>NC_000005.10:153357784-153658102 GCF_000001405.40 Homo sapiens
TCTGATTTACATTTTAAAAATTAATTTGGCTGCTGTGTGAAGAATGGATTGCAAAGGTAAGAGTAGAAATAGGGGGAACAACTGAAAACCTAATATGTTTGTCCTGGTAAGAGATGATGACAGTGCAATTTATTGCAATGGCAATGACCAGGAAAGGAGAAACTAAAACAGCAGGAGAGGGTCCTTGATGACAGGTAGCCACTAATGAGTGGAAACCTAACTTTACAAGAAAGCTTACTCCACTTACAGACACCTTTAGTTGCCAGTCCCTCCCTCTGGAACTGAGATACCCTTCTTGAAGCTTTCACTCATTAATAGCGGTGTTTCCCATGGGGCCATAAAGAACAAAGTTTCTTCATCATCCATAAGATTTGCCTCTATATTTGAAAGTAGTTTGGGCTCTAGCTTCCTTCTAAAGCCTTTTCTTCTGAGTTGAACATTCATGTTCCTTTCCATCATTTCTTACATATCCATCCTCCCCTGGGTATGTGTCAGGTGGGCCATACTTCTCATATAACCTTGTAGGTGTTTATGTGTCCCATGCACTGCAAAAGCAGGTGCTGTTATGTATAATACACCTTGCAGTGTCTAGAACTATGCCCTCCACATAGGAGCAACTAGCTGAATGTTCGATAAATTGAATTAACATATTTGAAGACAGCTATTATGTCATTTTCTTAGTCTGCTCATTCCCCATTCACTTGACCTAGGTTGAGAAAGAGACTAGTTTCTCTTTCTCAAAAGAGAAAGTGACTAGTTTCTCTTTCTCAAAAGAGAAAGTGACTAGTTTCTCTTTCTCAAAAGAGAAAGTCATAAAACTGAAACTAAGCTGATATTTCACTTTGAATGAGATGTGAGAACCTAGGTAGAAATCCTAAAAATGTAGTACACTGGAGAAATTTCCCAAAATGATAAAAAGGGAGGTCAGGATATTTTTTTCCCGCAATTCCTCTCTTTTCTTTGGTTCTATTGGGAATCGTGTTGCTTTGTTACCTAGCAACACTGAGCCTGTCACTGGGCAATTTACAACTACTTCTCATTTGTCAAAATTTGCCTAATCAGATCTGATAATGAATAAAATCTGCACACAATCAACTAACTTCTGTTTGTAATTAGAATCCCTCTCCATCAGGGGAAGGACATTAATAGTCTTTCACCTTGCATGTGTTGATTTGTGTTTTTTTTTTTTTTTTGTCATTTTCTAACATGCTACCCCTCACCACTTTACATGTTTCAATCTGTTTTGATTCCCTTTGACAAAATTCCATCTTTTGTTGTGAGTTGCTATCAATCCAGGTGTCTTTGGATGAAATTTGTAGGTCATCTCTTCTTATCTGCTCTGAGCATATCATCTGTGCAAGGTGACTTAGTTTAGTGGTATACGTCTTATGTTTAACATAGCATCTTGCTTCCTTTCTAGCATGCCAACAGCTTTGCCTACTCAAGTCAATGCCATGAACATTTCTTATTATGCATCGTAGTGTACATGAGTGGTTTTGTGTGTCTATCATCACTCCCCCCTCACTCTGTTAAAATAAATCCTATTCCTTTGGGGATTCCAACCATAAAGTTATAGTTTGGGCTGAAACCCAGAATTTCTATGACCAAAGGTATATTTGGTCATAGAAACAGGCAGTAAAAAAAAAATGCCTACTATTGTAGCCTCATTTCCTGGTTACGGTCCTTGGTTCAGGATGGGCCCACTACACAAGATCAGTCTTTTGGGAGTTGTCCAAGTGAAGGCTACATAAAAGGTCTTTTTTCTTCTCATCTCTTAAAATAAAGTGATATAAGCCCAGTATTTCCTGTGGCCATATACTTTGTTGTGAGAAAAAGGGCCATCTGCAATATAGACAATACAGACAATATAGAGAATACAGCCAACATAGAAGGGCAGAGAAAAGAGGTTCAGGGTCATATAAAGACAACCAATGGAAAAGAAACAGAGAGAGAGAATAAGAGCATGAAGAGAATGAGAGGCAGAGAAAGGGAAGGGAGGGGGAGAAGAGAGGGAGAGATAGAATATGAGAGAGAATGTTGTTGGCATTTCAGCCCCTGTTTCCAGTCACTGAGGGTGCAAAGTTGCCTTCTTTGATTGTGTGATATAGATATACCAGTATTCTTCTTGTAAAGCCCGTATTTTCTTTAAGCATATTCAATTTGAGTTCTTCTCAAATCTACTTTCTTATACAATTATATAATTCATAACCCCACAAAGTTGTAAAGCAATCTTTTATTAATAAAAAGACCTTTCACATGTCCTATCTTATTGGACACTCATAACAATCCTCAACTCCTTGGAAGTAAGTTACCATGGAGGAAATTGTACCCATTTCACAGATGAAAACACAGAAGTACAGAAAAATTACTTGTTATTTGATTATACAGTTAGTGAGGACAGTACTTCTGACTCTTAGTCTAGTGTTCTGTACAATACAGCAGTTTTCTCTCCAACCACACTGCGTCCGCTAACTATGAAGCAGAGTGAGAGCAGCTGTGGAACTACAGAGGAACATATGGTTCAGTAGCTTGCCTGACACTCAAGAAATTTTATCTAATTGGGGAGATATGATGGATTCAGATACAATGGTAACTAAAAATGCAAAGATCAGCTTCATGTAGACAGAACTGAAGTAATTACTAAAGCAGTCCTGGGCTGGGGTCATCAAAAAAGAAGGAGTTCAGATAGGCAGAAAGAGGAAAAGGGCATTCTAGGTGCCAGAAACAACATGGGCAAAGGAGCAGACATGGTGTGCCGTGGGAACACATCTGGCTTGAGGAGAGAGTGTTGCCAATTTTGCCTTCTAATTATAGCTCTAACCCTTCCATTTTTCTTCTCCTCCACGGCCATCACTCTGATCCTTTCATCTTTCACCAGGACTATTGCAGTAGCCCCTAGCTATTCTTCCAACATCCTCTCTTGCATTGCAATCCACTTATTGCATTGCAACCCAAGTGATATTTGAAAAAGTCAAATCTGAGTGTCCTTGAAAAAGACCACCACTAAGTGTCCTCTGCTCACCAAGCTCCAGCCACACTGACTGTCTTCCAGGTGATACAAAGCATCCAGCCCTCTCTGGCCACAGGGAATCTACACTGATTGATTTCTCTGCCTGCAATGTTTCTCTCTCTGTATTCATTTCTTCATTCATTTATTCAAAGAATAATAATTGATTTTTATGCACCAGAGAGGCAGGCTTAAGACAGTCATTAAGAACAAGGATTATGAAACCAAATTGCTATGTTGAAACCTGGTTCTGAGACTTACCTCCTGTGTGACCTTTAGCAAGTTCTTGAGATTCTGTTTCCATTGTATTGTAATCTCATGTGGCTGAAGCTTAAATGAGTATAAAGCAAGGCAGATATCAACAATGAACATAGAAAGGGCTGTATGAGTTTTTGTCATAATTATTGTAGCTGAATTCTACCTACTTTCAGGATGTTCGGGTAGATGTATGTTCCTTCTCTAAGCCCTAGGACTAGGCTAGGCCAACACTCTCTGAACTCACTCTGTTTTTCATTTATTAAACTCATTTTACTTTAGTCCCTTTTTCTTGTTGGATTATAAATCCCACAAAGGCAAGAATCACATCTATTTTGCTCACCAATTTACTGAAATGTTCTAGTATAATGGCTGGTTCAGAATAGGAGTTAAATCTATTATTTATTTTTGAGAAAATCAAGATCAAAATGATCATTTCTGTGAAAGCTATGAAAAACAAATTGGGATTTCACCTGTGTACAATGGTGCTTTTCTGAATTTGGAAAAGATATGGGGACTATTTCACTTTAGGGAGTTTGATACCCATAGCACTTGCATCTTAAAGGTGATCTTGCCAGCCCTTGGTAACACCTGAAAGAGTGATAATCCAAACAGCTTCCGAGATGTTTGCCTCCCCCATCTGAGGACATCTGGGTCAACCTGTGACTCATGTTAATGGGAGGGATATGACAGGGGCCCATTGAGACCAAGGCCTTATAAAATATTACAAAAGATATCATGAAAGCCAGGCCAAGGCATGAGGACCTATACTCACAGGAAGGGCCAGGTGGATTTTTAAATGTTAGAGCAAAATAGCCTCACTGTTTCCAGGCAGAGGGCATAGCAGCTTAAAAAATGAGACTGAAAGGCATTTAAATGGGACTCAGGGACCATAAATCACCTAGGAGGGAGCAAACAGAAAGACTCACGTTGCTCTCACTCTTATGCCCCACAATCAGGATGGAGCCCATTAAACCTCCGACTCAATTACAGCCATTTCTTGCATGTAATGTTGCCCAGATAAAAAGATCTTCTTGGTGATAGGAAAGTATGTGCCTTGCTATGGACTAATGAAAATTCCATGATTGGAAGCTAATACACCTGCTATGTTCCCCTCATCTGCTGCACAGCATTCATTCATCAGACAACAATTTGCCCACTGCCCCCTAGGCCACATGTGGGTGCTGGAAATGGCATGGTGAGCTCATTCTCCTTGGGAATGTCATATTATCATTAGATGCTTAGACATGTGAAGGGAGGGAAGCCCAGCTGGTCCTAAGCTACGGCCACAGCAAGGCTCAAAGAAGGTTGGAACTGATCTGACAAATTAATTACTTAAAATCATTGGGATATCTTAAACTACTGAGAAGTCTCCTGGGAAAGAGACATTCAGTTAAACAACAAATCAAGCCCCAGTGAGTAGAGGGGAGTGGGCAATTCTTAACATAATGCGCATCCTCCACCAACTTTGTGTTCTCATCCAGCCCACCGTGGACCCATGCCTGAGTCCCTAGGAAGGGAGTGGGGAAATGGTGTGAGTCAAAACTGAAAGAAGAGTGTTCACTAAAACTCTAAGCCTTTGAGGCACAGGCAGTATTTCCTTTATTCCCATGTCACTGAAGTCTTGTAGAAGCCCTCTCCATCTGAGCCATTACTTGGTCCAGCACATCCAGAGAATCAGTGATTACAGCCCTTGGGCACCTCCTGGGAGCTGGAGCACCTAAGGTAAGGTACACCACAGAGACTGCTGCAGTGACTTGGGAAAAGGCCTATGAGCCGTGCTGTGTTGGTAAATGTGTAACAACTGGCTCTTCTGGAAAAGAAAATTTGTATGTGTATATGGAAAACATAAGTTCAATAAAAGTGTTATATATATATTAAGAATGCATCATACAATTTATAATTAATAAAAAAATACAATATTCTTTACAATAAATTCTATATAGCCAGTTAATCCTCACAAAATGCATTTGTTTGATTTTTGTGGAACTGTTGTTTCCGTAACCAACTTATGATTGTAGTTGACAAATGACTGCAGTTCTGAGCTGAATATTAGTTGTTATTTTCCTTATGCTAATGAGTAAAATGAAAGTGAAACAAGCAAGAAAAAACCTTAAGAGTAAGAACTTCACTCATTTGTTAATAACTGTTTCTTTAATGAATTGGATCATAGTTTTTGAATATTAGAAGAATATTTCCTCAAATTGTTAAATTTTATTCACCATGTAATGACTATATACATGATACACTTATAATCTTCATTATTGACATTTTCTTTATCATTTTAAGTCAAGACAATCAATGAAACAATAAATCAAGCCCTGATTTGTAGAGTTTGCCAGTTTCCATGATGAATTTACTCCCAGCATTGCCAATTTCAAGCTACCAATGTGATGTCACTGGATGTAAAATAGGGAGTGCAATGCACTGCACACTACTCTACAGTTTAATATTGTCACGGAGAAACAACCAACATATATAACCTCAGGGGCATAGATAATAGTAAAACGTAGCAAAGTAATTAGGCAATGATGACTTTCAAGTATTTGTATCTTTATGTTTAGTATATTGATTTGTGAGTATATTATTTTAATTTAAATAATGACTATGCTTAACAATCCCCTTACAAAATTCCTAGAAATGTAACAATCAGCTCCAATATGAACTGGCTCTAGCACACTGCTGATGTGGCAGACATGGAGGTATGCTAGCTACTCAGACCTCCTTTCAAAAGAGACTCACTCCTAGCTCTGAGGAACGTAGTGTGTCAAAAGCCATAAGGGTCTGCTCCCGTTTTCAAACTAAGGTTATGCTCTTCTTGGGGTGGCCCCCAGCCAATGACTGAGCAATAATGGTACAAGCCTGGCCATTTCTGAACAATGTGACTCCTCTGATAGGCAATCTTTGCTCCCAAATTCCCCTTTGGACTGACAGAAACTGTCATCAGGTCAGCATCACAGCCTAGTATCTCTTCCTGCCCTCTCCTGTATCTGTCCTTTTTCACAGTCTTACTCCCAATGAACCTCTGACACCTCCAACTTCGTCTCATCATCTACTTCCCAGACAACCCAACCCGCAACAAGCCTCTACAGTCAGAGGGGAAATAGCTTCACATAGTATCACAGAAAGTGTGGACCCCAAGCGAGATGACCAAAGCAGGGCAGAGCCACAGAGTAAGCGGATGGCACCTCTCAGGTGAAACCTAACTGAACTCATTCATGAGTACAAGGAAAATGCACCACCCCAATGGGGTTTTCAAGACTGAAGAAGAATTTTGCAGGCAGCTGGGAGACCTGAAATAGTGAGAATGAGAGATGAGTTAATACCCCTTTCTGCTTATATGATTCTATCAGTCCATTTGCAAATAGAATAGCCAGGCTGGGAGGGTGCAGGTAATTATACAATGCAATGTGACAGCTGCTCTACTGGATGTATGAATTGGTTTCTTTCGAAACAGAAAAGGCTGGCTATTAAATGCCATTAAATTAATAGGAGACCCAGGGAGGGCCTCACAGAGGAGGTGCTGTTTGAGCTGGATCTGAAAGACTGAGTAGGAATTAGACAAACAGGCAATTCACTGAGAAAACTTGAAGGGGTGTAGATTGGTTCAAGATCCCAGATACAATTACTGACTTATCACCATTATCTGAATCTTTCCCACGAGCAGATACACAACCCAGTGAAACGGCTACACATTTTCCTGACCCTCCCTAAGCACCAGGAATATGCTTGTAGAAAAACTCAGGATGAGGGTTGGGGAACAGGTGGGGCAGGCTAAAACCAGCAAAGGGCAATTAAGCGGCTCTTCATGGAGATCAACCTAAGACCAGCTGGATGGCCTTATTGACATGTTTTCGGATTTTGCTATAGTAAAAAATACTCCAGGCTACAAATCTGAGGTGCTGTATCCTAGACCTTGGCCTAAGTCTGTCTTCCCACCTACAAAACAGACTTGATGATTCATGCCTCCCTTAATTCAACAGAGACTTTTCATTATGTTTCATTTTATCCCTTTATCATTGAGAAGCTGACCCTGCCTATGAAATATTTGTAAGTAGGCATCATGTTTTATTAATTTCCTCAATCCCTAGCCTGGCACATACTACGTACTCATAAATATTTGATTGATGGATAGCTTACATATAGCTTCCTGGCACAGCCTTTTGAATATCTTGGGAACTCAAAGATTCATTGCACATTAAATGAATATAAAAACACCTCTTTTTGCTTAGATGCCTGCCCTAAATATTTGTTGCTATATCTTAACTAGTAGACATTAAAAAAAAAACCTCTACCCCCATTTAGGATGTTAAACCAATAGCACTGGGTATACAGAAATGTCAGGGGCTCGAGATACTTAATAGACTCCGTTGTGTTTGAATCTAAATATTAACACTGTGGCCTGAGAAGAGTTATCTAATTCTCTGAGGCTCAGTTTCCTCATCTATAGAATTTGAATAATGTTTTGTAGAATTTGATCAAATAAATATATGAAGGGCATTGCATAGCCTTTACTGATAGTCAGTTCTCAACACATGTTACCTTTCCTTTTCTACTGAAATCTCCATTCTCCTTCCACTGATATCTCAGGCTTTCCAACTTTTTCTCTCTAAAGGCTAAAAGAGGAAGTATGTGGTTATTCTTCTCTGTGATTCAGTTTCTGGTCTTGAGTGGTGCTCTGCTGGGTTATCTCTGCCACCTCAATCTTCAGCAGGGTGAAATGGAAAGAATGCTAGACTGGGAATCTACCTAGGTTCTAGTTCAGATTCTGGCACTGACTAGCTATACAGCCTGATATGGGCCATTCATTCACCAGCTATTGTTTGACACCCTGATACTATTCTCAGCACTTGGAAATATATTAGAGGCAAAAAGAAACAAAAACTCTTGCCTTTGTGAAACTTACAAATGTATTATTGGTAGAAAAAACTGACCAAAAACAATGAACATTATAAAGTAAATTATGTAGGATGTTAAGAGGTGATGAGTACTATAGAGCAAATTAAAGACACTCACTTGAGCAAGGTAAAGGGAAGAGAATGCTGGGGTCCAGCAGGTCAGGTTACAGCCTTATATATTCTCATTGAGGAAATGAAATCTGAGCCAAGACTTCAAAGAAGGGAGGGGCCGGCCAGTGGATATTTGGGTGAAGAGCATCAAAGCACATATCAAGACCCTGAAGGGATTTTTGTCTAAGAAATGTGAGGAGGCCAGTGTAGCTAGCTTGCAGTGAGCAAAGAGATAAGAAGGGGGTAAAGAGGGCCCATGAGTATTGCAAACCCTTAAGAGTTTTGGCTTAATCTGAGTGCAACGGTTTCACCTTCAATTCTATATATGTAGAAAAGGAACTTAGACTGGATTCTTCCTAAGATCTCTTCGTTTTTAAATTCAAGAATGTTCTTATCATTTTGTCTGTGATAGCTGGCATGGGCTGATCATGGGAAACTGAACAATCATGTATAAACTGTATTCTAACAGACTGGCACAGACAGGATTTATATGTGTCATTTTATCTCATGTCTAAAACTAAGAGAGATAGCAAAGGACCCAGTGGAACAGGGTTGTGACATTGTCTCTCGATTTCAGGAGGCCAATGGTCAAATACCACCCCTCCCACTTCAGCTGCAAATGTGCTTAATTTGCCTCACCTCCATTTCCTGCTCTGTGAAGTGGAGATAATTGTAGTTCCTATCTCATCGAGTTATTCCGAGAGTTCAATATGATGACATGCCAAGTTCTTAACACATTATTGGACACATAGTAAATGCTCAATAAATTTTACTATTTTTTATTTTTTATCATAGATATCAACAAATGCTTATTGAATTGAATTTTCAAAGCCTCTATATTTGGGATTTGTCTGCTAATTTTACCTCTTGTATATCATCAAATACACATTTCTGAATGTCATTTTAACAAATGTTAATGTTTATTATGTGCAGGGCACAGGTGCATGGATGAGTAAGACAGAGTCCCTGTTTTACAGACGCATAAGTGGAAGAGATTCATAAAGTAATTCAAGGTAGACTATTACAACCGTTATAATAGAGGAACCACATATAATGAGAGAATGGAGGAGGAGGGATTAATTCTAACTGGGGTTATATAAGATGGTTTTCTGAGGTAGATGAGAGATTTGAGCAAGTTGGAAAGTATGCCTCCGGTCCATCTGTGCACGAATGACACTAAATAGACTTTCTTCCCTTCCAGATGTCACTAGTAAATTATGGACTCAGTGACTTATAAAATTGTTACAAGTTTGTAGACACCTTGACTCATACTATTTCTGGCAAAAGTGACTTAACAGAACTAATGCTGTGTCCTAATGGCCAGTGGTAAACTGTACTGAGGAGCTAATTTCAATTCACATTGCTGCCTGCCTGGGGAACAGCAGAGGAAAATTTAAAAAGAAAAAAAGAAGATGAAACATCTGTGATTGCACTCAACTCCATGGTCACATAGGGTATAATTATCCAAGAAAGTTATTTCCAAATGGATCTTTGCCCCCTCACTCTTTTCTTTCCGGATACACTAATTCAGCTGTTGGACAGCCTGAGGCAAATTGCTCTTCTTGGTAAGTAACTACACATTTCTATTCCTGCTGGGAAAATATGAGATGCTTGGGAAAGATTTCACAAAAAGCTATCACTTCACATGTACATTTTCCAGGAGTCAGTCCAAGGAGAGTTTGTAAATTTCTACGGCTAAAACACACTTCGCTAATAGAACACACTGGGCATTCCCAAAGGAACAAATGAAACTTTTAAATATCTTTCTTTTGCCACTCCCCCTTGCCTTCTTCTTTCAAGTTCCATAGATAAATGGCCAAGGCAATACATTTCAAAACAGCTATAGACTTCTAGACTTTTAAATTATGCTGTTCTACTTAAGTAGTGGAAAGTCTCTCATGTCATCTGGTCAAAGGAATATCCTTCATAGCATAGCCTACTCTCAGATATTTGGCTGGACATGTAAAAAACAGCCCAGGATGTTTGATAATATGGATAATTACTATGAAAGGTGTGGTGTTGTGGTTACGTTTTATAAAAGTCCTTATGCCTTATAAATATATTTAAAAATACTTAAGCATAACTTAACATGGTGTCTAGATGTATTAGTCTGTTCTCATGTTGCTATAAGGACATATGCAAGACTGGGTTATTTATAAAGAAAAAGAGGTTTAATGGACTCACAGTTCCACATGACTGAGGAGGCCTCACAATTATGGCAGAAGGCAAAGGAAAAGAAAAGTCACATCTTACATGGCAGCAGGCAAGAGAAATTATGCAGGGGAACTGCCTTTTATAAAACCATCGGATCTCATGATTCACTACCATGAGAACAGCATGGGAAAATACCACTCCCATGATTCAATTACCTCCCACTGGGTCCCTCCCATGACACATGAGGATTATGGGAACTACAAGATGAGATTTGGGTGGGGACACAGCCAAACCATATCACTAGATTTTTTCCCAAATAATAGAAGAGAGAATGTTTGGAGGTAAGATGAAACAAGGTTCACTCTGAGTAAATATTACAGGTGCACATGGTTTATTATACTATTTCCTGCTTTTATAAATGTTTTAAATTTCCCATGTATTCTTTATAAACAGAAAGGCTCAAGCCCAAACATATTACTGAACTTGAAGAAGGACCCAGTGATCTAGAATAATGGGAGGTTTTGGTTGGAGAGCAGTTCTTTAGTACTTAAAATATCAGAGTTGGAAGAAGGGCAGATATGGTAGGAGTGTGATGCTGAGCGGGAGGGAAGGTAAATTTTAATGGATAGGAAGAAGTAAAGAAACTGTGAGACCAAGATTTTCAATGGTTAAGCACTAACCAATGGAATTATTCATGTGGCTTTTGATGCATAACCCTGGCTCAACTATCCTGGTTTTAATTCTGTCACTCATTAGAGAATAGACTGGGAACCAAGGATAGAAAAGAGTGAAATGGAAAGAAGTATAAAGATAGAAGCCATAAAAATAAACTTCTTGGACCAGATCCTGCCCCAAACAGCATATTAATTCCTTGAATGATCCTATAGAAGGTGTTCTTATCACACTGAAGAATGCCAAGCAGAAAAGGATAAGGAATTCATAGAATGACAGGAGCAGCATCCTCATATCTTAATATGTTAGAGTTGTGAACTGAATATAGATTGATGAAATGAAACAAATAAATGTAAAGTCCTACACTGATGTCCAAATACCAATGGCATAAATACAGGGTGGGAGATATGGAGCTTAGAAGTATCTCATGTGAATACACTAAGAGAGATTTAATAGGCAATAAATGTCAAATAAACAATGTAATGAGGCTGACAACAGAAAATTTAATTCTTTTAAATGTGCATTAGAAAAAATAGAATATTTACATTGAAAAGATGGTAGACCTATCTGTATTGGCCAGGCCTGCCTTGGAATGTCAGGTTTATTTGTGCCTGGGAGACAACAAAAACAGAGCATATGGAGAGGAGAGTCTCGAACGAAGAAGGGATCCAAAGCCCTGTTTTTGAGAAATGACTAAGGATGTTCAGGTAACATGATTCACACAGACATCAGCACCCTCTTAGGGGCTGGGCCACAGAAGAGAAACAAGCATTGTCCAGTGCGATACAAAGTGGTGAAATTGGCCAAAATGTGAATATGTGATAGGGGATAAAATTATGGGTTAATAAGAAAAAACTCTAAAGAACAAATTTGTGTATAGATTGAAAACCCACCATGTGGGTCACTGAATGTCTAAGGATGGGTTAGATATGGTCCTGTTCAGTAAAATAACCATGTATGGCTAATGAGCACTTGAAATGTGGCTAGTCCAAATTTAGATCTACTGTAAGTGCAAAATACATACCAGGTGCTATGGTTTCAATGTCGTTTAAAGTTCATGCTAGAATGTGTTGGAAACTTGATTTTCAATGCTGTGATGTTAGGAAGTGAGGGCCAATGGGAGGTATTTGGGTTATGGGGATACCACCCTTATAAATGGATGCCTGCCATTCATGCTGGAGTGAGTTCCTTATCAAAGGACAAGTTTGGCCCCCTCTTGCCTTCTCTTGCCCTCTCTTGGCCCTCCCACTATAAGATAACATAGCAAGAAGGCTCTTGCCATATGCTGGCTCCTTGATCTTGGATTTCCCAGCCTCCAGAATTGTGAACCAATAAATGTTGGTTCATCATAAATTACCCAGTCTCAGGTAAACTATTGTTAAAACAGCACAAAATGGAATAAGACAGCAGATTTTGAAGACTTAGCATGAAAAAAATGTAAAATATCTAATTAATCTCATTAATAATTTATATTGACAATATTTTAGATATATTGGGCTAATTAACACATATTATTACAGCCTGTACAACATGGCAATACCCCATATCTACCCAAAAAAACAACAACAACACATAAATTAGCTGGGCACGGTGGTAGGCCCCTGTAGTCCCAGCTACCCAGGAGGCTGAGGTGGGAGGATCGCTTGAGCCCAGGAGATGGAAGTTGCAGTTAGCTAAGATGGCACTATTGCACTCCATCCTGGGTGACAAGATGTAACAAATACATGTGTGTGTGTGTGTGTGTGTGTGTGTGTGTGTGTGTATATATACTCAAAATATATATTATATATATACTCAAAATATATATTATGTATATAAATTTATATATAATATCTGTCTCAAATATATATATATTTTATATAATATTACTAAAATTAATTTTACCTGCTATTTATACTTTTATAAAGGTGGCTACTGAAAAATTTTAAATTACCTATGTGGCTTACATTTGTGGATTGTTCTATTTAACAACACTGTCCAATCCTCAATCCAGTTGGGAGGGAAGATTAAGATTGAGCTACACTTCCAATGACCCTAAGATTTTATAACTTAGGAGAAGTCTCTCTATAGGTCTAAGACTCAAGGACATGGTTCTCAACCAAGGTCTGTTCTAACCAGCTGTGTGAACTTAGGCAAATGACTTAACCACTCTGAATCTCAAATTCCTATCTGAAAATGATAAGGTTGGACAATCTGTGAGCCATTTCCTATTGCTCAGATTTTGAGTTTCTATAAAAGACCTTTGCCCAGACTAGAACTAAAGGCCATGTTCTATCCTGGGACATAATAGGCAACCCCTATAATAAGGAGTAGTGCCTCCACCATTTGTGTAAACATCCCCTCAACAAATCACTTCATAATTTTCTTAATTTTCAAAGCCCACAGAGAGAATACAGGGCTCAAGATCAGACAAAACTCAAACAGGTTTGTGACCTCACCACATCCGTATCAGCTTATAATTATCATTATTTTCATTCCCCAAACAATATTCTAGCTACTATTTATTGTGTGTTTACATCACACTAGGTGTTCTGGAGTATTTCCTCATTTAATCAACCCAGACATCTTTAAGATAGGTGCTTTTGCCATCCTTATATAACCGAGAAGGTAACTAGGTTTAAACCCATTTGTGTAACCTCAGGTGTTTTATTCAGTCTGTCTAAGTTGCAGCAAGGTAGTATAATAATACCAATCATCATAGTACACTCAATCATGGCACAAACTGTAGTGAGGATTAAGGGAAAAAAGCATTTGTGAAGTTCCACTAGAGTAGCAGATTTATAATAAGCCGAATGCTTACTGCAATCCTTTGCCTGCTAAACTCTTCCATTATAAAGCCTACATATCCTTTAACTCTAGCTCCAGTAACATCCTTTCCACAGAGCCTCACCATTTCTCCACAACCAGAATAAGGTCTAGCCTTTCTGAACTAACAGGGCCCTTATTTGATCATTTTTTTTCATCCTCATCATTTCCAACCTTACTCTGAAGTCACAGGCATGAATATCTTATCCACTATATTAAACTATAAAGCTAATGAATGAAAACTCTGTATCACAGTACATTCAGCCTACTATGTGGCACAGAGTAGATTGTTAATAAACATCAATTGGGTTAATAATAACAACCATTTATTGAAAATTTATTGGTGCCAGTTACTGCACAAAGTTTAAGCTCTTTACAAATATATCTAATTTATTCCTCACAACTTGAAAAGTAGATATCAATTTTACACATTTTACTGATGAGAACACAAAGTCTTAAGGGGGTTAAGCAACTGCCCAAGATCACACCAATCTTAAACGACAAAGCCAGGATTTGAATTTTGGGTGGCTGGCTGGATCCAAAGCTCATAATCTTAACCATTACAAAGGAAGTATGAATGGACAGATATACAGATGGATGGATGGATGGATGGATGGATGGATGGATGGATGGATGGATGGCTGATAGACAGAAGCACAACAACTGCAACCTTTGAATACATTCTCAAGATCGCCTTTCAATCTGAGCTTTCCCTTTTGGATATTAAACCCCGTGACTCCGTGACTCCAAACCCTTCATCCTAGCATGCGACTGGGGAGTTCAGCAAAGAGGGAAAAGAAGCACATTTCACCATTTTAAAGATTCATAATGAGCTAAAAGGCCAAGTCAAAATCAATTTATTATTCACCAAAGTCTCAGGTCCCTGCCTGTTTTGTTCTCCTGAATAAAACATACCTTCTCAAGTGTACAAGCTGCCAGCAACTGGGAAGAAAAAAGGGAGTGAGTAATACATATTTACATAATTAGGCAGAGAAAAAACATTCAAGCAGGTTTCTTTTTTAACGTTTATGTTTATCTGAGTCTCTAGCTCAGGAAAATGTTTACCTAGTGTAGAAAGCATGTGTATTTTTCACCTGATAGCAGGATTTTTATGATCAGAGATTTCTTTTTTCATTTGGAGATAGAAACCCAGAATTCAGCAACTGCCCACAGTATCTTGAGCCCAGCAGAAAGAACTCTTAGCCCTCTGTAAACCTGTGGGTTTTTAGCTAGCCAACCACCAGCCCCAAGACAGAGCCATTCAGTGCACCTGCATCCCTCGCATAGGTTGGGAAAAAGCCTTGTGGCGTTGAAAGTGACAGTGATTGTAATTTATTACCTGCATTGATTCACAGTACGCAGTTCCTTGTACAAACAGGCAGACATTTTTCAATTGTGCAATGCAATAGATAAATTATCTTACATAGAAACTGTACTTTTAAAAATTAATTGAGGTCGGCATCGCAGATGTATGCATTATGCACATACAAATAATCATCGTTGGGAAAAAAAGTCCTGGATGGGTTCTATTTAACTTTAAAACTGTATTTTATTAATGCATTTTCAGGGAAAGAGCTTAAATCAATGACCCTACCCCCACTAAATCCAGAGCATTCAGGCAAAACAGAATCTAGGCTGCTTGTTACATTTCCCGCCCCCTCTCTGAAAGCAATGGCATTTCATTTTCCAACAGAGGCTTTTTTTTAATTCATAATGTCATATTTTAATCCAATCAATGCACATTAGCTACAACTAATGTAAATGTCATTGCTATTCTTTCCTCAAACCATTTTTTAAAATTTGCTAAAACTCAGTACAGCACAATCTTTCCACCTCAGATTAATAAATATTGGACAGCTTTTCTATATTTTTCTTCTCAGTGGAATATTATTGAACAAAACTCTAGGACATTTTAGGCCAACAAATGAAACAGATTCTACTTGTATCCAAGTGAGTTCTTGGGAGTGTCAACCTTCTTCATCCTAGGCCCATTACTCTCCTTAAATATTGCTACTAGAGCCAAACAGATTTGATCCCACGTGGTCCTCAATCTCCACATTTTCTGCCTTTGTTTATGTTGTTTCTTCCACTCTGAATGTTCTTTCCCCATATCCACATTCTGCTTATACTTAAGGAATTAATCAAGTGCCTATTTTCCAGGAAGCCTTCCTTGATTTCACCCTTATCTTGTTCCAGTCAGATGGAATTCTTTTATTCTCTAAATGCTCAAAATGTTTTACACGCATTTCTCTTAGAGCTCTGGGAATAGTTCACCTTGAATTCTAGCTGTCTGTTTCCTAGTACTATCTCCACATGTAGATCTAAGCTCCTAAAATACAGAAAAAGTTCATGACATCTTTATATCCCCCATATTAGTTGTACAATGTCTGGCACAGAGATGCTAATAAATGTCTAGAGAAATGAAGAGAAAGGAAGAAGAAAAAAGAAGGGAAGCTATGAAGAATTCTGACAGAGAGAGAAAGAGGAAAGAAAGAGAAAGAGAGAGAAGGGAGGGAGTAGACTGAAGGATGAGGTAGAAAAGGCATAGTTGTGAAGAACAACAAAGCTGCAATGGTTACTCATTGAATAGAGTTGAACATCTAATTCTACTTTTGCAGGGCAGTAGCTGGAAGAACCTGTTCACCTAACCTCAATTTTCTGCCTCCAAAATGTATCTAGGGCCAGTGGCTTTCAAAATTCAGTGTACAAAAAAATCATCTGAGGATTTTAGTAAAATATTGATTCTTTGCAACTAGATTTCCATCCCTGCATTACTCCAAGAGAATCTGATTTATCAGATTGATAATGGGACCAGGAAGAACTCTGTATTTCTAACAGGATCTCAGATGATTCCATGGTGAGTGTTGGGGATCATGTTTTTATGTGCAATAGTGATCTAGAGATATTACCAGGCTGTGCTCTCCTGGATCTGCCTGTCTTCACTGGCTATCTCTGTTCACCACCCCAACCATATAATAAATCACCTGATTCCACCTGCAGGACTTAGTTGAGCTATGCTGAGATTTGTTCCTGACCATTAAAACGCAGAAAATTTACCTAGATTCAAGTTTCCTGGCTTTTTGCTTTCTATGTTATTATTTTTATTAGTATTATTATTTCAGATTTTTTTTTGTCTTGCCTAGGGCCTTGGCCTCCTCTTCGATACCCATGTGTGTGGTCGATATTATCCTGACTACTGGCTTCCTTAGATCAGCTAAAATATACTTCCTGCCCACTTTATCCCATGCCATCAGTTACATTCCAGATATTTGGACACAGAGAGACTTCTCTGGCCCCATTTCCTATTTGGTCCATGTTCATATTTAGCCTCATCTGTAGATGTCCATGCCCAAGTGCTGCTGGGTGAGTGGAAATCATAGCCTTCTTACTCATGTACTGTCCAAAGTGCTAGCAAAGAATAATTGGTGATGGCATAACAGGCCTCTGAGCTCTTTATCAAGAGCCCAGGTTCAAATCGTCCTTCTGTGCATTTTTTTGCAGCTTTTATTTTATTGGATTTGAAAAAAACATTTGACATCAATGATCCATTTTTGAAACAGGCTGTTTTCTTTCCATCTTTGACATAATTTGTTTTCTTCCACTTGTCTTACCAATCCTTCTCAGGCTTCTTCACAGCATATACCAGACCCAGTTTATGCACTATCCCAAGTTGTTTCAGACCATCAACTGCTTGCTCTAACTCCTAGCTGAAGAGAATCCATTGAGGCTCACATCATTGCACCACTTACAAAATTCCAGCTGCTGATTCCATTGCTCCATCTCCCAATACCATCCCCTGTCTCAGCCTCTTCCAGAGCTTAGTGGCTGAGCTGTAGCAAGGCCTCCCTCAGGTTCACCATGAGGAGGGCATTAGAAGCCCCAGCAATTCTGTGCATTTTCCACAAGGTGATGATAAAACTTCTCTAAGCCTCAATTTTGTTAATTTTCTTACCTGTAAAATCAGGCTCATAATGCCTATACCTACATCCAGGAGTTTGTCAGGAAGGATTAAATAAGACAAGGAGTGCTAAGAGAAGAGCCCAGTGACTGGACATGTTGAGTCCTATACAAATGGTGGTGATAGTGATTCATAATATAGTGTTGTTGCTGCTATCATCGTCATCATCATTATTATTGTCATCACCAGTTACATTTACTCCTTTTGTTCTATGAACACTGAGGTACATACTATGCTTAGCTGCTTATTGGGTCCCAACCAGAATTTCTTTTGAAGAACCTGAAGAAAGACAAGTATGGTGTGAGGCCTGAAATTAATGTTCAACATTATGGGCTGCCTTGACATCTGGTAAAATTGGGAAAGCCTCAAATGGCCTAACCACAAGTTCCCCTCCCATTCTCCTCCTAGCCATACAACCCTCCTCAATAAGAGGACTTCGCAACATTCCCACTTAGTGATTGGGGAGTGTCAGTTTCCTGATTGTTCACTTTGTTCTAATGCAACCCCTAGAGCAGTGGTCTAGAGTAACCGGGACTTTAAATCATAGAGTGTCCCCCTTCCCCAGGCTGAGAATATGTGTGGCTACTGTCAATCTTATCTCTCCAGTGTGAGGCATCCTGTTGGCCATCCCTATAACCATAGGGTGGGAATCATCCCCTCACCAATGGGGTGAAGAGGAGGTTGTTAACAACTGTGATCACTGATTCTGCCATTCACAGTCTAAAGAAGATGTTTGGGTAAATGGACCTTTAACTACATGTGGGATAAGTAATAAATTGAGAGGTAGAAAATGCTATGTGAGCAGAAACAGGGAAGCAGGAAACCCCAGGTGGAGGGGTGCAGGACAATAGACATTACAAGGTAGTTTTTGGTTCAACTGAAAAGCCTCACATAAAATCTCATAAACAGATAATTATTACATTAGCCTCATGCTAAGATCCCCCCACACCGTTTTACCTAGGATTCTTCTAGTAGAGGAAGTCTGCTGATTCCATATTTGAGCCTATATTTTTCTGTGCTTGAGGCAGGGCTCTGTGGTCCAAAACTGCCCATGCCCACTATTGTTCTAGTTCTATCTTTATTGTCTACGGGTTCCTTTTAAGTTACCTTAGTTGTATACTATGTTGTTGAGTACATCTTTGCAGGTTAGTTTCATAAGAATCTGAATTAATGTTTTTTCTGTGAGCACTACAGAGAAGTAGCCTAAATAATAATGAAAGAAAAAATGGCTTGCATTTTTTAGTTGTGATATTAAGTTGTCCAGAGAATCCTCTGAGGATTTGGTTTTACTTCTTTGAGAGACTGATTTACAATAAATCTTGCAACTCAGATATGCTCATTTTGCAATAGTCAACAAGAAGATTGTGGAAACCCATGTGGTACTTGAAATGCGGTGTCTCATAAGGCCTAAAACATCCTTCCCTCCTGTACTATTGTACCCCGTAAGGGGTGTGTGTGTGTGTGTGTGTGTGTGTGTGTGTGGTAGCAGAGAAAAGACTTCAGCAATTTCCAGAGATATGCTACTTCTGGGAGTGGGATTGAATTCCTTGACTTTCTGAACAGTTTAGCCAAATTAAAAAGTTTGTTTTAGGAAATAATGTGCTTTTTGAATTTGGCCTGCGAGGTACTCTTGCTTGTGTTTCAAGCAAGAGTTTCAAGCAAGTCAACAGTGGTTGGCTTCCTATTTTTTCCAGGGAAACTACACTGCCTGGGAGAATAAGCATGAATTTCCAATAAATTGGATGTTGAATTCAATGTCAGATTTAATAAAGCAGCTGAATTTTATCCATAAGTTTGCATTATGGAGAAATCTCAGTCTAGAAGAAATTATTTTTTTAAATCAATTACTCATTAAATCAAAAAGTGTTGAAATTTATAAGGAGGTTAAAAAAAGAAAAGAGCATTTAGACCAGGAGATTATAACCTGGGGTCCACAGAGCTCTACCTAGAGGTCATGGATAGGCTTCAGTGGCCTCTTAACAGCCAGAGGTTATGCAGATTCATTTATGTTCATTTTTTTTTTTTTTTTTTTTGCGACGGAGTCTTGCTCTGTCGCCCAGGCTGGAGTGCAGTGGTGGGATCTCGGCTCACTGCAAGCTCCGCCTCCCGGGTTCACGCCATTCTCCTGCCTCAGCCTCCCAAGTAGCTGGGACTACAGGCGCCCGCCACTAACCCCGGCTAATTTTTTTTTGTATTTTTAGTAGAGACAGGGTTTCACCGTTTTAGCCGGGATGGTCTCGATCTCCTGACCTCGTGATCCGCCCGCCTCGTCCTCCCAAAGTGCTGGGATTACAGGCGTGAGCCACCGCGCCCGGCCCATTTATGTTCATTTTTAAACATTGGTTTTATTATGTTTTCTAGGGAAGAGGGTAGAAAATGTTCATCAATGGTTTTCAAGGATTCAAAATGTTTAAGGGCTACTGATTTATATCAACAGTTATTTTATATGTGAGCATATAGGTGAGGACAGCGTAGTCAAGTGATCATGTGGGATCGTTTGGCTAGAGAGAAGAGGAGCTGCTGGACACCAAGTCTTCCCATTCTGAGTCCCGCACTAGCATGCTGCTTCTAAGCTACCAACATTGATGGGATTTCTTCTCTGGCTACCTTTGATCTAGAGCCTATAACTAGGGTGTGAAAAAACAAAAAATCATAAAATGTGTTGCTCAAGAGTAAGAGATTTATATATTGAGTGTACTTACAACTTAATTACATCTTAGTATTACATCTTAATAGCCAGAATGATATGATAGAGTACTCAGTTGAAAAATTTTGAATAGAAGAGTATCTTAGTTTGAGTTCTTCCAAAAAGAGACATGAGAGAAGCAGTTGGATATAAGTAGTTCAATCTGCTGGTGATGACACTTCGGGAGCACTATGAGAAAGGGGAGAGTGAGACAGGGAAGGAACACATCAGTAATTGACATGTTAATTAGAGGGATATCACTGTAGGGACCTCATGGCTCAGAGTTATCCCACCAGAGAAGCAAAGAAGGTAGGTCCCTTATCTTCTGACTTCTGCCTCTCATCAGTTGAAGGTTTTCCTTGGCCATAAAAGAACCTCAGGTAGATATGGAAATAGCCTACCTGTAATTCCCAGGGTAGGCCAAGGGCATATGGACAGGGTTTCACAACATCTGCTAAAAGGTATTTTAGGAGTTAAGAAGGTTGTATCTGTGGACTAAAATATTGTTGGATCAGAACATTTTAGGAATAAAAGGGAACTCAGAAGTCATCTGATGTCACAACCCTTTTTCTACAACTTAAGCAAAGATAACCTCCATAATATCACTTAAAATAGTGATCTCTGCTATTCTTATCAGTGTTATGAAGCACAGCACATCACATGCAGATATAGGTTTATTTGTTTTTTTTTCTGCAGAGTCATCCCTATATGATTCTGATTTTGTTTATGTGGAATCAGAATCTACTGGAATCTTCCACTGGTGGCTAACTTCCCTTCTGAGTCTATACAATACATATTTAAAGTCTTTTTTAGAGGAAAGCCTGTAGGAGCCAGCCCCCAAGATGGCCCCCAATGACCCCTGACTCCTAATATTTGTGCCCTTGTAGAGTTTTCTCTTGCAGTGGATAAGGCTGACTTATGTGTCCAATAGAATTTTATGGAAATGACAGAATAAGGCTTCCAAGACTAGGTCATAAATGTCATTGCAGTTTCCATCTTCTTCTCTTGGATTACACACTCTGGGGGAAACTGACTGCCATGTCGTGAAGACACTCAGGAAGCCCTGTGGAGAGGTCTACATGATTAAGAACTGAGTCCTCCTGCCAACAGCCACATGAGTACGCTATTTTGGAAGTGCCAGCCAAGCCTTCAGAGGACAGCAGCTGCAGCCAGCAATTTGACTGCAACTTCATGAGAGACCCTGAGCCAGAAACACCTAGCTATGCTGCTCTCAGGTTTTCGGCATTCAGAAACTGTGTAAGATACTACATCTTGATTGTTTTAAGCCACTGAGTTTTGGAATAACATGTTACACAGCATGGATATCTAGTACTTAGCCTTTTTGTTATTTAAAGACAGCTACTTCCAATCTTGTAGTTGGATAAATACTCACCTTTTCTTTCTTACTTCATGTGGTTTAGTTTTCTACTTTATTGCTCTATCTTGAAACCATTCTTATATGTGAATAGCCTTTTTAGTGTCAGTCTGTACAAGTTAAATCTCTTTGTTGAAAGTAACAGAAACCAAATTCAGCCAGTATATGCAAAAAAGTGGGAGATGTATTGTCTCATGTAATCAAATTTTCAGAAAAGAAGATGATCTGGCCTTAGAGACAGCTGAAACCAGGGACTTAAATGACACGTGACCTCTCTGTCTCTTTTTTCTACTTTTTTCTAACCTAGCTTTTGCTTTATTCTCAAATCTGTTGTCCCCAGAAAATTGTAATTTTTTAATGTAGCTTTCATAGTCAGAGCTGTGTAACCAGAGACCAAAGTTCTCCCCTACCAGACAGTTCTGTCTTAAAGAATCTCAGGAAAGAATTGCAACTTGTCTAACTTAGACCATATTCCTATCCTTAGACCACTGTGACCAGGAACACTTTATCATGCCCAAATAGATCATATGTGCACCTCTGTGGCTAGAAGCATATTGGACAGAGGCT
Organism: Homo sapiens; assembly: GCF_000001405.40. Taxonomy (NCBI): domain Eukaryota; kingdom Metazoa; phylum Chordata; class Mammalia; order Primates; family Hominidae; genus Homo; species Homo sapiens. The sequence goes on from NC_000005.10 coordinate 153,380,273, forward strand.
TATGAGAGTGTGGGAGGAGTAAGTAACTTTAAAATGTAGGTGACCTATGGACAGAAGAAACCATAAATAACTTCTGCCATCTTAGCTGGATGTTATAACCCTGTTGTGCTTGAATTCACACGAAATAAACAGAGATGATTTTTTGGTTGTCAGGTCAGTGCATTCTGTATCATAAATAGGGTAAGGTGGTCAGGGATAAGATCTCTGGAATAAAATAGAATAGTCATGAGCATGGTTGGTGGTAATAAGAAAATCTATTCTTATTTAAGTTAGAGGTTTCACTGACACAAGGGACAATAGGAGGTGGAGAATATCATACCAAAGAAGAAAGACTGGTCAGATGTGTGCTTGAACTTCTAAGAGGGAAACACAGAAGTCAATGATTAAAGCCATGGCTTCTCAGTCAAAGTTGTGATGCATTGGAATCACAGTCCTTTGTAAGGTAGTTTGAGAAGTTCATCTCAAATAGATAAGCTATTATGGTTTATAAAATATTTCCTTTTTTACACACCAAGTTGGACCTTTAGTCACCCTTATAATGGCCATTTTGTTAGTACATATCCCCAAAGACAGTATAGCCTCATGGTTAGAAAGATGGTCACCTGAACAGTCAGCCTAAATTTGAAACTTTGATTTGCTACTTATTAGATGTATACTATTAAGCAAGTTATTTAATCTCCCTATGTCTCAATTGTGCCTTGTAGAATTTGGAATTATAACAATAATACTATTTTATCAATATTTTATTAATTAAATGAATTAACATATACAAAATTCTCACAATAGCATCTGAAATATACTAAGTGCTACATGGACATTAGCAATTGACACTATTATTATTGTCATTATCCTTGAATTGGGGCAAACAGTTTACACTTAAATTTATCCCCATGGAAATTTTTGCATACCCTAGGATACCCTGATGTGAGTGTGTCACCCATCTGAATAGCATCCATCCCATATGTTAATGAAGAAGAGAATATGAAAGTTATCATTCTAAGCATTTCATGGACTTGATCATAGTTTATCTAGTAAGAGATTGGCAAAGCAATCAAGTTGGAATGATTTGTGGGACATTTTGACTGGAAATAGAGACCTCTTTAAAGAATGAAATATCTGAAGATGGCCGAACAGGAACAGCTCCGGTCTACAGCTCACAGCGTGAGCGACACAAAAGATGGTGATTTCTGCATTTCCAACTGAGGTACCGGGTTCATCTCACTGGGGAGTGCCAGACAGTAGGTGCAGGACAGTGGGTGCAGCGCACCGTGCACGAGCCGAAGCAGGGTGAGGCATCATCTCACCCAGGAAGCGCAAGGGGTCAGGGAATTCCCTTTCCTAGTCAAAGAAAATGGCGACAGAGGGCACCTGGAAAATCAGGTCACTCCAACCCTAATACTGAGCTTTTCCAACGGGCTTAAAAAACGGCACACCAAGAGATTATATCCCACACCTGGCTCGGAGGGTCCTACGCCCACTGAGTCTCGCTCATTGCTAGCACAGCAATCCGAGATCAAACTGCAAGGCAGCAGCGAGGCTGGGGGAGGGGTGCCCGCAATTGCTGAGTTAGTTGTTTGATTAGGTAAACAAAGTGGCCGGCCGGGAAGCTCAAACTGGGTGAAGCCCACCACAGCTCAAGGAGGCCTGCCTGCCTCTGTATGCTCCACCTCTGGGGGCAGGGCACAGACAAACAAAAAGACAGCAGTAACCTCTGCAGACTTAAATGTCCCTGTCTGACAGCTTTGAAGAGAGCAGTGGTTCTCCCAGCACACAGCTTGAGATCTGAGAACAGGCAGACTGCCTCCTCAAGTGGGTCCCTGACCCCCGAGTAGCCTAACTGGGAGGCACCCCCCAGTAGGGGCAGACTGACACCTCACACGGCCGGGTACTCCTCTGAGACAAAACTTCCAGGGGAACCATCAGGCAACAGCAACTGCGGTTCACCAATATCTGCTGTTCTGCAGCCACCGCTGCTGATACCCAGGCAAACAGGGTCTGGAGTGGACCTCTAGCAAACTCCAACAGACCTACAGGTGAGAGTCCTGTCTGTTAGAAGGAAAACTAACAAACAGAAAGGACATCCACACCAAAACCCCATCTGTACGCCACCATCATCAAAGACCAAAGGTAGATAAAACTACAAAGATGGGAATAAAACAGAGCAGAAAAACTGGAAACTCTAAAAATCAGAGCGCTTCTCCTCTGCCAAAGGAACACAGCTCCTCACCAGCAACGGAACAAAGCTGGACAGAGAATGACTTTGATGAGTTGAGAAAAGAAGGCTTCAGACGATCAAACTACTCCGAGCTACAGGAGGAAATTCAAACCAATGGCAAAGAAGTTAAAAGCTTGAAAAAAAATTAGATGAATGGATAACTAGAATAACCAATGCAGAAAACTCCTTAAAGGACCTGATGGAGCTGAAAACCAAGGCATGAGAGCTACGTGACAAATGCAGAAGCCTCAGTAGCCGATGCAATCAACTGGAAGAAAGGGTATCAGTGATGGAAGATGAAATGAATAAAATGAAGCAAGAAGAGAAGTTCAGAGAAAAAAGAATAAAAAGAAAGGAACAAAGCCTCCAAGAAATATGGGACTATGTGAAAAGACCAAATCTATGTCTGATTCGTGTACCTGAAAATGACGGGGAGAATGGAACCAAGTTGGAAAACACTCTGCAGGATATTATCCGGGAGAACTTCCCCAATCTAGCAAGGCAGGCCAACATTCAGATTCAGGAAATACAGAGAACGTCATAAAGATACTCCTCGAGAAGAGCAACTCCAAGACACATAATTGTCAGATTCACCAAAATTGAAATGAAGGAAAAAATGATAATGGCAGCCAGAGAGACAGGTCGGGTTACCCACAAAGGGAAGCCCATCAGACTAAAAGCAGATCTCTCAGCACAAACTCTACAAGCCAGAAGAGAGTGGGGGCCAATATTCAACATTCTTAAAGAAAAGAATTTTCAATCCAGAATTTCATATCCAGCCAAACTAAGCTTCATAAGTGAAGGAGAAATAAAATACTTTACAGACAAGCAAATGCTGAGAGATTTTGTCACCACCAGGCATGCCCGAAAAGAGCTCCTGAAGGAAGCACTACACATGGAAAGGAACAACTGGTACCAGCCACTGCAAAATCATGCCAAAATGTAAAGACCATCGAGACTAGGAAGAAAATGCATCAACTAACGAGCAAAATAACCAGCTAACATCATCATGACAGGATCAAATTCACACATAACAATATTAACTTTAAATGTAAATGGACTAAATGCTCCAATTAAAAGACACAGACTGGCAAATTGGATAAACAGTCAGGACCCATCAGTGTGCTGTATTCAGGAAACCCATCTCACATGCAGAGACACACATAGGCTCAAAATAAAGGGATGGAGGAAGATTTACCAAGCAAATGGAAAACAAAAAAAGGCAAGGGTTGCAATCCTAGTCTCTGATAAAACAGACTTTAAACCAACAAAGATCAAAAAAGACAAAGAAAGGCCATTACATAATGGTAAAGGGATCAATTCAACAAGAAGAGCTAAATATCCTAAATATATATACATCCAATACAGGAGCACCCAGATTCATAAAGCAAGTCCTGAGTGACCTACAAAGAGACTTAGACTCCCATACGATAATAATGGGAGACTTTAACACCCCACTGTCAACATTAGACAGATCAACGAGACAGAAAGTTAACAAGGATACCCAGGAATTGAACTCAGCTCTGCACCAAGCGGACCTAATAGACATCTACAGAACTCTCCACCCCAAATCAACAGAATATACATTCTTTTCAGCACCACACCACACCTATTCCAAAATTGACCACATAGTTGGAAGTAAAGCATTCCTCAGCAAATGTAAAAGAACAGAAATTATAACAAACTGTCTCTCAGACCACGGCGCAAACAAACTAGAACTCAGGATTAAGAAACTCACTCAAAACCGCTCAACTACATGGAAACTGAACAACCTGCTCCTGAATGACTACTGTGTAAATAATGAAATGAAGGCAGAAATAAAGATGTTCTTTCAAACCAATGCGAAAAAGGCACAACATACCAGAATCTCTGGGACATATTCAAAGCAGTGTGTAGAGGGAAATTTATAGCACTAAATGCCCACAAGAGAAAGCAGGAAAGATCTAAAATTGACACCCTAACATCACAATTAAAAGAGCTAGAAAAGCAAGAGCAAACACATTCAAAAGCTAGCAGAAGGCAAGAAATAACTAAAATCAGAGCAGAACTGAAGGAAATAGAGACACAAAAAACCCTTCAAAAAATTAATGAATCCAGGAGCTGGTTTTTTGGAAAGATCAACAAAACTGATAGACCACTAGCAAGACTAATAAAGAAGAAAAGAGAAAAGAATCAAATAGACTCAATAAAAAATCATGAAGGGGATATCACCACTGATCTCACAGAAATAGAAACTACCATCAGAGAATACTATAAACACCTCTATGCAAATAAACTAGAAAATCTAGAAGAAATGGATAAATTCCTCGACACATATATCCTTCCAAGACTAAACCAGGAAGAAGTTGAATCTCTGAATAGACCAATAACAGGCTCTGAAATTGAGGCAGTAATCAATAGCTTGCCAACCAAAATGTCCAGGACCAAATGGATTCACAGCCGAATTCTACCAGAGGTACAAAGAGGAGCTGGTACCATTCCTTCTGAAACTGTTCCAATCAATAGAGAAAGAGGGAATCTTCCCTAACTCATCTTTTGAAGCCAGCACCATCCTGATACCAAAGCCTGGCAGAGACACAACCAAAAAAGAGAATTTTAGACCAATATCCTTGATGAACATTGATGCAAAAATCCTCAATAAAATACTGGCAAACCGAATCCAGCAGCACATCAAAAAGCTTATCCACCATGATCAAGTGGGCTTCATCCCTGGGATGCAAGGCTGGTTCAACATACGAAAATCAATAAATGTAATCCAGCATATAAACAGAACCAAAGACAAAAACTACATGATTATCTCAATAGATGCAGAAAAGGCCTTTGACAAAATTCAACAACCCTTCATGCTAAAAACTCTCAATAAATTAGGTACTGATGCGATGTATCTCAAAATAATAAGAGCTATCTATGACAAACCCACAGCCAATATCATACTGAATGGGCAAAAACTGGAAGCATTCCCTTTGAAAACTGGCACAAGACAGGGATGCCCTCTCTCACCACTCCTATTCAACATAGTGTTGGAAGTTCTGGCCAGGGCAATCAGGCAGGAGAAGGAAATAAAGAGTATTCAATTAGGAAAAGAGGAAGTCAAATTGTCCCTGTTTGCAGATGACATGATTGTATATCTAGAAAACCCCATTGTCTCAGCCCAAAATCTCCTCAAGCTGATAAGCAACTTCAGCAAAGTCTCAGGATACAAAATCAATGTACAGAAATCACAAGCGTTCTTATACACCAATAACAGACAAACAGAGAGCCAAATCATGAGTGAACTCCCATTCACAATTGCTTCAAAGAGAATAATATACCTAGGAATCCAACTTACAAGGGTTGTGAAGGACCTCTTCAAGGAGAACTACAAACCACTGCTCAATGAAATGAAAGAGGATACAAACAAATGGAAGAACATTCCAGGCTCATGGGTAGGAAGAATCAATATTGTGAAAATGGCCATACTGCCCAAGGTAATTTATAGATTCAATGCCATCCCCATCAAGCTACCAATGACTTTCTTCACAGAATTGGAAAAAACTACTTTAAGGTTCATATGGAACCAAAAAAGAGCCCACATTGCCAAGTCAATCCTAAGCCAAAAGAACAAAGCTGGAGGCATCGTGCTACCTGACTTCAAACTATACTACAAGGCTACAGTAACCAAAACAGCATGGTACTGGTACCAAAACAGAGATATAGACCAATGGAACAGAACAGAGCCCTCAGAAATAATGCTGCATATCTACAACTATCTGATCTTTGACAAACCTGAGAAAAACAATCAATGGGGAAAGGATTCCCTATTTAATAAATGGTGCTGGCAAAACTGGCTAGCCATATGTAGAAAGCTGAAACTGGATCTCTTCCTTACACCTTATACAAAAATTAATTCAAGATGGACAAAAGACTTAAATGTTAGACCTAAAACCATAAAAACCCTAGAAGAAAACCTAGGCAGTACCATTCAGGACATAGGCATGGGCAAAGACTTCATGTCTAAAACACCAAAAGCAATGGCAACAAAAGACAAAATTGACAAATGGGATCGAATTAAACTAAAGAGCTTCTGCACAGCAAAAGAAACTACCATCAGAGTGAACAGGCAACCTACAGAATGGGAGAGAATTATTGCAACCTACTTATCTGACAAAGGGCTAATATCCAGAATCTACAATGAACTCAAACGAATTTACAAGAAAAAAACAAACAACCCCATCAAAACGTGGGTGAAGGATATAAACAGACACTTCTCAAAGGAAGACATTTATGCAGCCAAAAAACACATGAAAAAATGCTCATCATCACTGCCCATCAGAGAAATGCAAATCAAAACCACAATGAGATACCATCTCACACCATTTAGAATGGCGATCATTAAAAAGTCAGGAAACAACAGGTGCTGGAGAGGATGTGGAGAAATAGGAACACTTTTACACTGTTGGTGGGACTGTAAACTAGTTCAACCATTGTGGAAGTCAGTGTGGCGATTCCTCAGGGATCTAGAACTAGAAATACCATTTGACCCAGCCATCCCATTACTGGGTGTATACCCAAAGGATTATAAATCATGCTGCTATAAAGACACATGCACACGTATGTTTATAGCGGCACTATTCACAATAGCAAAGACTTGGAACCAATACAAATGTCCAACAATGATAGACTGGATTAAGAAAATTGGCACATATACACCGTGGAATACTATGCAGCCATAAAAAATGATGAGTTCATTTCCTTTGTAGGGACATGGATGAAACTGGAAACCATCATTCTCAGCAAACTATCACAAGGACAAAAAACCAAACACCGCATGTTCTCACTCATAGGTGGGAATTGAACAGTGAGAACACATGGACACAGGAAGGGGAACATCACACACCAGGGACTGTTGTGGGGTGGGGGGAGGGGGGAGGGATAGCATTAGGAGATATACCTAGTGCTAAATGATGAGTTAATGGGTGCAGCACACCAACATGGCACATGTATACATATGTAACAAACCTGCATGTTGTGCACATGTACCCTAAAACTTAAAGTATAATAATAATAAAATTTTAGAAAAAAGAATGAAACATCTATCTTATTATGTGTTAACATCTGTTCTGTTTGCATGTAGATCTGTTTTTAAGTATTACAAGAACAAATATATCACAATGTACTTCCATAAGAAAAGAGCATTCATCTGTGGGTTGTTGGTTTTCTAATTGCAGTAGCAAAGATTTAAGTCATATTTTGGACCCAAACATATCCATCATAAAAGCTAATCTTTATACTAATGTCCATTTTTATCCAAGTACAGTGCATAATTAAATGCTAGCACTGAGAAGCACTGTATTTAGAAAAGAACAAGGTAAGATTATCAACCACAGCTATGTGTATACTCCTCCAGCTCAAATATTTCAGGCCATACACACTTGCTACTTCCATTGCTTATTTTTTTTAAATATTTTCAGACAAAATGTGTATATTATATTTTTAAATATATGGCAATTGGATCATTACATCATATAATCACAAAACTTTAAAAACTAAATGATGTTTAAAGATCACTCAATACACCTATCTAAGCCTCCTTTTGCCAATTATTTTGAATACCTTTGTCTCAAGTCACAGAATAACTCATGGAAGGTATGAAACATGTGCAAGCACGATCCCATGGCAATCATTACCAATTCCCTGTAAAGCCTAAATGAGCATCAGAATCCTTTTCCACACAGTAAACCAGGTGGCCACTTCAAATCAATAAAAATCAGTGTAAAAACTGAAATCTGTTTACTTTGCCCTAATGATGGTTAGCTAAACAGAACCCAGGATACCCAATTTTCATATTAATATGATTGTACCATTAAAATTTCTCAGTTATTAACTATTTGAACTAGATTTGTCCATCTCGACACTATTTTGTTGAGTGTTCATGAAGAATCTGTTCCTGTGAGTGAATCTATTAGTGAAAACTCTTTCCTGGACCTAGTCACTGATAAAGTCCCATACTGCAAGTTACATTTTCTTTTTGATGAGGCATAATTCACATACCATACAATTCACACTTTTAAAGTGCCCAATTCAGTGTACTTTATAGAGTCACAAAGTTGTACAACATTACCTCTAAATTAAACTCCATGTCCATCAGCAGTCACTCTCCATTTCTTGCTCCCCTTTTCCCCACCCCACCCGCTGGGAATCACTAACCTATTTTCTGTCTTTATGGATCTGCCTATTCTGGACATTTCATACAAGTGGATTCATACAATATATAGCGTTCTAGGTCTAGTTTATTTCACTTTGTACAATGTTTTCAAGGTTCATCCATGTTGTTGCATGTATCAGTACTTCATTCCTTTTCTGTAGATGAATAATATTCTGTTGTGTGATATGCCATATTTTGTGTATTCATTCAATAGTTGATGGGCATTTGAGTTGTTTCCATTTTTGGCTATTACAAGCAATTATGCTATCAACATTCAAGTCAAGTTTTAAATGTCAGATGTTTCCTATTCTTTAGATATTCACCAAGGAGTGAAATTACTTGGATGTAAGGTAACTTTTTTTAACTTTACATTGGCATTGGCATGTATGAGGGTTCCAATTTCTCCACATCCTCACCGACACTTGCTATTGACTCTTTTTGCTTATATCCATCCCCGTGGATATGACTGGTATCTCATTGTGGTTTTGGTTTTCATTTATCCAATAACTAATAATATTGAATATCTTTTCACATGCTTATTGACCATTTGTATGTCTTCTTTGAAGAAGTGTTTATTCAGATTCTTTGCCCATTTTTGAATTGAACCATTGGTCTTTTTACTGTTAATTTGTAACAGTTATTATATTTGTGATTACTTGACCCTTATCAGATATACTATTTGTGAATATTTTTTTTCCAGTATGTGGGGTTTTTTTCACTTTTTTGATAAAGTTCTTCATGCACAAAAGTATTAGTTTTGATGATGCCCAATTTATCCTTTCATGGGTTGCTTCTAATTTTGATGTCATATCTAAGACACCATTGTCTAATCCAAGGTCACCACAATTCAGCCCATGTTTTCTTTCAAGAGTTTTATAGCATTAGCTTTTATATTTGTGTTTTTGATTAATACAAACTGAACTTCAAGAGTATAAAAATCTTTGTTCCTATATAGCTCCATTCCCTTTCCCCTCTTTCACACTGTTATTCACATACAAATTACACCTTTGTACATTGTATGCCCATTGACACAGATGTATGGCTTTCCCTTTATGCAGTTACCTTTGTAGCTCTGTTTATTTTTCTTCATTCTTTTTTGTTTTATTCTACAAACTATATAATCTCAATTGACCTATCTTTCAGTTTGTTGACTCTTTCTTCTGCTTGCTCAAATCTGCTGTGGAGCACCTCTGGTTAAATTTATTTCACCTGCTGTACTTTATAACATAAGAATTTCTGACTGGTTCTTTTCTATAATTTTGTCTCTTTATGCATATTCCCTATTTCCTGAGACACTGTTCTTATATTTGATTTGTTTAGACTTGTTTTCCCTCAGTTTTGAGCATATTTAAAAGAGCCAATATGAAGTCCTGTCTAATAAGTACAGTGTCTGGACTCCCTTAGGGATGGTTGCTTTTCTTTCTCTACTTCTGGACTGTAAATTCTTGTTTCTAGGTATGTCTCGTAATTTTTTTTTGTTGTTGTTGTTAAAAACTGGACATTTTAACCTGGCATGGAGGCTCATGCCTGTAATCCCAGCACTTGGGAGGCCAAGGTAGGTGAATCACTTCAGCTCAGGAGTTCAAGACCAGCCTGAGCAACATGGTGAAACCCTGTCTCTACCAAACTAATAAAAAAAAAAATACAAAAATTAGCCAGGCATGGTGGTACATGCCTGTAGTCCCAGCTACTTGGGAGGCTGAGATGAGAAGATAGCTTGAGCCTAGGAGGTGGAGGTTGCAGTGAGCTAACATTGTGCCACTGCACTTCAACCCGGACAACAGAATGAGAACCTGTCTCAAAAATAAAACAAAACAAAAACTGGATAAAACAAAACAAAAACTGGACATTTTAAGTAATATAAAGTGGCAAACTTGAAAATCAATTTCTTCCTCCTCCCCAGGGTTTGTTGTTCTTCTTTGCTTGTTTTGTGACTTTTCTGAACTAATTCTCTAAAACCTGTATTCTGTCCTTTGTGTGGCCACTGAAGTCTCAGCTTAGGTATCTTAGTGCTCAGCTTCCACATAGCCTCAAGGTCAGCCAGAAATAGAGCCTAGGGCCTTCTCAGGTCTTGGCTGAACACTTACACAGCCCTCAACATGCACACAGCTCTATGCATATGCATGGCCTTGTAGATTCCAGAAGTATGTCAAAGACTTTCAAAGGCATCTGTGGACATCTCATTCCCCAGTTTTCTTTTTAAAATTTTTGGTTAGCCCATTGTTTGCCTCAACTGTTACTCACTAACTCAAAATGCTACAATGATTAAAAAAAAAAAAATTGCCTCTGATTATTTTTAGCAAACACTCAGGAAAAATGCTCTTCACACTGGGTGACTTCCATGTCAGGCTTAATGAAGGCAGTCTTGTGAGTCAGTTTTTCCAAGAAATCACCAGATATGGGAAATAATAATAATTCTCTTAGAATGGGGCTTTCAAGGAGTTTAACCCTGTCCTGCTCCCTCCACTGGCTGCCAGGTGGCTGGTTTCCATTGTTTACTTTCAAAGCTGATGCAGAGCTGGAGGTGGAAGTGAAAATAGGACAAATTAAAATGCCAAACACCTTGCTATTCTTACCAATATTCAGCCATTTTTCTTGAATAAATGCTCCTCAGATTTATAAAGGTCTTTGGTTAATTTTTAGAGTTTTGAAAAAGTTGATTCTGACAAATTTTCCCATGTGCTTTTTGCCTTTATAGATAAGAGGGATTTTTCATAAATCTGTACTCTATTTTATCTGATGTCACAAACTATATTTATATTTGTCCTAGACACATTGTTTGTATAGATTATATAGATTTATAGAATCAGAAGTCTTTATCTTGGCTCAAGATCTGGGCCCCTTGCCTTCTTCTTAAAAGTTATGTCGTATCTAGCTTTCCCTAATTTACAATGAACTATTCCTGTGGCTCCCTTTCCATATATCCAATATCCCAAGTCATTTACTCATCACAGCCTTTGTGCTTGGTATTCTTTCTATCTGGAGTCTCCTTCCCCTAGAAGAAATTTCTCATCCCTCTTGTCTCACCTCAGATATCACCTTCTCAGAGAGGCTATCCCTGACCACTCTTTCTGAAAAAGCTCTTTCTACTCTTACCCTATATACAGACCTCCCACCTCTAGGTTATCTTTATCACATTATGTTTTTTTCATTCACAGTTTTTATTAAACTTCACAATTACAATGTTTGTGTCACTCATTTTATTTGTTTCTTCCAGTATAATGTGAGTTTCATGAGGTTAGGGACCTTGTTGGTCCTATGTATCTCTATATTCTCTTGGCCTGCAGTTATTAGCACATGCTAGATGTACAATAGTAGATAGATGAATGATGAGAATTCTACTTAGTATCAATAACATTCCTGGGTTTAGGATCCTACAAGTATACTCTATCTTTCAGTTAAATTCTAAGGACAAATCAATCAAGATATGGGAAGGAACCAATTACACTAAGAAAATGACTAGAAGTACCTTGAATTTCTTCTTTTGGGGAAAACTTGATAGGAAAGAAAGGTTTCTTTTCTAAAGATTGGGATAGATTGCTCACTTTTGCTGTGACTTAGAACAAAGCACCATTTTTAACTTAGTCTCCAATTTCCTTATCTGTAAAATCACAAGGTTGAATCAGGTGACCTCACAGTGTCTTCCACCCTCTACCCCCGTTTTTGGAGTCTCACAATGCACCCTTATTACCAATTAGAGAGAAAACTACTTTAACTTTGGAACATAAAATTGATTCCAAACGCCACGTAATGAAAGAATAAATATGAAACACCAGGATACTACTTTAACAGAATCTTTTTTATGTCCATAATGGTACTTTATTATTATTATCATTTTTTGCCAGGAACATTTAGAAGTTTATAGCACTAGAATAAAACACACAGTCTTTCATCTAGTTAACCAACTTATGGCTATTGTATTCTAAACTGCTCTACAATGCCACTGGGAATAAATTTGCTGAGATTTATGTTATTTTATTTTTGATTTTAAATGACATAAGCTGTGAATCAAGTTTGCCAAGTGATAAACTTAAGGTTGGTCTTCACATGGGTTGCACAGTAAACTGGCATATTTCTCTGGCTCTCAGAAGCTCTGGCTCTTATCTCAAAAGACCAACTCAAAGTCAAAAACTTCATAGGGCTCTTAAGTCAGAAAAATACAGGAAAAAAAGGAAATCAACAAATAGCAAGAAAATTTCCAAGTCTGAAGTAGAACAAAGAGTATTTATACAACGTTGATTTTTCTAGATCTGGATAATGAAGTTGGGTTACTTCGGATAGACAGAGGCCAGGTGAGTGAATCAAGTGAATGATTTATGTATATTTTTGGACATTATAATTTGTCAGCTAACTCTCCCATGGATTGAAATTTCCCTGTGTGCATAGCACAGTGCTTGTTATAAAACAGGGAAAATAGATTCAAGTTAAATGAGGATTTGGTCATTACTTAGTCTATCTCAAAACAAGAAAAGCTCACCCACTTCAAATTTCTGCCTGGGAGCTAAAGAATGCTGCCCCATCTAGAGATACTCCTTTCTTTCAAGAGCACTTAGTATGTGCCACGTGGTTGGTACAATTCTCTGCATTGGGAGCCCTGTAATGTGGGCCCATCTGGGCTCAGGATGAGAGGCAAGTAGCATACACGTTGTACACAGATTGACCTTTATAAAATTGCTTAAAAATTGTAAAATATTAAGTCCACTTAACTGAAGACTTTTTAGAGGATTTTTACACTAACCAAAACCAGGGTTTCTAAATCTTGGTACTATTGACATTTGGCGCTGGATAATTCTTTGTTGTGGAGGGCTTTCCTGTGCACTGAAGGATGTTTAGCAGCATCCCTGGCCTCTGTCTATGAGTTTCCACTACAACTCCCTTGCCACAAAGTTTGACAACCAAAAATGTCACTAGAAATTGACAAATGTCTTATGAGGGTCAAAGTCACTCCTGATTGAGGGCTACTCATACGTTTCTCTGATATGAGAGAAACTGAAGAAAGAACACCCTAGAGTATGCCAATAACCAGCTTATAAAGGAAACCGCAGCTTTGAACCAGTCTTTGGACCAATAACATAATATTTCATTTATTTAATAACTATTCTTATATCTGCATTATAGAAATATTTCTAGCCTAGTAATGGCTATTTTTTGAGCAATTTCTCTGTGCTGAGTGTTTTACATGCTTTGGCTCATTTAAATTTCCCAAGGACCCTATAAGGTATGAAGGTGAGTAGTGGTAAAACCTGGATTTGGATTCAGGTTTCATTTACCCTCCAAGCTCTTAAATAGTACCCTTACTGCTGGTGGTTCTTATGACCTTGGAAATTTTGTAGACAAAAGAACACAGTGGTTAAGAGTACAGGTTCTGAAGACTTATTGCCTAGATCTAAATCTTGTCTCAACAAATTCTTAGCTGTATAAGCTTGAGCAAATTCTTTAAGCTCTCTGAGTTTTTTTGCTTTTTGTTTTTTTTTTTTTGCCCATAGAAATCATCCCCTCAGAAGATTGCTGTGAGGATTATGTGAGATATGTATGCAAACACCTGGCATATAGAAAGTGTCCAACTACTATGAGCTTAGGTTTCAAAATCATATGCCTAGCAGGACTAGAAGGTAATGTCAGCAGTAGAGTGGGCTTAGGCATTGCATTAGGGAGTGGTGTGGACTGTGGTGTACTATTAATACACAGGTCATACTCTGTCTATAGGTTTTCCAACCAATCTTTTTTTTTTTTTTTTTTTTTTTTTTGAGGCAGAGTCTTGCTCTGTCCCCCAGGCTGGAGTGCAATGACACGATCTCAGTTCACTACAACCTCCGCCTCCTGGGTTCAAGCGATTCTCTTGCCTCAGCCTCCTGAGTATCTGGGATTACAGGTGCATGCCACCATGTCCAGCTAATTTTTATAGAGGCGGGGTTTCACCATGTTGGTCAGGCTGATCTCGAACTCCTGACCTTGTGATCTGCCTGCCTCAGCTTCCCAAAGTGTTGGGATTATAGGCATGAGCCACTGCGCCAGGCCCAGCCAATCTTTTTTAAAGCAGTTATCAGCCACATAACTTGTATTGCCAGAATGGATTGGGATGATGAGCCCTCTGTTTATCAGTGAGGTAACTGAAGCTCAGAGAAGCAGAGAAACTTGTGAGGGTTCCATTCCTCAGTGGTGGGATTTTACGTGGAACCTAGGCTTCTTTGTATCTTTGGCCATGTCTCATACTCCTGCAGTAGATGTATTTCCTCCCACTCCTCAAAATAATCTCTTGCTTTTATTTTGTAAACAAATTCTGATTTCTTCATGAGCTGAAAAGATGTATTCATATAGGGACTTGAGCAGTCCCTATATGAATACATAAAGGGCATGGCATGGGATTGCTGCTGCCAGGGCATAGGAGCATTTAAATTGCTCCCCACTGGGTGTCAGAACCCCCCAGTGACAGATTGCAGAGTGCTCCAGCATGAGGATTATAGTTTTCTACAGGGATGAGAAGGGCCAAGACTTGCGAATAAATGCAACCACCAATTAGACTCCTTCAACACTATATTTAATTTAGAGGCCTTAAAACAAACAAGTTTGTTTTTGTTTAAATATCTGATTTTTTAAGGCCACCACCCTTTAAACTATTTTTTTCTTTTGATCCTAAGTCAACTGGTTGATAGAACTTGAGAATGAAAAATTTATATTTGACAGAATCATACCTCTTTGACATATAAAGTAGCTTAGGAGTTCAGAAAAATCCCCAATATCATGTATGAATTTCCAAATATTTCTGCTAGTTTATCCCACTGTGAACACACACACACACACACACACACACACACACACACACCTCTACTCACTCCTTAATTATTATCCTATTATCCAGTAAGGCAGAGATCATAAATTTTATTCATCTTTGTATCTTTAACACAAAAAAACAATGTGTGGCATGACATTTTCTCTTCCTGTGTTCCTAATTTCTTCCTTAAAACTTCTAGCCATTCATACTCTTGGTTATGTAAAAAAGAGCCTCTATCTCTTTTGAAAGACTGTTTCATAATTCCCAAATGTCTTTTCTTTTATAGCCCAAATATGATTTTCTCCTTCTATGATGTGATTTCAGATCCCTCTAAGACGTTGATCATCCTATTTGAGCTATTCAACAACTTGTTTGTTTTTACTTAAGTTCTGTGGCAGAGACTTCTAGTTGATCTCTAAATCCTCAACACCCATATACCATTTCTTATACATAATATCCTACATATAATGTAGGCACATGTTCACTCCTGACCCCACACCAGCTAGTGACTTCTTTTCCCAGCCTTCCTGTGTAAGTTATGACTATGTGGCTATCCTAGAAAATAAAATGGGAATGAAAGTGATATGTACAACTTCTGAGTCATGATCCTAAAGGGATCTACTCTCCCTTTCCCTTTTCATCCTGCCGCCTGGATTATGGATATAGTAGAAGCCATTTTAGACCATGCAGATGAGGGACTTCATCTTAGGAATGGCAGGACAGCAAATTAAGAAGACTGGGTCCCTGGATAATCTTACAGAGTAGAGATGTTCTTCAGCTTTGGACTGACCACCTTTAGACAATTACTCGATAAATATGTGTACCTTATTTAAGCCACTGTTGAGTTGAAACAATTACGTGCATCTAGATCAATAGTCTACTAATAGGCCAGGCACAGTGGCTCACACCTGTAATCCCAGCACTTTGGGAGGCCGAGGCGGGCGGATCACCTGAGGTCAGCAGTTCGAGACCAGCCTGGCCAACATGGCAAAACCCCATCTCTACTAAAAATACAAAAATTAGCTGAGCATGGTGGCAGGTACCTGTAATCCCAGCTACTCAGGAGGCTGAGGCAGGAGAATCGCTTGAACCTGGGAGGCAGACGTTGTAGTGAGCCAAGATAGCACCATTGCACTCCAACCTGGGTGACAGGATTGAAAACTCTGTCAAAAAACAAAACAAAACAAACAAACAAACAAAAAAACCAAAAAACCAAACCAAACCAAAACAAAAACAGTCTACTAATATAAGTTCCTTATATTTTGGTACCAGTGATGAAGTTCAGTAGATTAAAAACTACCTTAAATTTAAGTTATTGATTTAGCATTTGAGGAGTCAGTGGAGAAGATATAAACTTTACAAACTAAAGCTGGTGGCTTTTATTGTGCTATGTGATACCTCAGAAAGCAGACCAGCTGTTTTTTGCAGCAGCAGTTTGATATTGAAACCTCATTATATTTCTTCATCCCAAATCCAGTCGCCAATTCCTCTCTGTTGTGGCCTCTAATTGTCATTTAATGCAGTTCTTCTCCATCCTCACATCCAGCCTTTTACTATGTGATAAGCATGTCTCATGAATTTGAATTTATATGATTTTATGTTTTAAATACTGTTTAAAAACTGAAATGCCAGGTATATCACCTTCTGGTATATCATCAGAGATTTCCTTCAAGTTTGATATTAATCCATTCATCAAATTTGCAGAGACAATTTTTCAATTGTACTCAAAGGGAAATTGCCTTTAATTGCTCAGATAACTGAGTCTTTCTTACTGTTCACACATACACACACACACACACACACACACACACAAAATCATCTTAACATAGCTACATGTTAGTAAGGCATTCACGTTAGTTTTTTTTATGGTTTCAATACTAATCTTTAAACCAGGGTTCAGCAAACTATGGCCCATTAGCCAAATATGGCCCTTCTCTTTCTTTTTTTAAGTAAAGTTTTATTGGAACATAGCTATCCCCATTTGTTTATGTATTGTCTGTCTGTGGCTGCTTTTGTGCTACAATGGCAAAGTCGATTAGTTACCACAAAGATTACATGGCCACAAAGGATAAAGATTTACTGTCTGGCCCTATGCAGAAAATGTTCTCTAATCCCTGTTCTAAGTAAGTGTTTCCAATCTTTTTATTCATGATTGTTCCCACAAGGGACCTTTTGAGACTTTTTGTTTTGTTTTGTTTTTTTCATTACCCTGCCCTGTGAAATTTTAATGCCACAGATATACCAGATATCTGTGCATGTACCCTGTGTGTATTTGTTCTTTATACATAAAAATAATAAGATTTCTCATCCCCTAAAAACCAATTGTTGTGCCCTCAGAGGCACTATTACTGTTGTTGAGAATGCATTCTCTAGACCAGAATTTCTCAGTTTCAGCACTCTTGATATTTTGGGCCAAATAATTATTTATGGTAGAGGCTGTCCTGCGCATTGAAGGATGCTTAGCAACATCCCTGCCCTCTGCCCACCAAATGCAAGTAGCACTCCTCTACATAATCTGTGACAACCAAAATGCCTCCAGACAATGCTAAATGCCTCGGGATCAAGAGGGAGGCAAAATTTTCGCCAATGAGAATTAATGATATCATTAAAAAATGAAGGCTAACTTATATTACTACATCATAAACTTAATATGTTTTTCCTTGCAATATTTACCATTAACAGAAAGTATCTTTTCTCTTTGTTTATTACAACTTCATAACAGGGTCCAAAAACTACATCTTCAAATACCTTATTCTAAATCTCCCTCCAAAATTGACATTGTACTAATTGGCCAGAAGTTGATTCACTGTTCTTGCCTAACTCCAATAATCTATGACATTTTCTACTGTAACGAGGCTCCTCAAAAACTAGCCAGGAGTACAGTAATTCTATTTAACAGTTCCCTCAGTGTGCTTGTTCTAAGTCTGAAAATTTGAACTTTTTGAGAATAATTCTTACCATCTCTTTTATATATTGAGCTTTCTTTCTCCTCTAACAAAGACCATTCCACCATTTAATTTGTAAGAATTACTCTCATTGTCAGAAACCAAAAAAAAAAAAAAAAAAAAAGGAACTGGCTTTTTTAAAATCATCAAACACATGAAATCATTTTCTAGATTTTTTTGGCAATAAAAAAAATGTTTGTTGCCATTCAACCTCATCATATCACATAGAATTGTCTGGAAGACAAAATGACAGATAAGACACAATATGTTCCTGAGAGTGACAAGGGCATACTCGAGGTATTTTAGTGCCTTCCTTTGGAGTTGTCTAGAGGAACGACTGAGGATAGGCATGTCCAAAAAAGGAAAGACATGTTTAACTTTGGCTTTCTTGGTAGAATTATGTGTTTGTATCAAGGAACCATTTTAACCTAACTCTATCACATTTCTATGTAATTTGCTGGAACTTGGCTTTTACAAGGTAATAATCTAAAGGAAAAGTAAAATGATCCTGTAGAATTTCTTTAAGGTTTGGGAACAAGGACAAACATAAATAATTAGAAAAGCAATTGGAAGTCATTGCAAAGTCTGATAGGTACTACTGTGGGCCACTTGAAGCAGTCTTGGTTCTTTCAGCCGGTCTTTCAATCTATCAAGCAAAGCCTACGCTTAACATCATGACATTGGCACATTCTCAAAATTAAGTGAAATAGGGATTTTTCTTATGTTACCATCTATCCTGAACAATAGGAAATCTAAATGGCTTCATTTAAAAACCCTCATTACCTCTCTTTGTGATTTCTGAGTAAATCATAAAACCTTTGCTCCAGCCTTCTGAAGCCAGAAATAGATGTTTCATTAACTACATTGTTTGGTCATGTTTGAATGACCAAAATCACAGAGCAAGATTTCTGCATTGCGCTATGGTTGTACTGCTATATGGTTTGAGGTACTAGCCTCTGTGTGTTCCTGCTACTACATTTGTCTCCTACCTGGAACTATGGCTCTACTAACTTTATCTCTCACATGTTTTCTTTGCTTCCAAAAACCTTGTCTCTGTATCATAAGACTAAAATTAGCCCTGAACTCGGAGTTTAAATATTTGGGTTGTTATTCTAACTCTGCCACTCACCAGACCAGCTATGTAACTTTGGGTAAAACCCTTCTTTTTGCTGTGCCTAATTCTCCCCCAACACTACAAATACTATTTGATCATATAACAGAGAAGTTTACATAAGGCATGGTTGGATCCAGGGCCTCTAACAATATTGTCAGAACTCTGTGAGTCCATAAAAGGAAAGCTTTCCTCTGATAGGCTGTCTGCATGGTGGAGCCTAGCAGATGAAGGCTTATATTTTCCCAGGTTCAATCCTGGTAGAGAGAGAAAATATTCCATTTCACCATTTTCAGCACACATCCTAGGATTAAGCATCATTTCCTGTCTTGCATCATGTGCCTGGCCCTTAACAGCCACCGTGGCCAGGACAATGTGTTGATTTAACTATGGCTGAATTATTGCCGTCACTAAGACCCCAGAGATCATTAAAACAATATGATATGAGATGGAGAGATGGGAGAATTCTCCAAGAGGAAAATTAAGATGCTAATATAAAAGAAAGAAGAACATATACTTTGCTGGATACAAGAAGAGAGGTTACTGCAGATAGAAAGGCAGCTCTCTCTTTGGTGAAAATGTTGCTTTACAAACCAATATTTTAATCTCATTCCCACCTCTGCAGCTATCACTTGAGAACATTAGCCTCCCCTACCAATGCCTACTTTTGATCCTGCAGCAGATGCCTCAGCCTCAGAATTTTGAGACCCACTGCTGCAGGTCTTTCCCCAGGACTGTCTTGCTCTTAGAAGTCCATCAAGGGAGGAAATCATTCATGCATGAGAATTCATCCATGAGTAAGTAAATTATTGGCCCTCTAGAGTAGGGGCTTACAGCCCTGTTGTTCTATATTCTCATTTTTATCTATCATTATTGCAAATTAACATGTTGTAGAAATTATAAGAGTCATCAAAACACATTCCTAAAAACTGGGGACCAGAGGAACATTCTTTGGGGACTCCTGTTTAACTTTCCCCTTCTTTTATGTACCTTCCACTTTGCTATGTAGTCCTATCATCAAGTCCCTTCCATAAATCTACGGGAAACATCATCTCTAGCTTTTTAGCTTATTTTTAGGGTTTCTGTGACTCTGTCATGGACTCCTGGTGAGACTTCAGTGAGACTTTGGGCATGTGGCTTACTGCTATGGATCTCAGCTCCCTATTCTGAAAGAAAAAGAACATAAAACAGTGTGTACTTTCTCTTTCTGGTTTGCTATAAAAAAATTAAATGAGTTAGATATGCGAGCTGTTGAATGGTGATGTTACACTGGAAAAAGACTTTAGGGTCAGGAGATGTATGGGTATCATCTGTGGAGTTCTAGAGACAGAAACAATCCCTGATATTATTATTACATAGTCAAATGGTACAAAAATGATACTAAAGGTCAACTGGTACAAAAGGTCTTCTTTATCATATTCCAAATCACAATGTGTGAGCTACCACAGTCTGCTTGACCTTCTCCTAAGCCTGTTTCTCTTCCCAAGCCCAGTGTTAGTTCCCACCATGTCCCAGCACCATCCAGCATCTCGCTGTCCTGCACCACCAAATTAAACATCTCACCCAGGGCATTTGCCCAGGAAGGAGGTGTAGGCAGTTCCCTGTGTTCTGGATCACCAGAAGGTGGGGCAGGGCCATCTGCTCATGCACAAGGACAGCTGCATTCCCCATTGTGAGGCATAGGATGAATCATTGGCCAAAAAGCAAATTTTATTTCACTGGATGAAAAATTCACAGAGCTGCATAGTCTCATGAGGTTGTTTCGGGTGTAACTGTAGAAAGTAATGGAGCTCAAAAACTGTTATTGAGTTTTTGAATGACAATACTTTATATGGTTCAAAGAGAAACTTTATAGTAATATGTTATTTTACATATTTTACATAATAAAAATATATACATGCTGTCCTTCACTTAGCACAATTCCAATATACACAGATTTTAGTTGCCATAGTTTAGTTACATAATGCCAGTCTCCTATCAACGTGGTTTAGATTGCAATTACCACAGTATATTAACTATGGTTAACTGAATAGAGTACACACTTTGTTGCTAGCTCTTCAGTCCACAACTCACTGCATAAATAACAGATGGAGGTCATAATCAATAAGTGATCATGTCACCTCTTTCAAAATCTGTTGGTAATTGGTCACCATTTATCTGTTATTCACAGACAGCAAAGCATGTAGTTGTGTGTTGCCTTCATATCTCCCAGTAATAAACCCATATGAAACTTTACAAAATTGGATAATCAAAAGAGAAAATTGGCCAACACAGATGAAAGTGCAACAGTACTAGAAGAAAGGTAATATGTAAGAAGTGAAATTTGAATCAGACCATAATGGAGTTAAGAAATAGCTGAACATGGTAAGGTTGTCATTGCCATGACTCCAAATATACTACTAAAGGAACTTAGCAAAGGTGAAATTATTAAAATTAGTGAGAAAAGTGTGACAAAAAGGGTGAGTATATCCCAGAGAGGGTGATACCAGTAAAATGCTTCACGTTAGGAAAACTCTTAGAGATATTTCATGGCATTAAAAGAAAATTTAGGCCAAGCATGGTGGCTCACGCATATAATCCCAGCACTTTGGGAGGCCGAGGTGAGTGGATCACTTGAGATCAGGAGTTCAAGAGCAGCCTGGCTGACATGGTGAAACCCTGTCTCTACTAAAAATACAAAAATTAGCAGGGCTTGGTGGCAAGTGCCTGGGAGGCTGAGGCAGGGGAATCACTTGAACCTGGGAGGCGGAGGTTGCAGTGAGCCAAGATTGCGCCACTGCGCTCCAGCCTGGGCAACAGAAGGAGACTCTGTCTCAAATAAATAAATAACTAAAAAAGGAGAAAATTTACGAAGGAGGATGACAGTTCACCAAGGCACAGGGCATAGGAAACATGTCTGTTCTGTGTGGTAAGCTATACGACAAGCAGAAGGTGAACACTGTTCAAACTACGTTCTGTTTTGTTTTTTTAAACAAAGAAATGAAATACTTTAATCCTCAACATTTCTAGTATTTTAGAGTGTACCAAATAAATATTAGTTTTACTATTTTTTTTATTTCCTTACATATTTATAACCAACAGCAGGAGAGTTTTTAAAGTTTTGATGAAAAATTTTAAGGTCATGGGACAATCATAATTATTTCACTAATGATTAAGATTGCATTATGTGGTTACAGTTTGCACAGTCATTTTATGGTCCCACACTACCCTCTAAAGTGAAGACTGCATATTTTTATCTATTCCTTTTAAAAGAGAGGAATTAGGTGACATGAGTCACAAAGGAAGTATGCATTCTTATAGTGTCTACTGGTTATAAAATGTGATTCTGGGAGCTGTGAAAAAGAAGAAAAAATTAGATGTGGTTGTTACCCTCATGAACTTTGAGATCTCCTTTAAGAAGATGAGATTTTACATAAAGGAAACCTGTATGACATAAGGATAATTCACATAATAAATGCCCCCTTAACATAAACACTCAAAATAGGGATTGCTTTTTCTTATAGTAATAGATGAAGGAAAACATTTGGCCAGGAACTGATTTGAAATATGAAATTAAAATATAGAAAACAAAAAAACAAAAAAGAAATTTAAATATAAAACCATGTTTATTTTTCATTAATCAACATTTAATTTGAAATCGCAGCAATGTCTTAATTCATAGATGAATTAAGTATGAACTACATTATCTGTTGGCATAATTTTTCTTCAATTTTGTGGTAGGAAGATATACCACCCTTTGCTTTAGGCTGGATTCTTAAATCATGATTATGAAATAAGTAATTTTTACAAGAATATTTGATAGCTCATCAATTTTCTCAAGGACTTTTCTACATCTTTTGATATCCAAGTCCTTCTCACTTGAAGCTCCTAGGTTGTTGTGATAGTTATTAATTTCTTTTTCCTCTTTCACTAGTTTAATTCTGCCAGCTCCTCATTTGCCCACAGCTTAAAGATAGTTCAAGGAGCTATCCAACATCACTTTCACAGATATCACAAAGTCTTGTAATTTGCAAATTGACTTTGCAGCTGCTTTACATTTTGTTATAACTCTAAATTCTGATAATCAACAGAAATTTGTCATTTGAAGGTGATATTTTATGGTCTACATCAGAGTCAGCAAACTACAGCTCAAGAAACAAATCTGGCCCACTGCCTGTTTTTGTAAATAAAGTTTTATTGACACACAGCCATACATATTTATTTATATATTGTGTATGGCTGCATTCATACTACAACAGCAGAGTTGAATAGTTGTAACAGACCATAGGGCCCACAAAGGAAGCCCAAAATATTTACCATCTGACTTTTTGCAGAAAAAAATTTACCAATCCCTGGTCTGGATTGATGTTGGTTTTGAGTGAATAGAGATGGTTGCATGGACACAGATTTGATAAGAGTTCAATTAATTAGTAAAGATTCTGGGTTCATGATTTTTGTTCCCAGACTAACTCAAAGGTGAAAAAAAATACAGCAAATATTCTGCTAACTCTTAACAAAATCTAACTTTTTGAAATTTCTATTAATGAGACAAAGTGCTATAGTATTTTGGAGGAGAAAGAGCTCCCTTTGGCTGCTGAAGGAAGGTTCCCTTAGAGAGATAGTATGACTACAGGACTTCAAAGCATGTGTAGGATTAAGGGTCAGAATCTTCTCTAAAAAGAACAATATGGACGGTAATTTTCTGTAGTTACCAACAAATAATAATTAACCACCTTGCTGAGATGATGGTATAACCAGTAGAAGAGATAAATAAATAATGTGTCTGATTAAAACCTTCCTGACTTCTATTGAGTTAGAGAAGTTCCAGTAACAGGGACACAAGATCCATCAATGGTCATAGCAAAGTGTAATCAAGGCACCTGCCACCTGCCCCGCTCAATGTTTTAATAAAACCTCCAAGCCCCAGTGGAATTCAGTGTGGCTAGTTTCTTCTCAACTAGTGGTCAGAGTTTGGAAGGGAACCTAAGAGAAATTCCTCTTTATTAGGGTATTAGCTGATAATCAATGCTTGCCTCAAGGGCTGTCATTCCTGGAAAACCTTCAAGACCCAAAGGAGCTAGGCTCATGCCCCTAATTTAGTGGAATTTCAGCCAAGATTATAAAATATAGGGGAAGCAAGGATTTCCTTATCAGCCACAAAAATGTTAATTTCCATGGGGTTACTTGGCCTTTCCTCTTTAAGTTATACATTTGGCCTGTGCCAGCCTCTTTCAATGTACAATTGGATCATCAGCTCCCAGAACCAAAGCAAAGGTGTTCTGCCCCAGAAGCCTGATCTCAGCAAGGTCTCTTTTTAATGACCAGTCCTCTGTGCCTACCCTGCTCCCCCATGAGGCCTTGGGAGTGATTAGCGATACGGGTGGCCTCACAAGGTTCTAGAGAGGAATTCCAGCCCTCAGATCTGTCTTGAGTTTGTCAGCTGGGAGAGGGGCCCAAATTGAAGCACAGCAGTTGCCTGTCAGGGGAAAGAGCAGAGCTGCTGAGGCCTGCGGTGCCTCTAGGTTCGGTGCCATTCTTCAAAGGCTGCTGCCAGCACATTGTGTGAGGCCACCCTGGTGGCAGGGGCGGACGCAGCTTCTCTGGCTCTAGTCTCCGCTTCAAGGCCACTTCAGGATTTTAAGCTGCTTGGAGAATGACAGCTGTCACTGCATGTGCACTGGGGAATTGTAAGGGGGAGGATTTGGGACTAACTACAGGGTCTGTTCCCTGCTGCTCCAGTTTTTGTTTTTTTTAGCAAACGTAATTATAGACAGCAATTTTAAGAAGCTGTGGCTGCTCCAATGTTGCTTTCTTCCAAAAACTGGACTGTGTGTTGCTGAGAAGGCACGGTAAGTCATTTCTAGCACATATCCAACTTTGACCTCTAGCCCTCCTTCATCTACCAATTGGTCAGTAGGCCCAAATCTCAAGGCCCAGGTGCAAGCTAGCTCCCCCTGACACTATGCCTTCTTCCTGTTCAGATTCGTTTTTCATACCTGCCATCTTCCCTGCTGGTCCGAAAGTTCTTTGTAGGCAGGGACGGTCTCATTTATCTTTATGTATCCCATATTATCTCACACTGTGATGTGCTCATAGTGTTTGCTGTGAGATATTGACCAAGTTACTTCACAATGCTTACCCTCTGTTTTCTTTGCTACAAAATAAGGTAATTGAAGTAGATGGTCCCTTAAGTCCCATTCAGTTTTTATGTAGGGCAAAATACTTCTCATTTCTGCTCATAGTAGCTGTGTTACTATAGGCAAGTTATCATCTTCAAAGATGATTTTTATTTTTAGAAAGGGGGATAATACCCATCTCCTGTATACTACATGGGCATTAAATATGTGTTGGTATATAATTACTAAGGGCTGCTTTCTTTGTCATGTGTATGCAAGAACACTACAAAATGACATCTATTATTTCTGCTCTAATATAGATGAGAAAATAGGCTCAAATAAGTAAAACGATTGGTCCAATATCATACAGATAAGAAACAGACTAGTTGACATTTGAACCTGAGCAGGCTCTGTTGCCTTTCCTCAGTCTGTATGACATGAGTACTTTGTAGGCAGCATCATAATATCCCCCAAATCTTCAACCACTCTCTGTCAAGAACAAAGCCCATGATATTTTGAAAGACATGCAAAGCCCTCTCTATGATCTGACCTTGACCTTCAATTTCCATGTTCAGTAAACATGATTTAGACACAGAGTTTTTTAAACATGCGCAGACCCTGCCTTTGCTTGTGCTTTTTCCACCAAAAATGACTCTTCTCATGTATGAACAAACTCTCCCGGTGAAAACTTTTTCTTCTTTGTAATCCCAATGCAAATGATCTGATAGTACTTCTAGGAAAACTTCTCTCATTGTCATTCCCTTCATTCACCCCAAAAAATGATTCAGTAAGTCTCATGCAATGAAAGTTTGGCAGAGGGAGGTATTGTTATGGGCTGACAAGGACTGGGAGTGCAGCCTGGATGGGCAAGGACTGAAGTCAGGCTTGAAGAGTATATTCAGATATTGGCATGCTTTCTAAAGAAGAGAGCTCTGCACTCCTTATTTCTGTTAGCTGCCAAGGTAATTGGAATGGGGGATAAATAATGTGTGGAAAAAGGAGGTAGGGATCAGATTTAGAAGCCTTGAATGCCAGGACAAGGAGTCTGGATTTCATCCTGTAGCCCAGCTTTCTTCTAGGTGGCTCTCAATCCACCTAGCCCACCAGGACTGCTTCTTGGAGTGAAGGTTCCAGTCCTGCCAAATTCTAGGAATTCATACTAGAATTCATACTGACAAGACCCCTAGGTGACTCTGATGCACCCTGAAACTTGAGAAACTGTGCAGTAGGACTTGGGAGAATATGTGAATGAGTCTTTGAGGAAGATTACTCTGGTGGTTATATGGACAAGGGACTGAAGGAAACAGGGACTAGTTGGAGGCTCCAGAAATAGACTTCAAAGATCATAATTGCATGATGCTGCCCTGGATGGTTGATTGTGACCTGACTTTGATAGCTAGACTCATATGCTGTAATCCTCTCTGAGCCTTACTTCCTCCTCTTTATCAGTTCTCTATATGTTAAAAAGCCACTAATCTTCAACATTATTATCTATTTAATCTAAGCCAAAGAATTTATAGGATTGGCCAAATTTTTCTAATGGTAGATAATTTTTTCATATGATAAAAATTAGTACTTTTTCATGTTTCAGTTATTTTTCCCACAAGCTGTAGGGTTGTCAAAACAGATGTAGTTATATTTCCTTTACAGATGAAGAAACTGGGTCCACATATACCATACCATGCATAATCTAAGGGCTGCTGTTGCCTCGAACTGAGGTCTCTTGACCCCAGGCCAGGACTTACCTTTTGTTTTTGTTTTTTAAACCAGAAGATTAAGGCCATGTCTTTTTCATTAAAAATAAAGAGCGGGCGACCAGGTTTTCCAGGGCACACTACAGCTGCAGTGAAGCCTTGCTTGTAATGAGAATGCCCAAATCCTGACCTGTCTTTGACCAAATGTACAGAAATGAAAAGGGGGTGGCTTAAAATGTACATTATCTGAATTATGCCATAGGGGGCCTGGAACAAGGGGAAGGAACCAGTGGCTTTGCTGGCATCAGAAAACACAGGTGGATAAAGCAGGTTCTGAATGTTTCCTCAAAGGGCATTTGGTGAGTTGAGAGAACAGAATCTGATAGAGAGCATGTATGACTCAGCATCATTAGTGTTTCCATGGGCTTGGTACAGCCTGAATCTTTAGGGGATCAGAAGGGTGGGAGATAGTAATGAAAGATCAAGGGGAACAAAGGGGTGAATAATAGTGTGTCTTCTCAGCTTTCCTTCTCCTTCTGTGACACTAATTTGCCTCATCCCAGGTAAGGCCTATGATCAAGCAAATGGCGAGTCATCTGCTACCCGCTGTTACCTATTGCATTAGAATCCTTCTAACATACCATTTCTTTTGCAGGTACTGGTCCATGTTTAAAATTGGCTAGGGATAGCCACAGCATGAAGACTTAGCCAAGGACTTCAAAGACAAGCTTCAAGGACTAGAGTCGTTAGAAAAAGAGCTTAGTGAGAATATAGCTCTTGGCTTAGTGCTATTAAAATTTTATTCTTAAAATTAGGATCATCCTTAAGTACAGTAATTTTAGTCTAACCATTTCATTGGGAATGGAGAGAGATGGACAGTGAGAGATTACTCAAAGATAAGCATCTCTGTATGCTCAGCACCACAACATCCAGGACTAGTGACTGATCCATGGTAAAATCACTTAAATTATATGAATGAATGGTAGAAATCAGGGCACCTTTAAAAAGCTTACTTAGAAAGCCAAAAATTCTGATTCCAGTGCTAGGACAGGAAAAAAATACAAGATGAGCCTCAAGCATTTTGTAGTACTAGAAAGTAAAGATGTGTTCAAAAATCAAAAGGATGGGGCATGTCAAAGAAACATGAGAACCAATCTGAAAGAGCTCCCAACAACAAACTCTTCAACAATTTCAGCAACAAAATAGTGTAATACTGGATTATAACCCAAAATATAAAATAAATATGCATGAGTCTATACTGAATAAATTATTGAAGAAATGAATAAACAGGAGAGAATAAATAAATCTTTCATACAGAATAATTACAAATAATCTCTGTTGATACTTCCTCCTAGAAGAGGTGAGCATGAATCTTGCTTTCCCTGGAATATGGGCCATACTTAGTGACTCACCTCCATAGAATAGAGTAGGAAAAGGGAAAGCTGTGATTTTACCATAGAAAAATATGACAAATGTGACCTTAACAAAGTAATAAAGATCAGCATCATCAGTCATGTCCTGTGGATATCATGTACCCTCCTATATGTGATTAAAAAAGTGATGATATGTGACACTTCTATGCTACTTTTTCTATAAACCTATCACTTCCGTCGAATAATGAGAAAAACATGAGACAAAGCCAAATTGAGGGACATTTTCCAGAATACCTCTACAGACTGAATCTTTAGGGGAACACAGAGGTGGCCAGTATTCTTCAAGAATGTCAAAGTCAAGAAAAACAAGGAAAGACTGAGGAACAGGTATATACCAAAGGAAATTGGGAGACATGACAACTAAATACAATGTGGTACAGTGGGTTGGATGCTGGAACAGAAAAAGGACATCAATGTAAAAACAGTGAAATACAAACAAAGTCTAGAGTTTAGTCAATAGTTCATGACATTTCTTTGTTTTGAAAAATGCACCATGGTAATGTAAAATATTAATTATGTGGTAAAGTGAGTGGGGAATATATGGAAATTCTCTGTCCTATCTTTGTAAACTTTTTGTAAATTGAAAATTATTCCAACACCAAAATTTTATGCTAAAAAGATTAAATAAAACAGCTCAGTTAATTCCCAATTGATAAACAAGGGTATTTAATACTTACCCTATTAAACATTGTGTTACATAGGATTTAAGCTCTCTGATAAACAAGAAGTAAATTATAAAACAAACAAAATAGGAGCCAAAATTAAACTACTTAATATTATGGACCATGAATTACATAATACTTTCTTCCTATAGTCCGCTCTTGGATAAAATAAAATTGTGTCACAAAAATTTGGAAACAGTGAAACAGTGATAGCTAGATATCTTAATTTCTAACCTCAAGTTCGTTTCTATACAAAACTGGGCTCCAAAAAGACTTTTTAAAGATGGAGCTATTAAGTTAGTTTTATAACTCTAATATCCAAAAACATGTCATTTTTGTCTATTTTTAGTGGCTTAGTCTTGTCTTTTGTCAAGAACTTAGTCAGACATGCCACACAGCCCATTAAACCTATTAGTTATCATTATACCATTTCAGCTATTAGTTTATTTTTTACTTTTGCTTTTTTCTCTCTTTTTCTTTTCAGGAAGGAATACTTTGTGTTCAAGCTTAGACTCTTACTTATGAGAACAAAACTAGCTCAGAACATTGGAAGTTAGAGCAGCAAAAGACAACACGCACACATGCACGTACACACACACATACACACATGTGTACATGTACACACACAGAATAGTCCCATTCCTTACTCATTGTTACCCATAGTAGTTCTAAGCTACATTTACACACATTAATACACAGGACAGCCTCCTTTAGCTGCTTAGGGCCACAAAGAATACAAAAAAGCAAATTGGGAATTTGAAAGGTCAATGGGAGCTACTGGTTCCTCAAAAAGCAATGGGTGCATAAGTGGAAAATGAGATAAACGACTAATTCCTAAAACCCAGACATGTATTGATTAACATACTGCCATTACAGATGAAGCCACAGGGGTTAGGTAGCCACGATATGAATAAGTGATGGACCCAGGATTAGTTAGAACTTATCTCTTTTATTCTAGAACTCACATTCTTAACCTCTAGACTATACTGTCTTTAAATACAATAATGTTACTGATTGATCATAGATATTATTTCTGTTACAATTAGAATCAATGACCATCTTAGTTCATAAAAGTTGGTCTATATCTGATTATTTTTCTCTAGAAGTGAAATTGCTGACTTAAAGAATATGAGTATCTGAATTAATAGTTAAATTTCTTTCTGTAATGATTGCATCAATTGATAATCAGTTCATTGCTACACACCACAGCCTCACTGGCATTGAGTCTTACTATTAATATTTTTAGCCTTTATTTTCAGCTATAGGAAATATTTTGTTTTCATTTGTATTTCTTGATTACATGTGTGGCTAGACTGGCCTTGTTGTTAATGGGCATTGGCTTTTTTGTAATTATGCTTTTGTTTTATTTTTATTTGGTTTTTGGTAAGCCATTATCCATGGCCATCACTCAGCAATTTATTTATTTTCCAATACTTATTGAAGGTCTACCCTATGTCAGATATTTTTGCAGATACTGGAATTATATTGGTGAACAAAACAGTTTCAACTCATGCTTTATGGAATTTACAATCCTGTGGAAGTAATAGACATTGAACAAATAATGATGAGTGAAAGGAGAAGAGCAGGTTGCTTTGGAGCATGTAACAAGAGGATCTATTACAATCTGGAAGTTCAAGAAAGACTTCCTTGAGGAAGAGACTGAGATCAAAAAGTTGAATAAAAAGTAATTAGATAAAGGGATAAGGCTGGTAACAACATGTTCGACAGCACTAGGATAAGGGAAACATTTTCTTTTCTTTTCTTTTCTTTTTTTTCGAGACGGAGTCTCGCTCTGTCGCCCAGGCTGGAGTGCAGTGTCGCGACCTCAGCTCACTGCAAGCTCCGCCTCTTGGGTTCATGCCATTCTCCTGCCTCAGCCTCCCGAGTAGCTGGAACTACAGGCGCCTGCCACCACGCCCGGCTAATTTTTTGTATTTTTAGTAGAGACAGAGTTTAACCGTGTTAGCCAGGATGGTCTCAATCTCCTGACCTCATGATCCACCCGCCTTGGCCTCACAAAGTGCTGGGATTACAGGCGTGAGCCACCGCGCCCGGCCCTTAAGGGTTTTTTTTTGTTTTTGTTTTTGTTTTTTTTTAGGTTTTATTTTTCTTGATGAATATCTTAGAACTCTACATATTAAAGGTATTCATCTTTAATGTCATTTGTTATCAACATCACTTGTTCTTTTATTACACTGTAATATATGGTGTTTTCATTTAGAATGTTTTTGCTTTCCTACAAATTATAATAAATGACTCTTTATTTCTTTTTTGTGAACTTTAATATACTCTATAACTTGTCTTTATTTCTGCTACAAAACCTAATATTCTCCAGCTCACAGATATGTGACATCCACTTTATTCGACTTAACCTTCTCATACAGTTGAAACCATTTTCCCATTCTTCTTTCTCTGCTACCACCACTGTCATTGACATAGTATCTGTTAGCTATTCCTGTGTAACTAACATAATCCCATATGGCTTCTACTGATCTGAGCTGGGCTGGCGGGACTCACTCATGTACCTGAGGTCAACTAAAGTCAACTAGGTGGTTCTATCTCGGCCTCTCAGAATGCCTGGTACCTCAGCTTGGACAGCTTGGTTGACTTATCTTTGTTCCATGTGACCCCTATTCTCCAGCTGGCCAGCCTAGGCTTGCTTTTAAAGTGAAGTCGGGGTTCCAAAGGTGTGTAAAGTCTAAGCACAAAATTGGCACAATGTTTCTGCCACAATCTATTTGCCAAGGCAAATCACAAAGCCAGCTACCCTCCACAGGTGAGAAAATAGGCTCATCTCTTTATGGAAAGGACTATATAACGTGGTGAACAATTAGGGCTAATTTTGCAATCTACCTACCATAACTGCCAAATGGTATTTTTATTACCTCATTTTATTTGTTTACGTCTTCCTTCTTTAAGGTCCAGTTCAAATTCATCAACTTACTTTCTTGTGCTTTACATCCCACTGCCTATTTACATTATGCTTATTTTACTGAACATTGTGATAAGTGACTTATGTCCTTATATGACTTAATCCCCACAAAATACATGAGGTAGGTATCATTATTGCCCCCATTTTGTAGCTAAAAGAATGTTTTTCGAAGAATAACTTTTCTTAAAGACTCACAACCAGAATGTCAGAACTTAGAACAAAATTCAAGTATAATACAGGAGTTTAGGATTTTAACCCCTGAGCTTTAGCTTACTTAAAAGTGTAAGCTATTTATGGAAAACCATAAAAAATGTTACATTCAACCAAAATAGCCGTTTTTCAGCTTTTGCTAAATCAAATAACATTCTAAAATAATTTATATAATGTAAACAGATGTTCAGAGGTCATCAATTTGGGGGGTCTTCTATACTATAAATGCTATCTATTAATTTACTTTGTTCCTGCATTTGAAGTAAGACCACACTATTCAATTTTTGAGGAAGACCTCAGTCTTTTGTATGGCAGTGTAGTTAGAGAAATCCCTGCTCTAAGGGTGTTAAGATAAAATTAGTCTTGTTTTTATAATATACTTCAATTCCCTGAGTTTGGAAATCAGGCCTTCTTTGGGATACTGAGGAGAGAGAAGCACTTGAGGCCGAGAGTTTGAGACCAACCTGGGCTATATATGGAAACATTGTCTCTACAGAAAATGAAAATAAAATTAGCTGGGAATGATGGTGCACACCAGTAGTCCCAGCTACTTGGGGGGCTGAGGCAGGAGGATTGCTTGAGCTCAGGAGTTTGAGGTTGCAGTGAGCCACAATGGTGCCACCGCACACCAGCCTGGGCAATAGAGTGAGACCCTGTCTGCCGCCTGACGAAATAGATCAGGTTTTGTATATCTGCCCAGATCCCCTGTGCCTAGCACAGTGTGAAGGATGATAAACATATCTGTAGAACTAGAGACTCTTGAAGAGCATTTAGCACAAACTTTGTTTTGTGTAAGTGAGAAGTGGATCCATAGGAGAGCTTTGACTGACACCAAGCCACTTGAACAATTAGTGAAAGATTCTGGACTAAACATTGTTCTGCCTACTCTCTGGTCAGAGCTTCTACTCTGTCTTTGTTTGATGTTTCCTAAGACAAAAAAATTGTATTTCCTTCCCTTTATATACAGTGGTATAGTTTGTTTTTTTTTTTCCTTCCTTTTCTCTAACTCATAAACTTGCTGGACTCAGTGCTCCTGGGAGTGTTAAAGCAGAATGTGCTTATTTACTTTTATTTTTTGTACCATTTTCCTTCTTTTTTATGATCCTGGCTTCTGACTGTGTCATGGAAACATATAAAAATTGGCATAAAAGTAGGAAAATGTGCCCCAGATGCTGCATTAACTGTGAAATAAGTTTAAATGCCTCCAAACAGGGTCTGGTCTCCTCTCCGTCAGCTTCCATACAACTCATCCTGAAGTTTTCCTTTTATCTACAATATGAGGAACATAGTGGGAGATAAAGACCCTGCCAGCTTGCCAATGCCTTTACAACAAATCATTGCATAGGCTTAGGCAGCCCCTCACATTTGTGGGCAGATGGGGAGCAGTAGAAAAAAGCGGGGCTGTAGTTCTGTCTCAGAAAACACTGGTGAAACCATCTAGGTATGGATTTATCAAGTCCCTACTGGGGCCACAGCAACAGATTTTCAGACAGAAGTTCATACATACTAAGGTCATGCCTGATGCTTGTGTTCTCAAAGCTCTCTTTGGTCTAGTGAATTTGAAAAAGGACACACCATTATTACCACACTCCTTAACCTCTCTCCCAGCTTCCCATCTTGCATTCATCCTCCATTCTCCTCACTGTTGTCAAGGGATCGTTCAAAAGCACAAGTCATGTAGTGCCACTGTGTTGTCTAAAACCCTCCCCTATCCTCTTACTACCCTTGATGATGTCTATGCTTTGAACCAGAGCCCTCGAGGCCATCCTCTTTACAGTCCCTGCTGTTCTCCAGCCCCCTATTTCTCTCATCCTGACCACACTTCTTGTACTTCCTCAGATGAGCTGTTCCCTTTCTTCTCTCCAGGTCTTCACATATGCTGTTCCTGTGCCTGGAACATCCCTTTCTCCTATGGCCACTCTCCCCCACTTTTAAGCCACATCCTAGACAGAACTCTTTCAAAGGCTGTGTGACAATGACATGGGCTTTCATTCCCTTCCCCTGGGTTCTGCCCCATGATCCCAGAGCACCTTGGCCTTCTTCTATCATAGCACTGCTTCTTTTTGTACTGTGACTGAGGCTTGTGTAAGGTAAACAATTTGTGAAGTGTGCCAAATTATGTCTTAATATGCATCTCTAGAACCTAGTATAGTGTTAGACATCTGAATAGGTTAGAGGTTAAGACAGTAAACTCCCTGTGTTTAATTCTGGATTCCATCAATTATTAGCTGTGTAAATTTGAGAAAGCCATTTAGACTCTCCAAGCCTCAGTTTCCTCGTTTGTGAAACAAGAACAATAACAGGACCCACTTCATTGAATTATGTTGAGAATTACAATTAATTCACCTTAAGTTCTTAGTACAGTGCCTGTTCTGTATATTGTCTTCAAATGTTACCTGTTATTAAGATGCTCATTGAACAAATATATCAAACAGATGAAAAGCTAAGATATCTTCCCCAGATCTTCATGAACCTACTGTTTATCACTTTCCTTTTCTGGGTTTTAGTTTCTACATGAGGGATGTGAGAAGACTCAGAAAAATTATCTCTAAGGGGCCGTACAGTGACAAGTGAGAAGCTGTTCTAGGAAGAAGACACTGACAGTTCTGTTATTTGTCTCCCCAGAACCCTTTAATATAGGTAGATGATTGGACAAATGAGAAAAATAAAGCCCAGAGAGGGAAGGTGACTTGCCTAAGGTCTTGTAGACAAATGGAAAAGCCAAATCTAAAACTTGAGTTTAATTACCCAAGGTTAATTTATTTCTTATTGTTATGACATCAGACTTTATATTTTGAGCAGAAGAATCTCACTTAATTTTTGTCACATCATGTTATATGTCAGTAAGATAAGAATTTTCTTAAGATCATAGACTTTTAGAGCTGAACTTTAAATTCATTCTAATTCTACAGATGTAGCGACTGAGGACTCAAAAGGTGGAGTGAATCCAAGGTCACCTGGTCATTGCTGTGTGCAGCCTCTCATGGGCCACAAACCCATAATGGGCCCTCCTTGGCTCATGGCCTTGGTTTTCCTAGAATCTAAATACTTCTTTATATGATACTTCCTTTAATTAAGGATCAATTAAGTATAACCCGCTAAGCAGATAAAATAATTTGAAGTGGGTCTTTTTGTAATTGACAGTTGCTGCTATTAAGCATGAAATTAAAGAGGCCCATTACATGGATAAAGGGTAGCACTCAATGATATTTGTATTAAATATTCATTTTTTTTAATTCTAGTCACGAATGTTTGAGTGCTAGGGCCCATTCCAGATGCTAGGGACACTGAAGTGGATAAACAGAAAAGTTCCTTATTTATAATAATTGCTTCAAGTCCATTTTTTGTTCATCATCTAGCCTTAAGGCTTAAACTGCACTGATTAATTTTAAATATGTGTACCCAAATGGTTCAGACAATGTCTTTAAAAGCTTGAAATTTGTGATGTCAAGTCACATATGCAGACGCTTAGTGGTTAATGGGTTGTCTGATTATACCATAGTACATGGCTAAGGTTAACAGTACAGTCCCATATGGGCACTTGGTTTTGTTCTGATCCAGGCCCATAGATGCCCTCGCTGGCCTTGGCCATTTACAGGATGTTCACCCCAAGAAAATGTTGATCAGCCTTTCTCAAAGATACACTTAGCACAATCCATCTCATGTAATCTTAACCATGGTAATGCTCCCTTTCAGTTTCACAGACTTTATTTATTCATGGTATTTTTGTCAATATCTTCTTTGAAATCTGAGTTGAAAGGACAGATAGAGACTATTTCATGAACATGGGAATCTGTGTTCCAGAAATGGAGAAAGAATCCCAATGGTACAAAGTAAATGAGTTGAGTCAGGACCAGAAATGGGCTCCCCTGATTCCCTGTGATATCTTTGCTACCAATAGCACCTGCCATGTGAACCTGAGAAATGAGCAAGTGGAAAAGATATCTTTATTTTATAGATAATGACAATGAGGGCTGGGAAGGGAAGTGGCTTTGTCCAGCCACTGAAATGGGTTAGGCTTCCTAACCCTGGTGATACATTCCCATGGGTAAGAAGACCTGGGGATTATATACAAGCCCAGAAAATGGTGTCAGAAAGGCTTTGATCTTAATATAGTGTAGGTAAGTTTCAGATACAGAGTATTGGTTTTTGGATCCATCCAAATCAGGTTTGATTCCTGGTTCTCCCACCTCCCAGCCTTCAATTATCTTACCTTGTAGTCTCTCTGTGTGGGAGGCACTAAGACTACATGGATGGGGAAGGCTTGCTGAGCCCACCCCCCAAGCTGCCCCCACCAAGGCTCCAGGCATGTGAATGAAACCTCTAGGACCTTCCAGGATAGCTCAGCTGCCAACTCAATACCAAAAGAATCACCCAGCCAAGCCCCCGCCCCCAAATTCCTGATCCTCAAAATTATAAAATATAGTAAAACGCTGTGATTTTTAAGCCAATAATCTTAGGGCTAGTTTGTTATGCTTTAGTAGATAACCAGGACACCCTTCTGTTCTCAACACCTAGAACAAGTTTGAAATATAGTAGACACTCAGTAATTATTGTTTGAATGATGGCCATAGGAGAAGCCCGGAGAGAGAGAAGAATAATTCACATGTACTGAATGCCTGCCTACCCTGTGCCAGGCACTCAACTCTTTGCAACTGCTTTATAAGGGCTGCTTGGCTATTTCCTCAACTTGTACATGTTGAAATTCAGGCACAAAGTTATTAAATAATCTGGCCAAGGAAGTCACAGAGATAGGAATAGAAAAAACTCAGATTATATTTCTGTTATGGTCTTAACCACTATGCTTATGCTGTTCCTAGATAGCAAACCCCAACAGAGAGGGAAGCATTTGGGGAGCTCTTGTAGTTGGGTGGGGAACATGTATGTTATACCACAGTCATACAAGAAATAAAAAGTAAAACCCAAACTGCAGATACATAGATATTGAGCCTAGCTTCAGCCAAGCTAACTGTACTCTTTTTTCTTAGAGTCCCTTGACCTTGACTCTTATGTCAGATTATGTAGCCTGTTTGAGGAAAGGACTTTGCAGTTAGGACTAGATTCAAATAATTTTGTCACATATTTCTTGTAGAATTTTGAATGTCATTTAGTGTCTGTAAGTCTCCGTTTGAGAAATTAAAGTGAGGCTAATTTCTCAAACTGTATAGTGGATACCTTTCAGTGCTGGATCATCAGGTGGAAGACGATTAAGTGGGGTGATGATTGTGCTCTTATTGTCCCCCCAAAACCAGCTTCCGTCTCATCTCTCCCAGGAAATTTCACTGAGGAGCAGTGATGTCTTACTGTTCTAAACCCTTCTTTTAGCCATATTATTACCTTACTGAATACTTACTGTGTACCCATTCTATGCCAGTTGCTAGAAATATGATGGTCCTTGTCCGCAGGGGGATTAGAGTTGAGAGCTTAAGAGTACAAGGTAGCTTATGCTCTTTTTTTCATTTGTATTTGCCTCCCCAGTCAATTTAATGAACTTACTGCAGGCAGATATCTCTTAAGTCTTGTCCTCTTCATTTCCAACACTGCCTCCCTGGTCCTTGTGGCCATCCTCTCTTATCTGTTTGACAATAGCCTCCTAATGGGTCTGTCTCATTGCATCTTCACTGACCAATTCATTCTCAGTGCTGCAGCCCAAGTGTTATTTTTGCAAGGCAAATTTGATGAATGATTTGCCCTATTTAAAATCCCCCACCTACCCAGTGACTCTAATTTGGTCTTTGGTTATAGAATAAAATCTGCAACTTAGTCCGAAGGGCCTCTGTGGTTTAGCCCTGATTGTCCCCTCCAGCCTCATTCCATATGACTCTTGATGGATCATACCCTTGTGGTAGTTGTGTTCCTCCTATGTTCCACGTCCCATCTTCCATGAGGTTGTGCTTAGTAGAATAATATTTTTCCCTCTCTGACTAGGTCTTGTCAGAGCCTTACGAAAGCCCAATGGGGCTGACTTGATAACTTAGCCAAGGGTTAGTTCTTGGAAAAGATTGGTGCTCATTCTATCAGTGTTTTTAGAACCTTAAAATTTGAGAGCAAAAGAACTACATCTGCCACCTCTGCCAGGCTTTGTTTTATAAAGAAGTAAACTGAGGAGAGTTGAGAAGACATATGCCAAAGGTTACAAAGTGAAAGGGTGGTAGAAGAACAAAAATGCCAAAGAAATTAATAAATTTTTCTCCCAGAGGGTGTAAAATACACCCAGCATTTCTAGGATATGTACGCTACTCTTGGCTGTAGTTTGAACATCACTGGAAAGTGTTGGATTTAAGCCTTGGGCACCAGTGCCTCAATTTGCAGTTCAGACACTGCCTAACAATTCATTGCCACCACCTTTTCATTGGTGAACCCACTGAAAATATATCTCATTCACATAAAAAGAAAAATAATGTCAATGAATATCTATGGAGATGTTCAAGCTGATTACTTAATAGGGAAATTAAAATAAAAGCAACATCCAGAGTACATTTTTCACATATCAAATTGGCAAATATTAAAAAGATGGATCATATCCAGCGCATTATCTTTAGGATGTGGAGAAATAGTGTTTTTGTTTGTTTGTTTTTTATATAATTTAAGTTCTAGGATACATGTGCACAAGGTACAGGTTTGTTACACAGGTATACATGTGCCATATTGGTTTGCTGTGCCCATCAACTAGTCATTTACATTAGGTATTTCTCCTAATACTATCCCTTCCCCAGCACCCCACCCCCAAACAAGCCCCAGTGTGTGATGCTCCCTGCCCTGTGTCCAAGTGTTCTCATTGTTCAGTTCCCACCTATGAGTGAGAACATGTGGTGTTTGGTTTTCTGTTCCTGTGTTAGTTGAGAATGATGGTTTCCAGCTTCATCCATGTCCCTGCAAAGGACATGAATACATCCTTTTTATGGCTGCATAGTATTCCATGGTGTATATGTGCCACATTTTCTTAATCCAGTCTATCATTGATGGACATTTGGGTTGGTTCCAAGTCATTGCTATTGTGAATAGTGCCACAGTAAACATACGTATTCATGTGTCTTTATAGTACCATGATTTATAATCTTTCGGGTATATACCCAGTAATGGGATCGCTGGGTCAAATGGTATTTCTAGTTCTAGATCCTTGAGGAATCGCCACACTGTCTTCCGCAGTGGTTGAACTAATTTACCAACAGTGTAAAAGCATTCGAAGAAATAGTGTTTTCATATACTGTTAATGAGAATGTAAATCAGGAAAGCTTTTGGCAAAATTTATCACGTAAAACCCTTTGACCCAGCAATGCCACTTGTCAGGCTCTCTTCTCCTAAAGTACTCATGTAGGATTCAGAGTAGTTTATAAGATGATTCATTGCAGATTGCATGTAATTGTGAAAAATAAGAAGCAAATTGCAAATCCCTCATAGGGAACTAATTAAATTAGGGCACATCTACTTCATGGGTTGAATATAGCTAGTTTTAATGAGAACATCTATATGTACCAGAAAGTTTTAGGGGGAAATAGTAAGATATGTATCAAAAACCGTGAGATGGCATATATGAAAAGTAGAATTAATAAGGGATGGTGAAAGTGGATGTTTCATGTTTTATATATTTTTGTTGTTTAAAACTTTTACTAAACATGTCTTCTATAAATAAAAAACTTAAAGCTTTATGGGGAAAAAATGAAGAGAATTTAAGAGGATCCCAATCTTCTTCCTAATTGACTTAGTTAAGTTCTGGCCTGAATAGAACATAGCAACTGCTGGAAACTTAAGGAAAAGACTTGATTAGAAATTTAGTGCTTATAAAATACTGCCATGTACTGGGGAAACCTGCTGATTTCAGCAGTTAGGACACCAGGAGAATAGCTGATTGGCAGTTTGCAAGTAGCTTGTAGGGTGTAAGTTGGCAGAAATGCAAGCCACACAATGTATACAGACGTCCTGCTGGATCTTTCAAACCTAGGGATGGCAGAATCATAGTCTGTAAATTCTATTCAAGTTAAGTCCAATTTTTCTATCTAAGTAACAGAGTTGCTTCTTCTGCACTCACTTGCCTAATTCTCTCACATTCAGACTGTGTAACTGCAGACCACTTGCATTTGTTTTCTACTGCTGCTGTAACAAATTACTACAAACATAGCGGCTTAAAACATCACGAATGTATGACATTATAGTTCTGAAGGTCAGAAGTCTGAAATGGGTTTTATGGAGCTCAAATCAAAATGTCGGCAAAACTAAATTCCTTCTGGAGGCTCTAGGGGAGAATCTGTTCCTTGCCTTTTCCAGCTTCTAGAGGCTACCCACATTTCCTGGCTCAAGGCTGCATCACTCCAAATTCTGCTTATGCTATTACATCTCATCTTCTTGCTCTGACCCCCCTGCCTCCCTCAAACAATCCAGGATAATCTCTTCATCTCAATATATTTAACTTAATCACATCTGCAAAGTCCTTTTTGCCATCTAAGGTTTTGTATTCTCAGGTTCCAGAGATTAGGACATGGCCATTATTCTGCCATGCCACCTATTCTGTTAGAAGACCCTCAGTGACTAGCAGGGTGACCCAAGATAAGGCATCTTTGTTTGCTCTCTCAGTAAATTTGAAATTAGGAACCTGTAGCTATCACTGCCTTCCTACACCACCCCATGAGAGAGGGATAATTTGAGAGATGTCAGACTTGAAGGTCTTCCTGTCATTTTAGGAGAAGAGTGTATGCAAAATTACTGGTGATGGCATGAATTATACTACCAGTGATACTATCAACTTTGATTTTTCTCTATTTCTAAGGCGGTATGAACTGCTTAGTTCTGCTGTCATAAGGGAAGGGACTATTGCTTTAGGCCCTGACCCAGTGTTTTCCCACACAGTCATCACTATGGATGCTCATTGTCTTGTTTTTTGTCCTATTGTCTAAGGCAAGGTTATATATGGAGTATTTTAGAAGGAATTAAATTCTCAGATATTCACTAACATAAGAACATCCTCCCATAAAGTCAATCGATGATGCTGAGTTATCTCCGAAGTTGTCAATACAGTTTCAAATGTCCCAGAAAAGAGCGTGAATGGGACTCAGCAATACCATGGCACAAATATATAGTAATGGGGGAAAAAAGAAATAGAAATTACAAGGTGTGAACAAAAGGTACTGCTGCAAATATTAATGTAGTGGTGCTAATGTGCAGTATTTTTGCTGCATCCAACATGAACCTGTGATGCTATGTCCTGGATACCACAAATAACAACCCTTTACATACTCATGGTTTAAAAAAATATTATTATTCTATGTGATCTTTGTGCTAACCCTAAGATGCTGGCTGGGACTCATATCTTTAACATACAGAGCAGAGAAATGAGGCTCTGAATCACTGTCCAAGGTTTAATCTCCCTAAGAGGTGAATTATGACTTGAACTTGTGTTATCTACACTTCTATTTTCTTATCTTCAAAATAAAGATAAGAAATGGGATTTTTTGAGAAATAAATATTAATATTTGTAAAGTGCTTAGAATACTTCTCAGAACATAAACTCTAAATAAATGATATATAAACTAAACACAAACTTAGAGCTCCTTGGCATGTATCATCTTATAACTAGAAATTTCTTGAATAATAAAATCAACATCAAGGAGGTAGTGATTGTATGAATAATGGGTTAATAATAATATATATGCAAACTTTACTCCATTTTAACACTATGACCCTTCACACCTCTGTAACTCTCAATTAAAATTAGATGTCTTTTCTGCTTCTTTTTTGTTCGGCTTTAGCAGTTACTTGTTTCTAGCCATTACTGTGCGATGATTTAATCAGTAACTGTACCTTCTGTTTGACTCTAAGCTGCAAGAAAGCAAAGTCTAGCGCTTACTTTTCACTGTTGTATTTAATAGCACCTAAATGCTACCTGGTAGATTCTCAAATATTTAAAAGAATGGACCAGAAACTGAATCAAATTAAGTTATCATGTGCTGTGCTCCCATCTGCTATGTTTTCATTCCCTAATGAAATTGTGGCATAAAATTAACCTCAAATGTTGGGAAAATACTCCGATTTACAACTTTCTTTAATGTGTAACTTGAGTCATTGGATTAATTGCCAACTCATATTCGAGGTTATAAAATGCTTTCACAGTCATTTATCTCTTCTCTTGGAGCCTCACTGTAGTTCTTAGAGGTAACTATGGATGGTTTTGTCTCTCTTTTTAGAGATAATACAACAGAAGCCCCAAGAAAGAAAATGTCTTTTCCAACATCATAAATCTAGTCCATGTCAGAAGTAAAACTAGGCAATATATCATTCACATCTTTTATAGTAGTAATAAAACTGTATTGATGATTAGTAGTCAGGATTAAGCTAGTGTGTGTGTGTGTGTGTGTGTGTGTGTATTCATTTAATGCACTCAATAGTTAATTAGATGGCATTATCACTATTTTACAGATAAAGAAAATGGGACTGCTGACTGGTTAAAATTTGTGCAACTAATCATTTCTAATTGTCGGAGCAGAAATGAAACCTCTGGAACCATGTCTG
Organism: Homo sapiens; assembly: GCF_000001405.40. Lineage (NCBI taxonomy): Eukaryota > Metazoa > Chordata > Mammalia > Primates > Hominidae > Homo > Homo sapiens. Next base: position 153,423,029 of record NC_000005.10, read on the forward strand.
CATGGTTTCAGAGCCTGAGATTTAAGCCACCATACTGCACTTCTTTCCTTCTCAATGTGATTTTATTTCTACTACAAGATGCTGACTCCCCTGTGCCCTTTCTTGACACTTAATGAGTTTATTGCCTTATTCCCTAATGTACGAAGTCCTACTTGTTTTCACTTTTCCTATTTTTATTCTGTTCTGACCTCTGGGAATAACGTTTAGCAAAGCTGGGACAACCTACCTTCCCTAGCTGACAGACAAAAGAGAAGATGCCTTTCAATTACCATCACTTAACTAGTGGAAGCTAGGCTCTTTGAAAAGAGTATAATGAGTTTTCACAGGACAAAGGAAATTATCCAAAACATAGCATGTTTCGACAGTGAAACCTGCTTCTGAATATTTTGCCCTTAGCAATTGTCAGTACATAGCATTTAATAATCCCCACAGTACACATGTTCAGTGGAGACCTCTTAGCGCTTGCTCATGGAAGAGTGTGACACTTTCAATTTTCACATCAGTGTAGGGCTTGGGGTTGAGAGTCATGGCAGGATACCACAGCATCAAAGAAGGTTGGAGCTGAAAAAGAACTTAGAACAGACCTAGAAGAAGACAATTTTCATATCACTGCTGCATCCTTCACACTTAACACAACATTTAACACAGAAAAGATACTCGATAAATATTTGAAATTTTTTGAAATAGACTATAGTTAACAATAATCTATTGTATATTTAAAAATAGCTAGAAGAGAATAATTCAAATGTTTCTAGCATAAAGAAAAATATATTTGAGGTGATAAATATCCCAATTACCCTACTTTGATCTTCACACATTATATAAATGTATCAAAATATCACACATACCCCCAAAATATGTATATTATATATCAATTAAATAGATAATTAAAAATTAAAAACTGAAAAAGAAATTTGTTGAATTGATAAATGAAGACCATTTTACAGATAGAGAAATAGAAGCTTGGACCAAAAATGTAATTTACCTAAAGTCACTCAGAAAATCAGAGGTAAAAGTCATGTTTTATGACTTTCATTTTTGTCACTTACTGTTTTAGTCCATTAACTTAGTCATGCCTACAGAGGTGGGATACTTAATTAAATACAGGACAGAATATGGGAAGGAGTAAGATGTGGTTCCTGATCTCTACATCCACTGGGGGAAATGAGACAGGAGGGCAAGTATTTGGATAGAAAATAATTAGTGATTCATCCTAAAAAGCCTTCACACATACACATTTCAGGATGCATGTATAAGAGATTTGTTGAAAGCCCTTAATATACTGAAAAAGTATCAGAACATACGCCTATCAATAGGACAAATAGAAGGCAAACTGTAACACATCCATATCAGAGATCACTACTTGACCATTAAAATTTATGACACGATGTATAGAAACTGACATAGAAATCTCAGTACTGGCACAAAAACAGTCACATAGACAAACGGAACAGAATAGAGAACCCAGAAATAAGTCTACACACTTACAACTATCTGATCTTCAGCAAATCTGACAAAAACAAGCAATGTGGAAAGAACTCCTTATTCAATTAATGATGCTGGGATAACTGAGTAGCCATATGCAGAAGATTGAAACTGGACCTTTTCCTTATACCATATACAAAAATTAACTCAAGATGGATTAAAGGCTTAAATGTAAAACCCAAAACTATAAAATCCCTGGGAAACAACCTAGGCAATACTATTCTGGACATAGGAAGGGGCAAAGATACTAAAAGCAATTGCAGCAAAAGCAAAAATTGACAACTGGGATCTAACTAAACAAAAGAGCTTCTGCACGGCAAAAGAACCAATCAACATAGTGAACAGACAATCTACAAAATGGGAAAAAATTTTTGCAGACTATGCAGATGACAAAAATCTAATATCTGGCTTCCACAAGGAATTTAAATTTGCAAGAAAAAAAACACCCCATAAAAGTGGGCAAAGAACATGAACAGACACTTTTCAAAAGAAGACATACAGGCAGCCAAGAATCATATGAAAAAAAAGCTCAACATCACTGATAATTACAGAAGTGCAAATCAAAACCACAGTGAGACACCATCTCACACCAGATAGAATGGCTACTATGAAAAGTCAAAAAATAGCAGATGCTGGTGAGGCTGTGGAGAAAAAGGAACACTTATGGTGGGAGTGAAATTAGTTCAAACATTGTGGAAGATGCTGTGGCAATTCCTCAAAGACCTAAAAACAGAACTATCATTTGACTCAGCAATCCCATTACTGAGTATATACCTGAAGAAATATAAATAATTATATCATAAAGATGCACGCACATGCATGTTTGTTGCAGCACTAGTCACGATAGCAAAGGCATGGAATTAACCTAAATGCCCATCAGTGGTAGACTGGATAAAGAAAATACGGTACAGATACACCATGGAATACTATGCAGTCATAAACAAGAATGAGATCATGTCCTTTGCAAGAACATGGATGGAGCTGGAGGCCATTATCCTTAGCAAACTAATATAAGAACAGAAAACCAAACACTGCATGTTCTCATTTATAAGTGGGAGCTAAATGATGAGACATATGGACACAGAGAGGTAAACAACACACACTGGGGCCTTTTGAAGGGTGGAGGGTGGGAGGAGGGAGAGGATTAGGAAAAATAACTAATGAGTACTAGGCTTAATACCTGGGTAACAAAATAATCTGTACAACAAACCTTCACAATACAAGTTTACCTATATAGCAAACCTGCACATGTACCCCTGAACTTAAAAGTTAAATAATAATAAAGAAGAAAGATCAGTACCAATAGTATGGAGTTGGAGGCAATAAGCAATCACAAGACATGTACAAAGTGTGCTCCTATTTATGTACATCTGTTCCTAAGTCCGAGGTTGTAAATCTGTGGGCTGTATCTGGCTTACAAATGTCTTATATGGCCTAGTAGCACTTCTAAAAATTTAGAATTCATTGCTAATATCTTAAAGTCAGAAGCTTTTATGAAAAAGTCTGAATTTGGTGCTAGGCTTAAGAAACTGAAGCATCTTAAACAATGCTGGGGGCTCTGCATTCCCAGGAAGCAGCAATTCCTGGGAGCAAGGTTGTGGCGCCCCCTACAGACAGGGCATGTACTTCAAACACCCCTGCTTAGCATATTTATACTACTTCTTGGTCATTCTAGGTATTTGGGTTCTGTATCTCCCTCCCTTGCCAGTGAAGGTGCACCAAGAACCTGGAAGTATGCACATTGAACTACTCACTTGAAGGAAAAGTGAGTTGTGAGGGTGGTGAGGGTGGAACTCTGGTGAGCAGTTTTCATGGTTCATTTTATAAACTTACATATTGTTTATCTTTTCTGGAAGGCACTATTGGTTGTATAAGATAAAATTGCAAATACTGGGGAGGAAAAATAGAATCTGTAGGCAGTATTTGGCCCACACCTAGGGGGATGGTTGTAGCTTGAGCTTTTGGGGATGCAGGTAGAACACGCTGCAAAGAGGAGATGCTCTTAGTAAAGGCTCTTACTCATGTTATTTCCTTTCCACCCTGTGACTCCACTTTACAACCCAGCCTCCAAGTTCATGGACACTGGGAAACACACAAAACGCTTTGCCCAGAAAACCTACAGAGTCCATATGGCTCTGTCTAATAACCCCAAAGGATCTCTCCTTTTCCCTAAGACAAATGCCCACAAAGTGCTCCTCTTAAGTTTCGAGAGGCCTCGAACTTTAATATCAGTTTTAGGAATTTAGGGATTATATAGGTGGAAAAAAAAAATTCTGAAAAACATCCTAGGTTGAGATTTGGGGGAAGAGAAGAAAGAGAGATGAAAAGAAATACAATTGTGACTTGCCTAACGGTTTTGACTTTCACTGAGTTTTCTATAGACCTCAGTTTCCACATCTGTAAAATAAGGGAGATGAATTAGATTCTTTTAACAACATTAAAGCTCTAAAATTGGGCTTTGGTTTCTGGATTGACCCATCTGGGAAATTACAAATGCAGTTCAAATGGCTTAATGTTGCCTGTCTTTCGTGAATGTTATAAGAGTTCTTATTTGAGGAGATGGACAGAGCTCTCAGAGAGTACCATCTTTCCAAAGATTGACTGAAGCTGTTATCACAGAGATTATTCCAATCAAGATGCATTCTCCTGGTCCGTTTGAATTCTGCAGCCAAGTAAAGTAATAAGACCTTGCATTTGTACAACAATTTTTTTCATTTCTAAAGTGCTATCCATTTCTGTCCTGAATTTTATACTTACATCAATACTATAATGTAGGCAAAGCAGGAATTTTAAAAATCACATTTGAACAATGGGAAATCTTGGACTTGAGTTGCTCTCAGGGAAGCAGCAATGACATACTTACTCAACAGGGTGATTTAGAGCTGACCCTGTCTCTAAGCTTAACTGTTAGAAGACTGGCTATGTGACTTTGGGCAAGTTGCTTAGGCTCCTGGAGTCTCAATTTCCTTATCTGTTCACTGGGGATAAATATTCACCTGCAAGATTACCTGAGATGATGTATAAGCTAGGTCATCAAAAGCTAGGTTTGCCTGCCAGCATTCATCTTGTATGAGATGGAGACAAGCGATTGGTTTTGAAGAGATATATGGGAGGTAAATACAACTAAAGAGAATTTGGAGATGATAATGACAGATAAAGAGCTGTTACAGATGGCCCCTTTATTTCTGATGGCACCACTCTCTGAGAGAGTGGACACTGGAGGGGGTCTGGGACAGGCTTGATACAGAAGGGAAGAAGTTTGAGTTTGGCTCTGGACAGGCTGATTTTCAACACCTTTGATATATTTAAACGGAGATTTCTAAAGGGCAGACATCAGGGCTATGGATGCTGGATTTGCTAGTTTCTTTCCTTGCTTGCTTGTTTTTAACACTTGCTCTAATATGTTTGAAATGTCTCAGTGAAATTAGAGCAGTGTATTAGGATGTTGCCCTGAGTGAATCTTGAGGCTAGATAGTCACCTAACACATCATTTTGGAGTCCAGTATTTCCCAAAGCAGTCAGAGAGTACTATTCACTGACATGTTAACTGCAAGAAAAAAATTCATAGTACAATATTTTCAAGATATGCAGTACATCTGCCTTCCATCTCCCCTTCCCCAAGATTGACAGGAACATATTAAAAGCATTCAGAAGTGTGGTCCTAAGGCAAGCTTGTTTAATTTTAAACTCAAAGTCTATCTACCTTATTAGACCAAAGAACCCCCCTTCTTCCCCCCATGTCTTTCTAATTGATAGCCTGTAGATCTGGTTTTGTGGAATAGATTTCAAAGTGTTTTTATGCATCCAAGGAGGAAACAGAGGCTTTGAGAAGGTCTATGCCTTGCCTGAAGTTCCTCAGTATCTCATCAGACCAGAACCCAGTGTTCCTAACTACTGTCCTGGATTCTACCTGCCTCCTGTCCTGCCTGAAGTATACGCTTCTGCAAGCAAGCAAACAAGCAAGCAAAGAAAGAAAAGAAAGAGAAGGAAGGAGGGAAGGAAGGAAGGAAGGAAGGAAGGAAGGAAGGAAGGAAGGAAGGAAAGAAAGAAAGAAAGAAAGAAAGAAAGAGAAAGAGAGAGAGAAAGAGGGAGAGAGAAAGAGAGGAGAGAAGGAGAGAAGGAGAGAAAGAAAGAAAGAAGAGAAAGAAAGAAAGAAAGAAAGAAAGAAAGAAAAAGAAAGAAAGAAAGAAAGAGAAAGAAAGAGAAGCTGGACAACAGTCAAATCCAGTACTCATTCTTCACCAGGCATTGCAATGCACCTCCTCAAATTGCCCTCCCTTGTTGCCTGCTTAACTGATCCAGAAAACAACCCAATTCATATTTTATAACATAAGTTTACACCCTTGTCACACCTATTATTGGAGGTTATCAAATCATTCTACCAACTTTAATGAATTCTTACAATGCTCCTACAGAAGAGATTAAGAGAACATTTTACTACTGTGACTCTCTGGGGACATTTTAATGAGGATATTGATAACCTCTTGCTACACAAATCTTCAAGTGAATTCTCATGTAAGAAAATAACTTGTTTGGTTCTGCTATTACTCTATATACTCATATATTCAAAAGGCCCCATCCATTCCAACCAAAAAGTCCTTTATTTCTGTAGCATCTTACCATTTAAAAAGCTCCTACATGTCCATTACTAACTCTTTCCTGACACAACCCTAGAAGTATGCAGAGGTGGATGGTCACCCTTAGTTTACAAAGAAGGGGATTAGCATCTAGCAAAACTAGTGTCCTTCCCAAAGACCCAGCAAGAGTCAGAATTCATATCCAGATGTCATTCATTCCTACTAGTCCCAAGCTCTATGCTAAGTGTGGGAAAGTACACTAGAAAACTAAATAAATATGATGTCTGCTGTCTTGGGCTTAGACAGAGCTCAGTAAAGGGGACAGAAAATAGAAAATAAAATAAATTATGACAGTTTCTGAAAACTGCCTTGAAGGAAGCAAATAGAAGAAATATTTTTCCCACAGATATTCAGAAGTATTACTCCCTAACTTCGTTCAGGTGTCTACTCAAATCACTTCAGAGCCAAGGCGACCATGTTATCCAACAGAGCACTAGTAAGAACTGAAGCGTATTTTGTTTGGCAGGAAAAAGAGGGCCCCAAAAGGATAGGATGGGGACCTAAAGCCATCATAGATAAATTATAAGATCTTGACTCTTTTTCTAGACTATTCTTTCCAGATCCCAAATTGTCTCAGGACAGCACATGATTTGAGATAGAAAAAAAGAGAAAGAGACTAACCAAAGGTCCTGTCTGTGGCTAATTTTTTCTCCAAAAAAAGATGTGTGTCTTCATGTCAGTATGGAGAGCCCAAGCATCACAGAAAGAGTAGAAACACAACCTCTTTAGAGGACTCTAAAGGCAAGTAAATTGCATCATCTTCCCAAACTGTAACCTTTTCAATTTCAGTATCTGGAAATACCCTGGGCCGCAGTCCTGACACCACTCTCATTTGTTGCATCACCATAGCAACTTTTAGGGGCTGCATCCTCAATCACATGGCAAACTAATTGAACTGTACAACTTATTTTGCAGCTGGGAAATGTAAAAATGAATCTTACATTTAATCATACTTGCTGCATTGACATTCAAATCAAAAGGCTTTGTTAGGGCTCCTGGAAAATGAAGTGTCATTTTGCCATCACAATGTTTCACTCAGAGGCACATCCTTCCCACTTTGAAGTGCTAAGTGAATGGTAAAGAGAAAAGCTTTTTGGTTTAGGAGTGGGGAAGGGTGGGGAGGGGGAAAGGAAAGAACAAAATCTGGATGAATTACAGGAAAATGAATAAATGTCATTAAATCAAATTTGAGTTCATTGCAAATGCTGTACAAAATACTTGTCCTGTGATTTTTCTTTTTCTTTTTTTTTTTTTTAAAGAGGCAGCAACATTTATGGAAAGAACTTTCGAATCACAGACCTACTCTGTACTCCCTAGCTCTGAGACCTCAGTCAAGTCAACTAACTCCTGATAACTTGAATTTCCTTGCATGTAAATTTGAACTAAATTAATACTCACCTGACAGGTATTTCTAAGGTAAGTGAAGTACATATAAGCATTTGTAAAACATATAGCATAGTATCTGACACAAAGTAGACACTTATTGTCATTTTCCTTCCAAAGCTTGGACCATAATATTTGGCTAATCATGTGCCAGCACTGAACACAGCAGACAGTGTATTGGGTATGTTATGTGCTTGGCTTCATGTAACCGTAAAACCAGCTCTAGGACATAGGTATTGTTATCCCCACTTTGCAGACAGAAGACACTGAGGTTTAGAGAGGTTGATAATGATTAAAAACTATCCAAAACCTGGGAATTGAGAGAAAGGGACAATCACACATCCTTTCAGTACTGGAGCTCTAATGGGCTCACCCAAGGTTTATCTGATTCTTAAGGGGAATGGACTTCATCTGGCTTCTAATTAATTAGGCCCGGATTATTTCATGCAAGATGTTAATTTGTAAATGATAAATAAGTCACAAATGAGTTCTGCCTGGTAGAGAGCAAATGATTTCTGTCTAGTAGAAAAGATAACCCCAGAAGCTATGGTTTCAATTGGCCTGTAGGACATTAACTACCTTTGTATATAACTTAGCCATCTTATTTCCATGTGTGTGTTTTGTTTTTTTTTCTTCAGTGACTCCATACACACCTCTGGGATCCTTCTTTGAGCTTGATCGTCCTTCCGGTTACTTCATTAATGAGATAATCTCTGATGTGTGTTCACTCTATATTTGTATGAAAGTCATGGCTTTTTAAATTTTTGTTTTTATTTTTGAAAATTACACTTGGATAGTAATTTGTACAAGGATCATCAAGCTCAGAAGGAGTACAACATAATTTGTCTGGCTTTCCTCAAGGAGCACCAAGAAAGACAGCCAACTGTGCCTTGATTTAACATAGTATGCACTGCAGTCTTGAGGTATTGGTAAAGTTAAGTTATACAAGCTCTAAGGAGGAATACTTCTGTTTCTTATTTTCAGGGGGTAAGAACAGTGGAAGATGTCACAAGAGAGGAGACATTTAAGGCAGCATTAAGTAATGAGCAGATTTCTCTGATTCTCATCATATGTGGAAGAATAATCTCCAAAAGTTATTAAGTATTAAGAAAAAAATAGGAAGGGTAATAACAATAGCAGTGGTAATGATGCTTAATTGTTTTATAACTCTCACCTCACTGATGCTTTACAAAGCCTCTATGAGGTAGGCTATTTCCATTTTCAGATGAAACGGAGGCACAAAAGAGCTTAAGTGGCTTCTCCAAGGACACCAGACAGGCCAGTACAGAGCTGGATGTTGAGTCAGTGCCCCTGTCCTGGGCCCATGTTCCTCTGTGCCTCTCCTGCCTCTGTCTTAATATGTTCACTAAGATTTCTAGCCCTTGGTCTTGGGGGACATACAATCTCAGGCTTAGTCCTTTGGCTTCAGGCAGGATAGAAATTTTTATTCCTGCTTGACATATGAGGAGCCCTTGGAAGCTTGAAATGTGTAAATGACTTGTCAGCTAGGAAGAGGTTGAAAGAGGAGACTTTGAGATGAAAGTCTTTCCTTTTAAGACACTACATTGTTCTTTTTTCTGGCTAGGCTATTGCTGGCTTGCTTTCTAACCCTTCTTAGCTGTCCATCTGTACCTGGTCATGGTGCTATGTGGAGAGAAGGATAAATGGTCTTTCCCGTGTCATCCCTCATGAGGAGATATGATGCAACACAAGGCTGTGTGTCACCAGTGCAAAATGATAGAGGGTAACTGGAAGAGAGAGGGCAAGAGAAACTGTAGGATTTAGCCTCACAGTGGACAATCAATATTTTCATTCTTCTGGCTTTACGAAGATGATTTCTGTCTTACTTATCTATTAGCTACCCTCACAGCATCACTTCTGAAAGTCCTCCTTGGGTCTCTATAGTTCTATCTTTGCAGAAGAAGATGAGAAGAGGGCTGGGTCATCCATCCTGGCACAGGATGAGGTGATGGAGTGAGTACTGGGTTAACAATCAAGAGACCAGATGTCTAGTCCTAGCTCTGCCTCTGAGTTGCTATGTGACCTTGGCTGACCCTGTGTGACCCTGTGCTATGTGACCCTGTGCCTCTCTTTTCTCATTTATGCACTAAGCAGGTTGGACTGGCATGCTATGATTCAGGAAATGTATTTTTGCAGTCAGTGACAGAAGAAAATGTTAACAGTGAGGAGACTCAGTGATGAGGAACCCCACACACCCCCTCACACACACACACACACACACACACACACACACACTGAGAGGAGGCAACCACGTGGCATGGAAGGAGCTGTCAAACCTCTTCTAACTTGGGACAGAGGTGTAGCCTGCTATAAACAGAAAGAGCATTCGAAAAACAGATGGATGGGAAGGCCCAAGTGAGAAGATCCTGAGCAAACGGGCTCTGTGCTGATATGTTATATTCAGATGTCACCAGTAAAAAGGCACAGGGAATGAGCAATTGCTTCATGATGAAACCATTCTTGCCAACTTTGCACACCCAAAGTGAAGGACTGGGAGAAGAGGGTCCAATTCAAGACGTACTGCATCTCTCTGAGCCCCTCCTGATACCCCTTTGCCCTGACATTCCTCTCTACCCTTTCCCTCCTGCCATAGGGAATTGGAAGATAGGAGTCTGGGCCTAGACCTGGTCCTGCCAGGAATTAACTGGGTGGCTAAGCAAAGCCTGTTCTTTCTTTGGGTCTCAGTTTGCTTCTCTGTAAATGAGAGGTGAGATAAATAATGACTTGTCGCTATAGAACATTTATGTGTCAGACAACATGTTGTCTCTTGTGACACTTAGAAGTTCCTAAGAGATGCTTTCATCCTCTTGACAGATGAGAAAATTGACACCCAAGTTAAGTGATTTGCACATGGTCAGACACCTAGGAAGTGGTTTTCTGACTGCCGGGTCTGTACTTTCTCCTAAGGTGGAGACACAAGTTACCTACCTCCCTCTACCCCACCTCCTCACTTCCCCCTGATGAGAGACATTACCAATCCATCCCAGCCCTCTGATTCTGACTTCAGAAAGACCATAGTTGATTAACCTCTCCCTTTCATCCCTCTACAGTCTATTCCCACCACAGAAGCTAAAGTGATCTTTCCTACATTTAGATTATACCATTCCCCAGATTAAGTCCTCTAATGGTTTCCCAACTCACTCGTATAAATACAAATCGTTACTATTGTCTTCAAATCCCTATATGGTCTGGATTCTTGCCATTTTTCCAACTTCATTTCTTCTCTTTCTTTTGATTATTCTATTCCAGCCACTCTGGTCTTTTTGCTTTGCCAGAACACTAAACTCAGCTTGCACCAGCCTCGAGACCTTTGCACTTGCTATTTTCTCTGCCTGGAAAGCTTTTCTCCCAGACATTTAAGTAGCACCTCCTTTCATTCAGATCCTATTCAAATAACCTATTCTCAATCCTGCAATAGGTGTTGCTGACCACATATCTAAAGTGATGACTTTCTCCCCTCCTATTGGTCTATTTTTACTCTATTTTTCCTTGTTAAATATTTATCACTGAGTGAAACCAAAGTATCCATCTGTTTATTTATTTCTTTATCTCTCTTTCCTGTAATAGGTTCTGTTTGATCAAGGACTTTCTTATCGCTGTGTCCTCAGCCCTCCAGCAGTCCCCTCCACCTCAGAGGAATCCAATAAAAGTGTTGAATTAATGAGAATTCATCATTATACCTTTTCCTTGTTAAACACAGTCATTTATAGTGGGGTTTCACTGCAATAATTTGATTCACTCAACAATAAAAGTGATAGTAACAGGAGATAGGGCTCTGACAGCCATCTTGGGAAAAAAGGCACATTTGGATGTCTAGTTCTGGGCGAATGAAGGAAGTCTTCTGACTCAAGGGTCTGTGTCACTGGTTGGGAAAAGAACATTAAACTCTAACACTAAACTCTAGCATAAGGCCTCAGGCTGACCTATTTGGCCTTTCAAAGTAATGGGTTAGGGCCGGGTGCAGTGGTTCATGCCTATAATCCCAGCACTTTGGGAGGCCAAGGTGGGTGGATCACCTGAGGTCAGGAGTTCAAGACCAACCTGGTCAACATAGTGAAATCCAGTCTATTAAAAATACGAAAATTATCCAGATATGGTGGTACATGCCTGTAATCCCAGCTTCTCTGGAGGCTGAGACAGGAGAATCACTTGAACCCAGGAGGCGGAGGTTGCAGTGAGCCAAGATGGTGCCACTGCACTCTGGCCTAGGTGATAGAGCGAGACTCTGTGTCAAAAAAAAAAAAAAAAAAAAGTAATGGCTTAGTTTCCCCAGACCTGTTGCTAGCTACAGTTATTGTGCAGTTTACATGCATCATCAACACTCAACCACCAAACTGCTGGAGAAACGATATTTTGATTGAATTGGCTATTTTTGTTAATAAAACATAAAACCCTTCAACATTTTTGCTTCTTCAAAACACTGTCTAAAGCATTCAGATGCAACATCCTGTACTTTCCTGCCCCAGGGCATGTCCTGTGAGCCCCAAGAGTCCTTGTGTCTAAGATTAGAAATGCTGATATTAGGGATCCCCAAAAGATAGTCCATCTTGAATAACTAATAAGTCTATGATCATTTCCTGCAAATAAATGTAGAATTGGAGAAAGTAAGAGAGAGTGGGCTGCCTTCCAGTCCCTTCGTAAAGTTTCCTTAAAGCTAAGCTAAATTCACAGGGTCACCTTGATTTCTTGAATTTGCTGTCTCTTTCCCTAAAAACTTAGGAGTGGGTTCTAACTGATAATATTAGCTCATTCTATGTATATTACAAATTAATTGATAAATTCATGAGAATTAGGTTTAATAGTACCCATCCAGTTGTCAGAATCATTTTCTTTTCTCATGGTACTGTATAGCCTGACTCTAGAGGGTGTGTATCACACTCTGATGCACCCTGCATGCATATCCATCACTGGAAGAAAACTCCTAAACACAGGACTTTATCTTGCTCATGTCACCACTGGTCTTAACACTAGACCTGGCACAAAGCAGGTGCTAGATCAATATTCATTTAATGGATGAATAAATAAGGCAAAAGAGTTGAGTAACCCAATTCAACTTTCTTCTCCTCCTACTTGGATGAGTGTTGTGTTTTCCTAACATAAAACTTCTCATCTCCACATTGGTGCTTAACAGTCAAAACCTTACTGTGAGGGGAAGCAAAGAGGATTAGTTCTTTTCACAAACAGCACAATGGAAGCTCACAATGATTTTATGATTTTTCTGAATTCCTTAAGCCAAGGTGCATCAGAGTAGAGCCTGGCACACAAGCCTGCTGGCTGCCCAGCCCAGCCCCATAAATGGGATGTGGGTCTTGACTGGACAAGCAGGCAGGAGTGCTGTCAGCCCTAAATTGGGGGCATTTACTACCACATGAGACAGGTTTACAGCCCAATTCCTGAGAATACACGGGCCCTGCTGCTCTTGTCCTTTTGCCTCTCCTTTTCATCTCTTTACTGTTCCTTATGCCACTAGGGTTTTCCAGAGTCTGGGAATCTTTGACACTAAAGCACCTTATAAAATCTTACACAGTAACAATACCAAATATCCATTTGTTGGGCCCCAATGGTGTACCAAGGTGCATAGCATGGGGCTCAGGCTCTGGAGTCAGATAGTCTAAGTTCAAATCTCAACTCTGCCATGTATCTGGGTACCTCAATTTCCTCATCTGTAAAGTGGGAATGCTGATAGTCCCTGCTTCATAGGGTAGTCAGGAGGATGAAATGAGGTAGTGCATGTAAAGACATGTAGAACTGTGCCTGACATGTGCCCATACCTTCATTTTATCCTCACAATCACCCTAGGAAGTAGATTATAATTATCCTATTTTATAGATGAGGCTTAGAAACATTAAGCAACTATTTCAACAGGGCTTTCTCAGCTGACCAGTGGTAGAAGTAATATATTCAACTGCAGGGCTATGTGACCCCAAAGCCCTGGCCTTTATCCACAGTGCTATCCACACAGCTACGCACCTGCATATGCTGCTTCTCAAAGGGCACTGGCATCTCAAAAGAGCATGCTGTAGAGCAGGCTGAAGCCAAAGAGTTCAATTCTCAAGGTGAATTCACAGGTCAATGTCACCAGATGGAGCAAAACTTTTTAGGAGAAGGAAGAAAGTGTCCTTTCAGGCTTTTCCAGAGCGAGGAGAGAGTGTCCTTTCCACCTATTAGAGGCAGCCTGCTGACACCCCTTCCAGGCTCACCTGAGGTGCACCAGCATTTGCTAATACCTGCTTTCCCCAGACCTTTATCCTATTCACCCACAGTTCTTTCCAATTAGATGACTAACAGGCTTGCTCCTTTACTTAAAAGGGAAGCTTCATTGTAAAACTCACTAAGGTGAAGGCAATTTCCTGGGGTTGTTAGCATGCTCTCCTCAGGACCAACTCCCTGCAAGCCTGAAGAAATGAGAGCTTGGATTATTTCAGCAGCTTCGATTATTCCTGAGGGAACTGGCTACCCCCATCGTCCCCCGCTCTTCACTACCTTACAGGGTACTCTCTTTCCTGGAGGGAGATTGGTAATTCCCTTTGGAAACACTGAGCAGTCTTCTAGAGGGCCTGTCTAGGGAAGTGATGAAATATCACATGCAGTGTGCACTAGAAGCCTTGTAAAGTCAATGAACTCAATTTTGTTCACTTTAAAGTGAAATGAACTTGCCTTAACACACTGAAGCAGACAAATCCATCCTTCATAGCAGAGAAGGGAACATGAGTGGAACTGTAACCAGGAGACAGGAATGGCAGATTTGTGGCCAGGAATTTCTCCCTAGTTTGTGCTCAGGAAAGCAGAAGTTTGGGATCATGGAAGGGGCAGCAGGCTAAGTGCCAGGTGAAACTCATCCCTCAGGACCTTCCCTAAGGCTAGCATCAGATCCATTCCTATCTTCCTTTTCCAGTCCTATCTCCACACTCTCTCCTTCAACCCTCAAGCATTCCAGCACACTCTCTGAATTCCAAATCAATGTCAGAATCTTACCACTTCTGGCCCTTTATCCTTCCTCTCAATTCCCACTTCTCCCAGATGTCTGATCTCACAGGCTCTTGCTTTAAGAGCCTGTTTCTCTCCTCCAAGCTAGAAGGGATCATCTTCTCATCCTCCAGACTCAGAAGAGCAATTTATCTTTACTACTCTTGGTGCTCTCATTACTGTCTATCTTGTAGGTGAAGGAACAGCCCCAAGGTCATATAGCAATTCAAGGCCAGGTCTCTTGACTTTCTCTCCTGTGATCTTTGTACTGCTTCATACTTCTCCTCAAATTTGGGAAGGCAAAATCTGAAGTCAGAATAGGAGCAAAAGGAGGCAGCTTTGTTTCTTACATTTGTTGCCAGAGAGGCTGCAAAAAGGCGGTTACCTAAGCCACAGAGGCCTTGATTTAGCAGTGAAGACCACAGGGAGTCACTCAGAATGGTTTATTTGTGCACATAGGTGGAGCTCCTTTGTCTACCTCTGACAGCAAGGTATCCCTGACTCCCATTCCCCTGGGAGCATCTATGAGGATGCACATATCTCATTGAAAATCTAAGGAGATAAAGTTTTATATGCTAGAATTGCTCCTAGGGACAGAGACAGAGAGTAAGAGGTAGAAAGAGAGATTAACACCCCATCCACAAGACAGGCCATCCTGGACTGCCTGTGATGTGGGAAATTGGTCAAGATGAGAGTTTATGAATTTCGATCAGAAAATTTAAATGTAGGAATAGAATTTAAAAAGGTATTGATTTTTTGGCATGGAGGGATTGGAAATAATATTTTGCTAAGAGGCTTGAGGCTAAGGGTTTGATGCCCAAAGATCATGTTTGGCCAGCAAGAGAAGTTTCCTAAATTGTCTCAAGGGGCACAGCTGTCTGCCTTGCAGCCAGCTATTTTCTTGTTATTCCTCTCTAAAGGAGTCCTGATTATTTTCAGATGTCAACCTTTCCCTCATTTGAACCAGGAAAGGCTCACCCATCCACTACCTCCAGAACGGCATCCTAACTAGTCTAAGCCAGGAGTCAGCAAACTAAAGCCCATGGACAAAACATGGCCAGCCACTGCTGCCTGTAAGCTAAGAGTGGTTTTTACATTTTCAAATGACTAGTAAAATAAACCAAAAGAAGGATAGTGTGTGTTGACACATAAAAATTATACAAAATTCTAATTTCTGTGGCCATGTTTTTTAACAGCTTTATTCAGATATAATTCACATACTGTACAATTCACCCATTTAAAGTATACAATTAAATGGCTTTCAATATATTCACAGGGCTATACAATTATCACCACAATCAATTTTAGAACATTTTCACTACCCCCAAAAGAAACCTCATGCCCTTAAGCCATCACCCCTCAATCCCCCTAGTACCTCAAGCTCTAGATAGTCAATAATCTATTTTCAGTCTTTGTAGATTTATCTGTTCTGGACACTTTATATACATAAATAAAGTTTTATTGGAACACATCCACGCTCATTTACATTTTGTCTATAGCTGCTTCTGCACTAGAACGACAGAGTTGAATTGTTGTGACAGAAACCATATGTCTCACAAAGCCTAAATTATTTACTATCTCCTTCTTTACAGGGAAAGTTTGCAGATCCCTGGTCTAAGCCAATTAGAGTCTGGCATTCCTTTAGAATCTGTTTTTGGGCCAGGGATGAGTATTTGAGCTTTGTTGACCCCATCAGACATGAAGAAAAAAATTTCCTCTTCACATGAAATAGGTTTCTTTTTCCTGAGCTTTGCAGGGTGTGACTCAGCTGCTATTGGAAGACATCTAGGCACTGTGAGTGGACAGCCTGATGACAGCAGTGAAGATGACAGAGCCAATAAAGAGAAAGCAGTTCAGTGCTGGATTACTGAATCAGCCAATCCTGAAATCCATGTACCTCTGGATTTCCTGTCACATGAAATATCCTCATTATTTAAGACAACATGATGTAGAGTTTCTGTTACCTATAGCCAAAAGCAGTCTACCAGATACAGCTTCTTGCTAAAGAGGTGGCTGAGTAATGTGCTGGTTTGGACCAAAGCTGAATTTTCCTGGACAATGAAAGAGAGTCTAAGCGTAGAAGCCATGAGATCTCTTCTTGCTCTACTCTTTCCCTATGCAATGTTCTGCCTCTGTAAGCAACTGGCAATGTTCAGAAGGGATTATTTTCAAGGAATACCAACGTATTGGCCTGCCTATTCATCTATATGTCCCTGGTTTATCAAGAAGGCTGCTCAAGTTTGAGATATGGCTCTTAACCCCATTTATAAATAAATAAATGAATAAAATGAATAAAAGTTGAATTGCTCTGTTTAAAGTAGGAATGTTATGTTTTTGAGGGTGGTGGGCAGAATCTGATCTATAGCTTACTGAGTCTCTAATGTACTCGTCTCAACATGTCTTTTATAGGAGGGAAAAATGTAGCCAGCACTTGTAGCTAGCTAGCCAAATCACCACACTCAACAATATAAGGGTCTCTTGCTAAGGAAGAAGAGGGAATGGGTATGCCTAGATAGAGGGAAACCTTTACCATCCTTGGTAAGCACCCCTTGATGTCAGCTCCAGTGCTTGGGAAAGCCACTGCCTGTTTAAGAAACCAGGTAACAGAAAATGTAAAGATATATTTTTCTTTCCTTCCTTTCTTCCTTTCTGTGGTGGGCATCTATTAAAATAAGAAGTTAAGAGATTTTGTTATTTTAAATTGGGCCTGCTGTGGTGGTACTATTTCAGGTATTTCTTTCTTTGTTATGCTTTTCCAAATTGTTTTTTAAATAATAACCATGTATACTTTTTAAAATCAAAATCAGTTTAATTTCATATTTAAAAATTATCTCATTAATATTTTCCCCAGTTTGCCCTGAAACCTCAGTTGGTCATCAGTGTGGTTATTCCGTGTGGAGAAGAAGAATCATTGTATGTTCAGTAAAATGGATAAATTCCTATTTAAAAGCATGTTCAGTAATTAAATTAGTATCAAGCAGAAAGCAGTAGTATTTAAGACTCTGGGGTTGACAGCCTGAACTTGTCACAGGCTTTTTAAGTGGCATTGACCAGTCAGTTCTTTTCTATTTAACTTTCTACTGCTTCTTGAAGCCTTGTTCCATGGGCTCATTTCTTTTAAAAGCATTTCTTAATGTCACCTAGCCTTTCCAAAGTTGAATTAGATAATCAACTTCTGTATTCTTAAGGTTTCTTAGTACATTCCTCCATCATAACTCTCACCTGGTTGAATTTTTAAAGGTTTTTTATGGAACTCCTAAGCTAAATGGTGAGTACTCTGTAGGAAAGTACTGTCTCTATTTATTTCAGCTTCCTTGAATTTGCTATTGTCCTACACACTTGATAAGTGTTTTTCAAATAAATGAATAACTAGCTTTCATTATTTCACTCTAAAGAATAAAGGCAGCTGGACCAAATAGAATCACTTGCATCTCTAAAATTGAAATTTTCTTCTCCAATTGCTCAATGACCTATAATAGAAGTGTTTATAAACTGCAGCTTATCATTTTTTTTTTTTGACTAACAGTGACACGTGCCCGAAGTAACAGCATCTTAAATAATACATGAGTTTATTTTTCCCTCCTACAAAAGACATGTTGTGATAAGTACGTAGTCATTAGAGACTCAATATCTCTTATTCCTCTGTTCTACTATCCTTACTGAATGACTCCTCTCTTCTAGGTTGCCTCATGGTTCCTAATGGCTGCTGAAGCTCCAATCATTAAGTGAATGTTCCAGAAAAAAAAAAGAAAGAACAAAAGAGCATAACTTCTTTGTGAGTGAGTCTCTTTTCAAATTTCTACCAATGACTTTCCTGTATAAAATATCTGTAAGAAAGGCTTGGAAATACAGACTTGAAGCTAGCTAGGCAAATTGCCACACTCAACAATATAAGGGTCTCTTGCTAAGGAAGAAGAGGGAATGAGTATGCATAGATAAAGGGAAACCTTTACCACCCTTGGTAAAAAAAAAAAAAAAAAAAACCTTTACCCCCTGATGCCAGCTTGTCACAGATCAGAATTGGCTTTTAAAAGTATATCCTTTTTGAAACTTGGTTCTTCATGTTATCACCTGTGTGACTTTGCCAACTAACCACTTGGAGCATCAGGTTATATATCTATACAAATGATGGCTGATTTGGTAGATTCTGATCTTATATGGAGCTAAGCATATAATCAGTGTGTCACAAGAAAATCTTGAACTATTAAAATTACCCTTAAAAATCTTTTAACTTAATCATGGAGAATGGGCATTTTCTCACCAGCCTTTTCCTATGCTGAACAAAAATGTATGTGTTTTTTTACCCATGAAAGTTCCAGTGAGGTAAGATGCTCTCATTATGAAAGCACCAGGGGGTCCAAGACCAACTCTAGGAGCACCCCATGGACTTCTTCCAACTCACACTGACTCCTGGACATGCAGAGGGTGAGCTGAAGAGTGACATTTAAAAGGCAACTATTTAAATTCCCCAGTTGTTCTCTCTGCCCCTCAGTCTTTCAAGTTTGCCAAATAAACAGAGTTCAATTTAGTCAGTTAAATCCCTGTATGTGACCCTACTGAACTTATCAATCTGGATGTCAAGTTTACGCCTGATAAAATACTCCAATGTATGTAGAATGCTGCCCAGTGGGGGGTAGGTGTGTGCATGTTATTGAGCAAATTTCTAGACACATTAGATCTTGCTCTGTTTCTGTGAGTCTGAATTATCCTTTGGCTGTCACAGTGTCTCCAGTAAGTTGTTTTCTGGTATTTTTCCTTCTAATAGGGGTCCCTTGCATCCTTAACAATGAAATTGTGGACTCGTCATCAGGCAGTGGAAGCAAGATTATTTTTAGAGGACGAGCACACTCATTGCCCTACACAAAATCAATCTGCTTGCTTTTACAGAAAGCTTGGACTTTAAGAGAGCTTGAGATTCTGGGTAGTTTTTCATTTCAGTCGCTTTTATATTTTTAAAAGAATATTGAACTGTTTCCATGGTGACATTTCATAATCACAGAGTCTGGAGCACAAAAAAAAAAAAAAAAAAAAAAAAAAAAAAAAAAAAAAAAAAAAAAAAGCCTACTAGCAAAGCTGGAGGAGCAATGGATTTCTCCATAAATCACCAGGAATTTTGATGGTGCTGTCAAGCTTCCAGGCACCGCCCACTCTGACGCCAAAGGACCATAACCTAACAGACCAGGAGACAAAAACCCCAGGGAACTTTTATGTCTTAGAAAACATGGGCAGTAATAGCAAATTATTCATATTTTTGAATAATCTTAAAATTCTACTCCTTTCTTCCATTTAGTTTTCTTAAAGCTGGGAGAGATATTATTTGTGAGCTTTGCCATTTTAATTTCTGACCCTAGAACAGACAGAAAAAATAAGTGAGAAAACAAAGAAACCCTGAATTTAAACATAATATGTTCCAGTTCCCAAACATACACACAAATATGATTCGTCAGTTCAGGTTAGGATGTGTGAGGTGGTCAAGGCAATAACTTCAATCCCAGATTCTGGTCCTAGTTGTAACAAAAGCTGGCAGTAATCTGGGTAAAAGAAGAGCTTATCCCTCTATCTATATACCTGTGTGTGAAAACAAGTAGCTTGGAATAACCTCTGTTATAAAAATTGCATTTTGTTTTGAAAAATTGTTCCAGGAAAGGATATTATGTTCCATTTCATAGCTAAATGTCTTAGTCTGTTTTCTGTTGCTCATAACAGAATACCTGAACTGGGAAATTTATTAAGAAAAAGAATTTATTTCTTACACTTATAGAGGCTGAGAAGTCCATGGCTGGTGAGGGTCTTCCTGCTAGTGGGGACTCTGCAGAGTCCTGAGGAGGGTAAGATATCACCTGGCGAGGAGCTGACTGTGCTGGTTCAGGCTCTCTTCCTCATCTTATAAAACCACCAGTCCCACTCCCATGATAGCCATTGATCCATTAACCCACTAATCCATTAATCCCTGAATCGATCACTCCATTCATGAGGGCAGAGTCTTCATGACCCAATCACCTCTTAAAGACCCCACCTCTCAATACTGCCACATTGGGGATTAAATTTCAACATGAGTTTTGGAGTGGACAAATATTCAAATATAGCACTAAATAATTTTAGGAAAACCTGTTTATTCTTTTTTTTTTTTTTTTTTTTTTTTTGAGACGGAGTCTCGCTCTGTCGCCCAGGCTGGAGTGCAGTGGCGGGATCTCGGCTCACTGCAAGCTCCGCCTCCCGGGTTCACGCCATTCTCCTGCCTCAGCCTCCCAAGTAGCTGGGACTACAGAAGCCCGCCACTACGCCCGGCTAATTTTTTGTATTTTTAGTAGAGACGGGGTTTCACCGTTTTAGCCGGGATGGTCTCGATCTCCTGACCTCGTGATCCGCCCGCCTCGGCCTCCCAAAGTGCTGGGATTACAGGCGTGAGCCACCGCGCCCGGCCAAAACCTGTTTATTCTTACTCCCATCATGGGATCACTTTCCCATTTTTGTATTATAGGCTCTGAGAAGATCCATGATGGTGTAAACTAAAACAAAATATTTCTTGAATTTATTTGAGGAAAAAGTATATGATACAGTGATATATAATAATATATTATGTATTATATAATATATATTTATGTTATTATATATAATATATACATATATAGCACTAAATAATCATATAAATATATATAATGTATATAAATAAAAATATACACACATATGTTTTTTCCCTCCTCTGGTTCACATCTTAACCTAATGTAGAACTATTTCTTATAGGACATAGTTTGACAAACCCTAGATTGAAATGATAATTAAAGACCTTGGTGGTTTTTAAATATTGGCATTTTATGACTTGGTAACACTTCATTAAGCAGCACATCAAGCCAGTTACCATACTGTGATAACTGATGTGCATAATGATGACCTGCACATTTTAAAGATCCTGAAGGGCAGTCTGAGCCAATGAAGAAAGATTGAATTTATGTTCCTATGGCTAAGGACTGAGGGCCCCTTTTTATATCTGGACCTTTTGCATATTAGTACCCTGAGAGAGAGAGAGAGAGAGAGAGAGAGAGAGAGAGACAGAGACAGAGAGACAGAGAGAGAGAGAGTGAGTTTATGTATACCTTTAGTGTATACTACTAAAAGGTGAACGTTTTAAACTGTATATATGTGCAGTTGCACAGTTACACACATCCATAGTTCAGATCTAAATAGAGCTCTGCTGAAGGGGAAAAAGCAGTTGGCACCCAAAATCTTTCTGGTAAGTTTTCATAGAGGGTTCTGATAAGAGGCATTTTGTTACATGAAAAGTGCATGAGCTTGGCAATCAGACAGATATGTAGCTAGCAGGCTGAGGTCTGTGAGTTATATATCTGAACCTCAGTTTCCCATCTGTTGAATGGGGAAAAAGTAGCTACCTCTAGATGTTAAATAGCAAATGTAAAGATTCTAGCACAGAGGAAGAATTCAATAGAAACTTTAGGTAAATTTACACCTCTTTTCAATGTGTCTTCTTGAGGACAGAATCTGTAACTTCTAAACTTGGGCTCTGCACATCTAGCATACATCATCTAGCATCTCAGCCTGCCATTGACTTTCCCGATAGGATTTCTACTGAGAAAATTCAGTAGGTTCAGTGGGTTCTACTGCCAGATGTAAACTGCTTTATAAATTGATTAGTTAACCATAAAACTTAAATTTTGAAATAAACTAGGCATTTATTCTCACCATACCCCTCCTGCCAAAGCCCATTAGCGGAAGAACTAGGGTGTCCTTCTTCCCTACCTCATCCTAGTTTCTTTCTGCAAACTTCAAATTGTCACTTCCTCAGAAGGCTTTCCTTGACCACCTTGAATAGTTCATTTTCTGTTGACAGCACTGGGTACTTCTCTTTTGGAGCACATTCTGCAGCAATCTTTCTCTTTCTCTATCTCTTTGCACTTCTTTGATTTTCATCTGTTCTCCCAAACCAGTTTGTAAACTATGAGAGGGCAGAGACTATGTATGACTGCCTTTCTCTGCCAGTGTTATTTTCAGTACTGAACAGTGTTTGGCACATAGTAGGTACTGAACAAATACTTGAATGAATAAATGCTCTTTTTCCATTTCTTACTAAGAGCTTATTCCTTGTGAGTTTTTCATCAAGGCTGAACATCGTAAGTAAGCTTGCAGCCAGAGTTCTCTCTGTGCCCCACCTCTGCGTGAAAACGTAACCCAGTGACAACTAAAAGGTCACATCCTAGAGGCTTTTGGCCAGCTTGCTTACAATTGGCTTTCAACAAAACAAAAAGCGATGGAAGGCAGGTGAGATTGAATCAGAAATCATCTCCATGTTATGATCCTTTTCTTGCTGCTGGCAACATGTAGCTGTTTGCTTGGTGTAGCTCAGTTTCTGGGTTCTCTAGCGCCACCAAACTTTGCAGACTTCACTTCCGGTGGGTTCACATTTGCATGAGCTCTGGCCATCCTACATTGCTCTACCCTGTAACATTTGTGACTTAACTGCCTGGCTTCTGACCCCATCACTCCTCCACACCCTACAACCCACGTCTCCCTTGTGCTATATTCCCCAGTCTTGGCTCTGTTCCCAGTGCCCTCAGCCTGCTGCCACCCACGGCACAGCATGACGAAATGATTCCTTCGACAATATTTGCCTTTGGAAACATAGCCCACGGGCAAGAGATGCCTGGATTTAAATATCCAAACTGTATTTCTCTGCAGCAGGAATTGAGGAATTGTGTTCTCTAGGGTCTTTCCAAACCCAAGTGCCTGTGTGTTCAACAGGCTCTGTGGTTTCATGAGAGACTGTGGATGGGATTGATTTTTTTCTTTAGCTCTTCCCCAGTTGACCTTGGCTGACTGCCCTGTGTCCTGGTATCCTTCTCTAAACCCGAACATGGAGATCCCAGGAAAAGAAAATGCTAAATCAAGGCCAGTGGTGATATTTACTTAGAACAGATGGTGACACAATCCTAAGCTTTCTCGCCCTGAGCATTACTCCAGGAGAATTTTCTGGGTCTGATACAGCTGAGAAAGGATGAATTCAGGCACATTTTTTCCCTGAGCCTGTCTACAAAAAGTGTGTTAAAAACTCATTATTCATTTTTAAAAATAGAGACCTCTACAATGAATTCCACTTCTATGTTCGTAGTATGTGAAACAGCATCGTATTGGAAAGGAACCAGACTAGGTGTCTGGAGATTTGCATTCTACTTCCAGCTTGAAAAAGTTACTTAATTTTCCAGGTCTCATTTTCCTTATAGGTTAAGCTGCCTTAAGCTTCCTTATATTACCATGTGCCTAATACCATGCCTGGCTAAAGATAATATGGATAACAGCAAGGACTAACATTTATCTACGTTTTTTGTGTGCCTGTTACTCTTCTAAGCATTTTGAGGTATTCAACTATTTATTGCATGAATAAATAACTAAAAACAGAAAAATGAATCCAAGTCCTTTTGAGAAGCTTTATTTTATATATATATTTTTTATACATATTCTAATTTAATTATCCTCTCTTAGACCTCTATCTAATACTGTCCCTGCCACTTACTAATACAATTTTCTGCTTGAGTTTTTGGTATCACTAGATGGCAGGGTACATGTTCTCACTCATTTTTGTTCTCCCAGCAGCTGGTATAAATCCTAGCAGATAAAAGGTGTTCAATAAATGTAAGATTCATAAATGGTCCAAGACCAATAAAATGTAAGCTCCATGAGGGCAATGGAGCAATGGCTTTGTCTCTTGTATTCTATACTTCTCTGTGCTAAAAATTGTGCCTGGCAAAAGTAGACGCTCAACAGCTAGGTGAATGAAGGAATGAACGAACAAGCTAATGAACAAACAGTAAAGAATCCACTGACAAAGCCATGTTTGCTCTGTTTAGGGTACAAAACTACTTGAGCATCTATGGAACAACAGCAAGACTTGAGGCAGAGTAGGCTGCAGATTTTAATAACACCTGGTAGACACCAGTAGCAGGCAAGGAGCTCGCACAGTGTACAGTGTGACAGTTTGCATTTAGTTGGATGTCTTATTCATCCTCCCTAAGTACAGAGATGATAAAGAAGAATGGGATCTCAGGCTGCTGCAAGGAATAAAAATTGATACTCCTTCCCTTTGAATAAGCAAGTCTCATTGAAAGCTTTGATTCTTTTGCCTATTAGAGAGTCCATGATCCGTCACTTCAGGCGAGGCCCACGTGTATGTTTATCTGGTAAGTTTGCAAAGGAATCTGGGAAACGCTGCTACCACCACCGCAGATGGTATCTCTGCCAGCCGTTTTGAATTGTGGCAATTGCTACCGCTCCAAGCTCCTCCTGTCCCGGCCCCCTCTTTTTAATCTGCATCCTTTTATCTTTCTCATTTCACATTTGTTTTCTGATCTGCTTGGTTTTGATACTAGGAATTAAAAACAAGCATCAAATTGCATTTTAGATCTGCAGAGCCCAATCATCTCAACCTGTCATTGACTTTCCCGATAGGATTCCTACTGAGAAAATTCAGGTGAGAGGACCTTGTGGTTTCAAACAACTGATGAAATCAAGGATATCGTGGGTTGCTGATTACAGTCTGGGCCGCTTGAGCCTTTGGTTATGTAACAAAAAAAAAGTAGCAAAAACAGAAATTCCTAAAGCTGTTACATATTTAGAGTCTAGTTTGTTACATGTTAGGCTATTTTATCAACTTGTGAAAATTTGTTTTTTATTGGGATATCATCCTAAAATGAGAAAGTATAACAAGATGTGTAGTGTAATAGAACCTCAGATGGGGAGTTCAGAGACAAGTTTTGCTGTCAGCTATGACCTTCCTAGCAACTGAAAAACTTCCTCAGTTGGCTCTTTAACTAGATGTTAATGTATCATATTTTATATATTGAGATTTAGCCATGCACGGCCCAATTAACTATAGCTGGAGAGGGAAAGAGAGGCAAGTTAGAACTGAGAAATTCCTGACCAAAGTCTCTACCTTCTTTGGTTCTCAAGATAAATGCTTATTCTATAAAAGATGGAATAATAAAAATCATAATACTGGCAGCCATTGCAACATTTGTGAATGTTCTTTGTGCCAGTCACTGTGCTTAGTGCTTTAAAATCACATCATTTAATCCTTATAACACCAGCATGAGGTGACAACTTTTCTTATCCCCAAAATACTAATAAAGAGATGTGGTTTGAAAGAGGTTCAAAAACTAACACCCCAAACTGGGTCAGATCCCCTTGTTATACCCTGTACTTTTCCTTTGTATTGATTGTCGAAGCTCATAGCTAGATATTTGTGTGACTTTGTTCACATTAGATTTAGGGCATGGGCTGTAACCATTTGCTCACTGTTTTTGCATAGAATAATGCCTGGCACATAGTTAGGGCTCCATAAAAAAAAAAAAATCACTGACTGAGTAAGCTAGATTTGCTGACTGGCATAGCAGCTGGAAAGATAGGTCTGTTTGCAGGAGTTGGGTACCTGAGGTCATTGGGACAGACATCAGATCCTAGGCCAGCCCATAAGTCAACCCTGAAGGCTTAGATATGAGGAGTTGGGGGAGAGGGATCAATAGTAATGAGAGCTCCAGCAACAGATAAGCTTCTGAATTCAGACATATAATCCAAGAAATCACAGGCAAGTGACTCGATCCTAGGTCCAAGGCTATAATCTAAATAGTCAGATTTCAGTTACTAGAAGGCAGAATGATATAGCAGAAAAGGCATGAGTTCAGAGCCAGAAAAGATCTAGATACAAACCTTCATTTGGTAACTCACAGCTGTATGGTGTTGTGATTGTCAATTGGAACCCTTTTTAAATATCTTTAAATTACCTGAAAGATGGGAATAAATCTCATCTTGTAAAGCTGTGGAAACACTTGATAACTACCAAATATTGGGCCCTTAGTATAGGCCAGGTGTGTGTGTTAACACTTTATACACATTAGCTCTCTTGCACTTCACAATTATTCTATGCTACAGGAACTATTGTCACCCTTTTACAGAGGAGGAAACTGGAAGTCAAATAGCCCCAGCTGTGGAGAGAGGCAGGTTAGAAGGGAAGAACCTGGGTGGGTGCAGATTGCAGAGATCCACATTGGAAAAGAGATGGCTTACCTTTCCTGCTTTCACCCATAGATGTCATCATGATCCCCTCAGTAAGGACAGACTTTATAGTCATTTTTAGCCATATGCTGCAGGCTATCAGTACCTTTCATGCGCGTCTGTGTGAAGAGACCACCAAACAGGCTATGTGTGAGCAACATGGCTGTTTATTTCACCTGGGTGCAGGCGGGCTGAGTCCAAAAAGAAAGTCAGCGAAGGGAGATAAGGGTGGGGCCGTTTTACAGGATTTGGGTAGGTAAAGGAAAATTACAGTCAAAGGGGGTTTGTTCTCTGGTGGGCAGGAGTGGGGGTCGCAAGGTGCTCAGTGGGGGTGCTTTTTGAGCCAGGATGAGCCAGGAAAAGGACTTTCACAAGGTAATGTCATCAGTTAAGGCAAGGACCGGCCATTTAGACTTCTTTTGTGGTGGAATGCCATCAGTTAAGGTGGGGCAGGGCATATTCACTTCTTTTGTGATTCTTCAGTTACTTCAGGCCATCTGGGCATATACGTGCAAGTCACAGGGGATGCGATGGCTTGGCTTGGGCTCAGAGGCCTGACATTCCTGCCTTCTTATATTAATAAGAAAAATAAAATAGTGTTGAACTGTTGGGGCGGCGAAAATTTTTGGTGGGTGGTATGGAGAGAGAATGGGCGATGTTTCTCAGGGCTGCTTCAAGCGGGATTAGGGGCGACGTGGGAACCTAGAGTGGGAGAGATTAAGCTGAAGGGAGGTCTTGTGGTAAGGGGTGATATTGTGGGGATGTTAGAAGAAACATTTGTCGTATAGAATGATTGATGATGGCCTGGATACGGTTTTGTATGAATTGAAAAACTAAATGGAATAACAGAAGGAGAAAAACAGGTATAAAAGGTCTAAGAATTGGGACGACTCAGGATATCTGATTAGAGAGTGCTTAAGGAGATTTGGCATAGTCCTGCCAGCAAAGATTATTTATTTACTTCAAGAGTTAAGAGTGGCAGGTTGGGGATAGCACCAGGAGATATCAGCTGTGATGGCTTGGAGAAACAGTGTAAACTGGCAGTGTAAACAAGAGCAGGGCATGTATGAGTAGTTGAGAACGGCGAATAGGAGTATGACTAGACAGAAAATAGTAGGGATGACAAGTTTTTTTGGGGGGGAGGGGCACAGTCTAAGTTGGTCTGGTGTCTGGAATGAGACTGGGGCCTAATAAAAAGGAGCATCTATATAGGAGCTTAAATGCGCTGTATCCTGTAGCATTCCGAGGACAGGCCTGAATTCTGAGAAGGGAAAGTGGTAAAAGTATTGCCCAGTCCTTTTTAAGTTGGTGGCTGAGCTTGGTGAGGTGTGTTTTTAAAAGACTTTTAGTCCATTCTACTTTTCTTGAAGACGGAGGACCATAAGGGATATAAAGGTTTCACTGAACACTAAGAGCCTGAAAAACTGCTTGGCTGATTTGACTAATAAAGGCTCGTCTGTTATCAGACTGTATAGAGGTTGGAAGGCTAAACTGAGGAATTATGTCTGACAGAAGGGAAGAAATGACTGTGGTGGCCTTCTCAGACCCTGTAGGAAAGGCCTTTACTTATTCAGTGAAAGTGTCTATTTAGACTAAGAGGTATTTTAGTTTCCTGACTCAGGCATGTTGGGTAAAGCTAATTTGCCAGTCCTGGGTGGGGGCAAATCCTTGAGCTTGATGTGTAGGGAAGGGAGGGGGCCTGAATAATCCCTGAGGAGTAGTAGAATAGCAGATGGAACACTGAAAAGTTATTTCCTTGAGGATAGATTTCCATGATGGAAAGGAAATGAGAGGTTCTAAGAGGCAGGCTAGTGGCTTGAACTATAGTATAACCTGCCTTTGCTGGTGTGTGGCAATTAGGCCTGGTGGAACCGCCATCAATAAGTCAAGTGTGATCAGGGTGAGGAACAGGAAAGAAGGAAATTTGGGGGAATGTGGTGAATGTCAGGTGGATCAGAGAGATACAGTCATGGGGGTCAGGTGTGGTATCAGGAATAATATGGTAGGCTGGATTGAAGTCCGGGCCAGGAACAATGGTAATTGTGGGAGACTCAACAAAGAGTGAGTATAGCTGAAGGAGGCAGGAAGCAGAAAGTATATGCATCAGGTATGAGGAAGAAAATAGATTTTGGAAGTTATGAGAACTGTAGAGAGTGAGTTGAGCATAGTTTGTGATTTTGAGGGCCTCTAAAAGTATTAAAGCAGCAGCAGCCACTGCACGCAGACATGAGGGCTAGGCTAAAACAGTAAGGTCAAGTTGTTTGCACAGAAAGGCTACAGGGTGCGGTCCTGGCTCTTGTGTAAGAATTCTGACCGCACTAACTATGCCTAGGAAGGAAAGGAGTTGTTGTTTTGTAAGGGATTGAGGTTTGGGAGATTAATTGGACACGATCAGCAGGGAAAGCACGTATGTTTTTATGAGAATTATGCCGAGATAGGTAACAGATGAGGATGAAATTTGGGCTTGACTGAAGTAATGGGGGCTGTCTATGAAGCCTTGCAGCAGTACAGCCTAGGTAATTTGCTGAGCCTAATGGCTGTCAGGGTCAGTCTAAGTGAAAGCAAAGAGAGGCTGGGATGAGGGGTGCAGGGGAATAGTGAAAAAAGCATCTTTAAGATCAAGCACAGAATAGTGAGTTGTGGAGGAAGGTATTGAGGACAAAAGAGTGCATGGGTTGGGCACCACAGGGTGGATAGGCAAAACAATTTGGTTGCTAAGGCGCAGATCCTGAACTAACTTGTAAGGCTTGTCTGGTTTTAGGACAGGTAAAATGGGAGAATTGTAAGGAGAGTTTATAGGCTTTAAAAGGCCATGCTGTAGCAGGCGAGTGATAACAGAATTTAATCTTTTTAAAGCGTGCTGCGGGATGGGATATTGGCGTTGAGTGGGGTAAGGGTGATTAGGTTTTAATGAGATGGTAAGAAGTGCATGATCGGTCGCCAAGGAGGGAGTAGAGGTATCTTATACTTGTGGGTTAAGGTGGGGGGATAAAAGAGGAGGACGCAAAGGAGGCTTTGGATTGGGAAGAAGGGCGGCAATGAGATATAGCTGTAGTCCAGGAATAGTCAGGGAAGGAGATAATTTAGTTAAAGTGTCTCAGCCTAATAAGGGAACTGGGCAGGTGGGGATAACTAAAGAGGAGTGCTTAAAAGAGTATTGTCGAAGTTGGCACCAGAGTTGGGGAGCTTTAAGAGGTTTAGAAGCCTGGCTGTCAATACCCACAACAGTTATGCAGGCAAGGGAAATAGGCCCTTGAAAAGAAGGTAATGTGGAGTGGGTGGCCTCCGTATTGATTAAGAAGGGGACGGGCTTACCTTCCACTGTGAGAGTTACCTGAAGCTCGGCGTCCGTGATGGTCTAGGGGGCTTCCAAGGCGATCGGGCAGTGTCAGTCTTCAGCCGCTAAGCTGAGAAGATCTGGGAAGGAGTCAGTCAGAGATCCTTGGGCCAGAGTTCCAGGGGCTCTGGGAGTAGCTGCCAGGTGAGTTGAACAGTCCGATTTTCAGTGGGGTCCCCCAGAGATGGGATACGGCTTAGGAGGAATCCCGGGCTGCGGGCATTCCTTGGCCCAGTAGCCAGATTTCTGGCACGTGTAGCAAGCTTCTGGGGGAGGAGGTTCTGGAGGAACGCCTGGCTGCTGCTGTTCAGGTGTTTGGAAGTTCTTGTGTGCTGGAGATGTGGCTAGGGTTTGTCTCGCAGTGGAGGCAAGGAATTGCAACTTTTTTCTGTTATTGTACACCTTGAAGGTGAGGTTAATTAAGTCCTGTTGTGGGGTTTGAGGGCCAGATTCCAATTTTTGGAGTTTTATTTAATGTCAGGAGCAGATTGGGTAATAAAATGAATATTGAGAATAAGATGACCTTTTGACCTTTTAGGTTCTAGGGCTGTAAAGCGTCTCAGGGTTGCTGCCAAATGAGCCATGAACTGGGCTGGATTTTTATATTTGATGAAAAAGAGCCTAAACGCTATCTGATTTGGGATAAAGAAAAAGGAGCATTAATCTTGACTATGCCTTTGGCTCCAGCCACCTTTTTAAGAGTAAATTGCTGGGCAGGTGGGGGAGGGCTAGTCACAGAAGGAAACTGTAAGCCAGACCAGGTGTGAGGAGGGGAGGTGATGAAAAGATTACAGGGTGGAGGAGCGGAGGCTGAGGAAGAATTGGGACCTAGCTTGGGCTGGTGAGGAGGGGAGAGGTCAGATGGGTCTGTAGAAAAGGAAGATTAGAAAGACTCAGCGATGCTTGGGGTTGGGACTGAGGGGACAGGCGGGAGGGAAAGAAGGAAGATTTGGGACGAGTTGCACTGGGCATAGATACTAGGAAGGGACTGATGTGTAAAAGAATGCCTGGATGTCAGGCACCTCAGACCATTTGCCCATTTTACGACAAGAATTATTTAGATCTTGTAGGATGGAAAAATTGAAAGTGCCATTTTCCGGCTATTTGGAACTACTGTCCAGTTTGTATTGGGGTCAAGCGGCATTGCAGAAGAAAATAAGGCATTTAGGTTTTAGATCAGGTGTGAGTTGAAGAGGTTTTAAGTTTTTGAGAACACAGGCTAAGGGAGAAGAAGGAGGAATGGAAGGTGGAAGCTTACCTATAGTGAAGGAGGCAAGCCCAGAGAAAAGAGTAGAGACATGGAGAAGGGGTGGGGGGTTCTTGCCCTCCAGAAAAGCAGAGAAGGGGTTGGGGCACGGAAATAAGGGATTGGGGCACAGAGATAAGAGGTCAGGGTGCGGAAATAAGGGATTGGGGTGCAGAGATATAGGTTGGGGTTTGGAAATAAGCGATTGGGGGATTCTTGCTCCCTAGGAAAGTGGGACTTGCCGCTAAGGGTGAAGGAGAAGGGGTTGAAGGGTACTTGCCCCTGCCCCAGGAAAGCAGAGAAGGGGTAGAGACAGAGAAGGGGTTGGGGTACTTGCCCCTCCCCCAGAAAAGCGGGACTTGCCGCTAAGTGTGAAGGACTAAGGCAGGCGTCCCTGTGTGGTCTGACACCCTTGAAACGTGAGTGTATAATCAGAGAAGCATCCTTGCAATGATTAAACACCAAGGGAAGGCTGCCTTCCCAGTCCGTGACCGGCGCCGGAGTTTTGGGTCCACGGATAAAACATGTCTCCTTTGTCTCTCCCAGAAAATGAAAGGAATTGAAATTAAGAGAAGGGGGAGATTGAAGAGTGGAAAGGAGAAAGTGGTTGAGGGACGGTGAG
This sequence comes from Homo sapiens, assembly GCF_000001405.40. NCBI lineage: Eukaryota > Metazoa > Chordata > Mammalia > Primates > Hominidae > Homo > Homo sapiens. The sequence goes on from NC_000005.10 coordinate 153,454,783, forward strand.
AGAGGTTGGAGAAGAGAGTAAGAAGAGGCCGCTTACCTGATTTAAAATTGGTGAGATGTTCCTTGGGCTGGTCGGTCTGAGGGCCTGAGGTCATAGATGGATCTTTCTCACGGAGCAAAGAACAGGAGTACGGGGGATTGATCACCCAAGGGAGGTCCCCCGATCCGAGTCATGGCACCAAATTTAGGCACCAAATTTCATGCGCGTCCGTGTGAAGAGACCACCAAACAGGCTTTGTGTGAGCAACATGGCTGTTTATTTCACCTGGGTGCAGGCGGGCTGAGTCCAAAAAGAGAGTCAGCAAAGGGAGATAAGGATGAGGCCGTTTTACAGGATTTGGGTAGGTAAAGGAAAATTACAGTCAAAGGGGGTTTGTTCTCTGGTGGGCAGGAGTGGGGGTCGCAAGGTGCTCAGTGGGGGTGCTTTTTGAGCCAGGATGAGCCAGGAAAAGGACTTTCACAAGGTAATGTCATCAGTTAAGGCAAGGACCGGCCATTTAGACTTCTTTTGTGGTGGAATGTCATCAGTTAAGTTGGGGCAGGACACATTCACTTCTTTTGTGATTCTTCAGTTACTTCAGGCCATCTGGGCATATACGTGCAAGTCACAGAGGATGCGATAGCTTGGCTTGGGCTCAGAGGCCTGACAGTACCATGTTGGGAGTTGACATGCAAAGTGAAATGTAGTTACTTTCCCAATTCTGGATGACCCTTAGGTTTTCTTCTGATATTCCAATGTGCTAACAGAATTGTTAAACTCAACTTCTCTTCTCTGTCATGGTTTAAAGAAATTCAAATAATAGAAGAGGAAATAATGGACATTTCTGGGACCCAGAGCATAGCTAAGTCAGTTGGACAATGGCAAATGTTGACTTCAGAGCATTTCCTCCTTGACTACCCCAAGCACACAGAAGCCATCCACTTCCCCTTCCAAAGCTAGTATTCAAAAATGCTTCCTGCCAAGTTAGGCTGAGGTGTAAGTGACTAAAGATGACAAAGTATGACTATGGGATATTAATTGCTGCAGAAACCAAAGTTTTGAAGCAAAAAGAATAATCGTGAGCATCAAATGAAATATTAAGTATATCTACTTTTAAGAAAATGGTAGAGGATATGGTGGAAGCCTCAAATCCCTCTACAGTTACAGAATTTGGATAGTAAACTATTTAACCTATATGTGAGGCTAGCTCTGTCCCAGAATAACCCTGAGATCACAAGTTAATTCTGAGATCTAAACATCTTGGTTGCAACCTTTTGATTTACACAGCTTATGGGCTGAAACGAATTTCATCTTTCTCAGTTTAACACAAGAACAACAAATTTCTCCATCTTTTGTGTAAAAGATCTGATTTTCATAATATGTAGTTTAGCACCTGATAACAATTAATTTGTTAAGTATGATCTGAGAAATGTTATGATGCACTGTGCTTTTGTCTCATTCTGTCTTTTTAAATAGTGCTATTAGCTCCTCACTGCCCATAGTGGCCTCATGGCTTTTTTGAGGTAATATGTACAGCTTAATCCAGAGAATGAAATATCTAGTCCTACATGGTATGGTAGTCAGAACTTTAAATTTAATAGGAAAACTTCTCTGAATACCTAATTTGTACACTTTATAGGTGAAAACTTGCAAATGATTGACAGGAGTACAGATTATATATGACTTCTAATCTCTTTCCCCATCTTGTGCTTCAACCCTTCCTCCATTTTGCTAGCCAAGATTTCCAGTCTCTTCAGGATTGCAGGTGTAGGGCGGAGTGGAACAGGAAAGTTCTGGCTTGACTGACATTGTCATGCACTGACGTTGCATTCCTTAGCCTTGGGAGCTGTTTACACTTGACTGTCTACTTTGAGGGGGGTTTCCAGAAAGGTTTTATCAGTGAGTGGCTGGCATCCACAGCTCCCTTGAAGGGGGCTTATGTATCTTTCTTTTGCCTCATTACTTGCAACTCCTGCTGAGTCCCTGGGAATTGGGCAGTACATCGCCAGCCTCTTTTAGGTGAGACCTTTTTATTTTCAGGAGGTCCTCCTGGAAATGCCTAAAATGATGCCTTTCCAGGATCTAGCACATGTAGCCCACATCTGATTCACTAGAATTGCTTAGGGATCTTTGCACTGAGAGCCTCGCTCTGAGAACACTGTTTGATCCCCACCTTCATAACCTCCACTTTGCTCTGGTCAGCCACTTTCTCAGGAATGATGACCAGCCTATTCCTCTACTAAAATTTTCCCACCCCTACTCTCCATTCCTCAGACTACAACATAAAGAGAAACTTAGTAGAAAATAGTCTCAAAGGCCTTCTACCTAGGTGAGTGGCAGGCTCCTGCCCAAGCCTCGCCATGGCAGGAAGACTCACAGCACACTGGCATTTTTCTCCCAACATCCTCTCAGTCTCTTCTCAGACTCTCCAACTGCATAGCATGAGGTGGGTGGGTGACTCAGGTGGTAAATGATTTATCTGCCATCTCCTTTTTGCAAATCCTGTATGATAGTCCTATTTTAAAATCTAACATCTATTTTCTTCATGCCTCAGCCAAAACTGAGAGAGGAAATTTGAATGTCCTGTTAAAACTCCATTTAACTCACAGGATCATTTTTCAATACTGTTGTTTTATTTAGGTTAGTCTTTGGAAGACATAACTAAACTCGATATTTGTAAATATGTGCTAATTTCTGGAAGCATTTCAATATCAACATTTCCTCTGGTCTCTCTTCCCATGTGACCTGCCGAATTCTCTGATGTGGGCCTTTTCATTTGATTCAGACTCACATTTAGGGAGTAGCAGGTTTAAGGTTAGAATCCAGGCCTCCTCACCCTCAGTGACCTGTTGCTTTCCACCAATGATAATGACAATAAAAATAGTACAATACTAATGATACACATTAATTGCGTGTAAACACTGCCTTTAAGTGTAATAGCTTAATCAATCTGACAACTTATACATAGACAATATTACGATGTCCATTTTACAGATAAGGAAACCGCCACACAGAAAGGTTAGTAACTTATCAGGGTCACACAGTTAGTAAGTGGCAGAGCAATTGGGTTCAGTGTCTACATCCTTGACCCTTAGAAAAAGAGTGTTTTTGTCTTCTTACTGTACACTTTACATTCAGAGCATTTTGATATAAAATATTTAATACCTCTGTATGATAAAGGAGGACAAGGATTACCCTCTTTCTTGATAGATGAGAAGTGCAAGACATACAAGTTGAGTAGGAGCCTGGTGTGAGGTCATACTGCTAATGGGGACAGAGCCCACATGTGAAACCAAGTTCCTTGAGTTCCTAGCGAGTATTTCACACTGTGTTAGGTGGCCTAATATATCATAGGCCTGTAACTGGTATTTCTGTAAGGGGAAAAAATTACTGCAGAGAGTTTTCCAGGATGTTTCAAACTAAATAAGAGAGGGTTGAGGAGCACAGGATGAGCATGGAGTAGGAGAGCATTGAACTAGACAAAAGCCCTACTCCAAACTTTATATATCAGTTTCCTTTAAGATTTTTTTAAAGAGATATGCTGTTTTTATTTATGTAAACAACCAATGTAGTCCAACCTTCAACTTTACAGAGAAACTGAAGCTCAGAGAAAAAATAACTGAACTTACATAGTGAGTTAATGCACAACTGAGTCTAGAAGCCAGCCAGTTTCCCAGTTCTCTGGCCCCACACTTTGCCCCTTGTCCCTTCTGCTGGTTCTCCTGTGTTATCAATGTAATATAACCCTGGAGTCAGGCTGGGAGCTGACATACAGTGAGTATGGTTTGTACCAATACCCTGGTAGTAAAACAAAGTGATTATGTTTCAATTAATGACATATGCATATGTATGCCAAAAAGAAACACCCTGCTATGCATATGCATATATTATTAATTATGCAACATGCTTTCTTACATTTATATTTTCATAGCTTTTTATAGCATTAATTACTTCGTTAAATTTAAGAAAAATGTGAGGGATGGCATAAACAGGCTTTACTGCCAGTAGGTAATCAAGTGCTAAGTAGCATGGGGTTGTCTGTGTGTCAATGAATGCTTCTTTCAATCCTGTCTTTGACAGTTGACAAAACTACACTTCTTGATTTCTACCATGATGCCTGGGTCCGCTGTGGTGTCAGGTGCTCAAAAGCAGTGGGTAATTGATGTTCTATTCTACCCTCTAGGTGTGCAGAAGTATTCGCCTTGGAGTTTGCAGAGCTGAGTTGTAACTACACCTTGACCCCAGTTAGCTGTAAGACTCTGGGTAATTCAATTCCTTTTCTAATTTTATTTTTCCTTTGTCACAACCATAATGCAGAGCATTTCTTGGCAAAGAAATGAAAGAAGACAAGGTACTAGTGGAAACATTGGATGAGGGCCAGGGTAGAAGGGGTGGTAATTTCACAGAAGTAAAAAGGAAGGAGAATCTGAACCATAAGATCCCAGTAACTGGCTTGCCTCTCCACACTCCTCCTCTACTGCTCCTCCCCTGGAGGCCTCCAGCCACACTGCCCTTTCTGTTCCTTAAATAGGCCACATTTTCTCCTTCCTCTGAACCTTCTCATGCTCTGTTTCTTCTGCCTGGACCCCACCCCTATTTTTGCACCCCTTACTGGCCTAACTCCTATTAGACCCTCTCATAAGTCCCTAAGTTAGATTCTCCCTACTGTAGACTTCCACAGATGCTTCTCCTCTCATCAAATCACACAACAGGCCTTATGGCAATTATTTATTCATTATTTGCCTTTCTTGGTAGACTGAAGCTCCATAATAGCAGGAATTGTGACAGCCTAGCTCTTGGCTGTATTCCCAGAGCACAAGTGCATAATATTTATTGCAGGACTGATTTCTGAGGAAAGCACATACTATATGATCCTGTCCATATAAAATCCTTTAAAATGCAAATTAATCTATAATGACAGTAAGGAGATCAGTGATTGCTAGGGAACCTGGAAGGAGTTGGGGGGTGGGAGACAGATAGATTTCAAAGAACCATAGAGAACTTTTAGAAGTGATGGATATATTCATTGGCTTGATTGTGGTGATGGTTTTACAGACATATACAGATATCAAAACTCATCAAATTATACACTTTAAATATGTGCAGTTTATTATACATCAATTATAACTTAAAGCCATACACATATTAAAGTATAAAGCAAATAGAAATGCTGTTGTAGGAAAAAAGAAAGAATTGAGTAAGATGTGCAGAGAGCTCAAAAAAGTCAGAGTGAAAAATGTCCATTAGATTTGAGTATTTTCAGGTATTTGGGAACCTAAGCGAAATCAGTGAATGGAAATCCACCAATGATGAACGGGCTTTCCAATTGGCTATTTTTCTGCCTAATCAACTCCATAAGATGATAGGGCATCCTTCGCTCCATCCCACTGGCTCTCTACACCAGTGTATTAATTTGATAAGGCCATTTTGCTTGTAACAAATAGAAATCACCCTGTGCTAGATTAGGCAAAAATAAGGAAATTATTATAAGAATACAAGAATTCCTGAGAAAGCCCAAGGCCAGGAATGTCACTCCTAGACCATGGGGAAATCAGAAATAAAGATCTGGAATGTGAGCAGTAACCCAGCATGCATGCTTAGTTTCCAATCCTTGCTCCCATTGGCACCTCTGCTTCTTTCCCTCTCCCTGAAAATCAGATTTGGGCACTCCTTAGTTGACTCAAAAAGACTAAGGACATCCTGTGGCTCCCCGATTGGCAAAGTCCAGCTTCAGCCACCAGAGCAGATGAGCTGTCACCTTTAAATCACAATTCTGAAGCTCTGGAAGAGAGAATAGAATTGGTTCAACTAGATTTGGGGGCTACCTCCATCTGCTCAAGTTTGGCTGGTGAGTCACTTAGATGATACATGCTGCTTGAGCTTTCCTTCTTGGCTGGGGGAAAATGGGAGGACATTTATTAAAGTAAAGGAGAATTGATGATTTAGATAGACACTCTGGAACTCTCTATTAAAGTTTGTTATAGATATGCAGAGTGGGGATGAGAATGTCCGATTCCCAGATAACAAAATTGAGCCTCGAATAATTCATTCATTTCCCCAAAGCACATTCTGTAAGAGACTGAAAGGCCTCCAGACTTTGACTACGAGCCCCAGTGCCCTTGCTAGAACACCAAATGGCTTTCCTAAAGCAATCCTGCCCTCAAGAAAGATTTTAAATATTATTTGAACTCAAGTGTAAATAAATGCAAATAGCTCGAGCATGATCCCAGCATTTTTGAGAGGAAAGATTGGAGGGGAGGCAAGATGGATTTACCTTTTAGCAGAAACCAAAGGCTTAAGCTGAAGAATAGCGTATTAATGGTAATATTTCAGTCATCCTTTGGTGCATATGTGGTTTTAAAAAGGACATCTGTCCATTCTGAAGCTCATAAACTACATTGCAAAAGTAATGATAAATGTCTTCATTTTGACTTAGTTATACTAAGGTCTTAAGGAGACAAAGGGTATATTGGGTAAAGTTGCTGTCAGAAAAAATTCTGACTCCAGATACTTCCAGCTTGTTGAAACAGAATGTATCTGAAATCTCCCAAGGAGACAGATTTTTTTAATGCCTGTTTCAGGACAATCCCTCAGATCAGAACAGCACAAATAGTTCAGATGGATGAGAAATAACCACTTATTGTGTGCTCACCTCAGGTGAACCAAATCTGGGTACAATTTGCAAAGAAGCCACAATGATGTGGGACCAGGAACCCAGCAGTGAGACCTGGAGTGAAGGCAAAGTGAACAGCTTCTTCCAGCCTGGGCTCAACAAACCAGATTTGCCACATTTACTCACTGGGTGAGCAGGTCCTTGTGCTTTTTCCATGCAAAGCTCATCCCTGAGACCCTGGAGGTAGAGGATTGGTGTATGACATGAATGAATCAGACATCGTTTCTGCTCTCACAGCTTTAACAGTCAAGCAGAGGCAACTGAACAATCTTCGATACAAACACAAAGTACAGAAGGATCTATCCTAAGAGATGGGTGCACATAGATCCTTTAGATTTCTCATGCCTCAAATTTAATTTCCTCTTCCACAGCTACCTAGAATGAGCTTACTTTATCAGCAGTGGCACTACTGTACCTTTGGTGGTTTAGGTAATTGGAATTATCCTTGGAGCTTTCCTTTCCCTAACCTCCATATGATGAGGTTGTGATTTATTAACCATAATCACATGTTCAACTGAAACTTGTTTTCAAAACATGTTTTGAAGCTGCCCTCTTCTATCAAGCCTCCTTTTAAGCATCCTTTCCAAGCCACCACCTTCTCTTATCTGCCAATAGCTGAAGTTTCCTTACAGTTCTATCTGTATTTACATTATATCTTTAAAATCCATTCTGAACTCTATTGATAGAACAATCTTCAAAATAGAAATTTGAGCATTTTATTTTCTAAGATATGAGTTTTAGATTGCTTTCCATTTTCTCTGGGAGTGAGATGCACAATCCTTGGCTGGCCTGGTGTCAAAGCGTTCAGTGACTAGCCTTTGCCCACACTTATCCCTATAGCTTCACCTTCAGCCACTCACTGCCTTCAACTTTCTCCTTAGCTCTACAGACCAACCTCAGAGTCCTGAGCAGGACATATTGTTTTTCACATAAGGACACTTAAACAAAAATCGGTCTCCTCCAGCTGAAATCATTTCCTCCGTTTCTGCTGCTCATTTCCTGGGTGAATCCAGATTAGGTTCCCTTTGGTACGTTGCTCCTTCATAACACTCACTCTGGTGGGAAATTAATTTAACATCTTTTTCCACTAAACTGTCAGTCCCATGAGGACAGGGGTTGTCTGCTTCATTTACTGCTGCATTTAACTTTTGGCACAGTACCTGACAGTCAATACATATTTGTTGCATGGAGGAGCCCAGGAACTAAAATGAAGAGTCAGAAAAAATGAGAATAAGACCTAATTGTGGAGGGCTCCAAATGCCAAGCAAAGGAGAGAAAACTTGAAATGCAAAACCTATCTCCAAAACCTTCCCATGGCCCCTTTGCAGCTGCTCTCTTTTTCATTGCTCCTGATATAAGACTTCTCCTCTGCCATCTTGTTTCTCACTCCCTGCCATGTCAAGGGCACACACAATGATTTGTTTTCCTCTGTATCCTCAACAACTGGCACAGGGCTAGCTAAAGAGTGCTGCAAATATCAGCCAATCTAGCCTAGGTTATGCTACACTGAAAAATCACACCCAAATCTCAACAGAGATCTATTTCTTGCTCATGTAAAGTTCATTGCAAGTGTAGCTGGGTCTCCAAAGTAGCTGGCCTCCATGCCATGGTCAAATACATGTGACAATAACTTCCATGTCAACATGTGCTTCCAAGCTCAAAATGACAGGAGAAGAGCAAGCTTGGCAGAACAAACTTGAGCAAATAAGTGTGCCCGTCTACTGACCCCATCACTCTTACATTTCATTAGCCAAAGCAATTCACACGGCCATGCTTAATTTCAGGAAGACAAAAATATATGTGCAATTCTCCATTTTTCTGGAAATGGAGGGGAAATGGCTATTAGTAAATAGTAGGAATGTATGCCCCAGACCTGAACATACAAACCATTCCTCTTTTTTTTTTTTTTTTTTTTGACAGACTCTCGCTCTGTTGCCCAGGCTGGAGTGCAGTGGTGCAATCCCAGCTCATTGCATCTTCCACTTCCCGGGTTCAAGCGATTCTCCTGCCTCAGCCTCCTGAGTAGTGGGACTACAGGCACCCACCACCACACTCGGCTAATTTTTGTATTTTTAGTAGAGACTGGGTTTCGCCATGTTGGTTAGGTTGGTCTTGAACTCCTGACCTCAGGTGATCCACCTGCCTCAGCCCCGCAAGTGCTGGAGTTACAGGCAAAAGCCACTGCTCCAGGACGTTTTTTTAAAAGTGAAAGCAAGTTTATTAAGAAAGTAAAGGAATAAAGAATGACTACTCCATAAGCAGAGCAGCCCAGAGGACTACTCGTTGCCCATTTTTACAGTTATTTATTGATTATATGCTTAACAAGGGGTGGATTATTCATGAGTTTTCCAGGAAAGAGGTGGGCAATTTCCGGAACTGAGGATTCCTTCCCTTTTCAGACCATATAGCATAAGTTTCTGGCATTGCTATGCCATTTGTAAACTGTCATCATGCTGGTGGAAACATAGCAGTGAGGATGACCAAAGGTCACTCTCCTCACAGTCTTGGTTTTGGTGAGTTTTAGCTGGCTTGTTTATTGCAAGCTGTTTTGTCAGCAAAGTCTTTATGACCTGTATCTTGCGCCAACCTCCTGTCTCATCCTGTGACTAAGAATGCCTTAATCTCCTGAGAATGCAGTTCTCAGGCTTATTTTACCCAGCCCCTATTCAAGATGCAGTTGCTCTGGTTCAAATGCCTCTGACATTTCCTGCCCCCCTCCCTTTTATAAGAGAACCCTTAATCCTAAGGGTTGTAAAGGGACAAAGATCCATCTTTTGTAACTTCTTCATGATGAATAGGGGTGAATGCCTTGGTAAAACAATTTTACCAAGGCTTTGACTGGAATATCTGACTGAGCTCCTCTCTACCCTGAATATAAGACGCATGTCAGAAAGCATCAGTATGGTGAGAGCCAATCATAACTCTGAGTTCAAACAAAAGGTGATATCTGGAAGATTAATAAGTGTTCAATTTAAGAAAACATTTAGTAATTTTATTTTGCATTTCTACTTGAAGAGTACAGCTGCAATATATTTCACAAGAGCAAAGCAAAATAAGCAAAATTATTCCAAGTAAACCGAATTAGAAGGCTTTCCATGAACTGGGCAGTTGTTGGAACCAAGCTTCTATGAGGTTGCTAGCTAATTCCAGTACATGCCCAGAATTAGAATATTGATCCAAATTTTTACATTACTTATTCCTCTTGTTTCTTCTGAGCAGCAGCTAGAGATCACTAGTTGGTTTACAGGAATGAGCAGGGTTAGTCTAAATTGCCGAAAAAAGAAACCTCAAAAACAACTGATGAGACTAGAATTTAAGAACAGGTATACCATAGTTTTTGAAACCTAATTTTTCTCTTTCCACTCTCCCATTTTTACTAAAGGCAAATCATGGTAAGATTGATTTGGTTGCCAAATAAGTTTTAGCTTTATACTTGGCCTAATTATTTGTATAAAGTGCAGCAAGAATAATTATTTTTCACATAGGCTTTTTAAATTGGCTTCATTGGAACTCTGGTCCATAGAAGGAATGTCAGATGAGACTTTTTGAAAGCCAATCCCAGCTATGAGCTTATGCCCTCAAATACCTATGAGTTGAATAAATTTCTCTCCTCTCGAGGTCCCAAGGTAACTTGGGGCTTCTGGGCCAGTCAGAAAGTAACATTCTTTACTTACCACAGATCAGAACCCCTGTACACGGACTCTGTAGACAAAGTATGAGGCCTATTTTCCCAAAGGGCTTTTATTGACTCTAAGTTTGATTCCTTAAAGGAAAGCACGCCATTCCAGTTAAAGTCTTGGTAAAATAACCAGTTTCTCTGTGTCCTGTTGCAAGAGAAAACACATTCTTATTGCACTTATGCAAATAACCATTGCTGTAAATTAAGAATACTCACAGATACTTTCAAAATTCTGGAGAAAACAGGTAGAGAGAAACAAATATGCTCCAAATTTTGTTCACAGGAGTATACTTTACTCAATTGCTAAAAACTGTAAATAGCTCAAAAGAAAAGTTTCCTTGACTCTGAAAAACAAAACAAAGGATCAGCAACATTTTAAGTGAAAAGCCAAATCTCCAGAGTTATCAATCAGAAACATGCATTTAAGAGCACCTGTTAGAGTTTCATAGCTGATTATAAAAATATCATTTAAAGAGGATCAAAACAAGATAACAATTGTCTATGGATGGCAAAGTAAACCATTCCATTTTTTAAAAGATAGTACTAAGTGGTCCTTGCTCTGGAGGGAATACAGATTGTCTGGTAAGGTATGCCATTCTAATTCTAGTGTCCCAGGATCTCCAGTGCTGAACAGTGCCCAGTCACCATAGGGAACTGTCATCCCAGCACTATGGCACCCCAATTTCTTAACCTCTTTTCTTCTCATAGGCCTGTCCTTCCTCATCTACTCATTCTTGTAGTCATAACCTAGGCTTCATCAGGTCCTATTATTTCCTTTTTCTGGGTTTTTGTGTTTTTTGACAAAGTCTCACTCTGTTGCCCAGGCTGCAGTGCAGTGACGCAATCTCGGCTCACTGCAACCTCCCGGGTTCAAGAAATTCTCCTGCCTCAGCCCCACAAGTAGCTGGGATTACAGGGGCCCACCAGCACGCCAGGCTAATTTTTGTATTTTTTAGTAGAGATGAAGTTTCGCCATGTTGGCAAACTGGTCTTGAACTTCTTGACCTCAAATGATCCACCCACCTCGGCCTCCCAAAGTGCTGGAATTATAGATGTGAGCCACCGTGGTTGGCCAGGTCCTATTATTTCAAATCTTCCAAAATATCAACTTCAAGCCAACCTATCACCTCCTATATTTCCCATTCATTCCCTGGACTCCCTATCTCCAGCAAACTTTTGACCCCACCTGTATTATCTTTTTCTTTTTTGTTGTTGTTGTTGAAACAGAGTCTCACTCTGTCACCCAGGCTGGAGTGCAGTGGAGCAACCTCAGCTCACTGCCGCCTCCATCTCCTGAGTTCAAGCAATTCTCCTGCCTTAGCCTCCTGAGTAGCTGGGATTACAGGCACATGCCACTACGCCTGGCTAATTTTTGTATTTTTAGTAGAGACAAGGTCTCATCATGTTGGCCAGGCTGGTCTCAAATTCCCGACCTCAAATGGTCTGCCCACCTCAGCCTCCCAAAGTGCTGGGATTACAGGTGCGAGCCACCATGCCTGTCCCCCATCGTATTTTCAATCCGTTGATCCATCTTGTTACTCTTACTGGTTTATTATAAAGGATATTGCAAAAGATACAGATGAAAATACATATAGGGCAAGGTATGGAGCAGGGGCATGGAGCTTCCATGCACTCCCTGGGTATGCCACCCTCCAGAAGCCTCCACATGTTCATCTGTCTATCCAGAAGCTCTCTGAACCCAATTCTCTTGGGTCCTATCACCATTATACTGTCCTTAGTCCTTTGTGCTATGGCCTCACTTTATCCAGCTTAAATCACATGATCAACCATCATAATAATTCTCCTTGACAGTCTTTCATTTCCTTCCCTGTGTCCTGAACACTAAAATGCATCATATTTACTTACCTACACTACAATCCTAAATCAATTTAACTCCTCATCCACTCAGGGGCAGAACATGTACAACACAAAGAGCCAGAAAATAACCTCCAACCAAATTTCTGATTTCTCTTTAAATTTGTGATCAATAAGTGTGTTCTTAATACAATCATACTGTATTTCCCAAGTTTGTTCTCTTTCCCACTCTCCCAGATAATTATTTCACACTTTCCCTTTCTTCTCAAACCTCAACACCTTCTCCCTCATCTTCACTCACAGCCTCTGACCTTGCTTCCCACTTGACAGGAATGAAGAATTGGAAAAGAACATCATGAGCCTCTCACCTACCTAATGGCTTTATTCCAGCAAAACTTTCTGTACTCTTCCCTCCCCCTTCAATTGGATCACTTCCAGCAGCATACAGACAAGCTGTTATTACTCCTATCTTCCCCATCATCAGTGACTTATTTACTCTGTTTCTCCTTATAGCAGCACCCCCTGAAAGAGGTATCTAAACTCTCTGTCTTCACTTTCTTTCTATTCTGTCTTCAGCTCACACCAATCAGGTTTATTTTTTCTTCTCAACCATCTTGCAAAACTCTTCTCATTAAGATTAACAATGACTTTTATGTTGTTAAATCCATGGACATTTCTCAGACCTAAGCTTACCTTTTTCCTACCAGGAGCATTTGATAAGGGGATTGAAACACTTTCTTCCTTTGCTTTCCAGGATGCCACACTTACCTGGTTTCCACCCACACTTCTGAGTGCTTTCTTTGTCTCTTTTGCTGGATGATCTGCATCTCCCTGACATCTGAGTGTTGAAGTGCTCTGGGGCTCAGTCCTCAACCTGCTTGTCTTTTACATCTGTGCTCTCTCCTTAGTTATCTCAGCCAGTCTCATTACTTTAAATACCATCCATATGCAGCCAAATGCACAGCCCTAGACTGAATTTTTTCCCTAATCTCTAGACTCATAGTTAACTTCCTACCTGACCTCTCCACCTGAATGTTTAATAGGCATTTTAAATTAAATATATGTCTAAAAATGAGCTCATAAAATTTCCCCACCCCCCAAAGCATGCTTTATTAATGGCAGTTTCATCCTTCTGGTTGCCTTGTTGTGCTCCTTGATGCCTCTCTCATTTCCTACATCCAGCCTTTCCACAAATCCCATTTGCTCTTCCTTCAAAATATAACCAGAATTCAACTTTTCATCAACCCCACTGCTACCACTCTATTCCAAACCATCATCAGCTTTTTCTTTGATTATTGCAGTGGTTGCCTACCTGGCCCCTGAACTCCTGCCCTTACCCCCTTTAGCCTCTTTTCTATATACTAGGTTGACCAGTGGCCCTTAGTCCCCCTCCCCATTACTTTTTATTGTAACAAAAATTAAAACCCAAGTCCTTATTCTGGCTTACAGGGCCATGCATGGGCTGGACCCTATATTCACTCAGACCTCATATCTTGATCCTTTCCCCTTCATTCTCTCCAGGTCACCCACACAAACTTCCTTCTGTTCCCCAACACCCCATACTTGCCTGCACTTCTGAGCCCTTTTTCTCATTTTCCTTCTGTCTGGAATACTCTCTCTAGATGTCTGCATGGCTGGCTCCCTCTTTTCCTTTGGGATTTTACTCAAAATATATCTTCACAATGAGGTATTCTTGGCTACTCTATCTAAAATTTCAATCTGTCTAAAATGTCACTCTATTCCTAACACTTTATATCCCCTTATCTTATGTCTTCACTTTGTGTAATTACTTCACTTGTGTAATTTTGGTCCATAAAATATATCACTGTCTAACATAATCTAGACTATACCTATGCATCTTGTTTATTGCCTCTTCTACTAAAATATAAACTCTATGAAGGCAAGAATATTTGTCTGTTTTATTCATTATTGTTTGCTGAGCTGGTAAAATAGTGTTTGACATAAATTAGCTATTCAATATATGTTTTTCACATGAATAAATTGTTTTTAGGAATATTACTTTGGGTACACCACTAGGCAACCATACACTATAAGGAATCGCCTGGTCTACCAGAAAGAACACTGATGTAGGAGTCTAAGAAACCAGAAACTTAGTCCCTGTTCTCTTATTAACTTGCTATGTGTTCTTGGGGAAATCATTTCTGTCTGCAGATGTCTGTTTTCCTATCTGTAATGTGAGAGGATTAAATTGGATTATTTCTTGTGTTCTATTCAGCTCAATAGGTAAGATAATGAGAAAGTTCAAGGAATAGGTGGGTCATTTTTGCATGAATTTTAGGATAATGTATGCTCTAGGAATTTTCAGTATTTGCAGTATGTGGCTTATAGTAGGCACATTAGAAATTCATTTGTATGTTAATCCCTGATTTGTTTCATCAGCTAGCTCTATGCATAGACCAACCTGGAAATTCCAGACTACCTCACTCAAGTTTTGGATCTTGGTTCACTTTGTTATGTAGCTAAATCTTTGGCTCTTCTCAACAACTTGTATCTTATCTTAGCATATAAGTTGGCTAAAAGAAAAGTCAGGATTCAAACTAGAGTTTTTAAACTCTAACCGTACCACCACACGAGGCTGCTTGTTCTGCATGGATGAAGGTGCTTGTTTTCAACACGAACCATGATTCATTTGCTGCAGGCCAACTCAATAGAAAAACAATTGAGTACTATCTATTCACCATAGCATGCTGTCATTTGTGGGTCTTGAATTGATCACCTCAAAGGAGCTTGCCTGTCATTTCCCTCAAGAAATAAAGGCTCAGTGAAAACACTGTGGAATGTTGGTCTCATAAGCATTTCACAAGTATTCACTGATGGCCAATAATGGAAACTACTGCTTAAGAACCTAGGCTTCAAAATCTCCTTTCTCACTGCCTAGCCACCTACATGACTTTCAACATGGGACTTAGCCATTCTGAACGTTCTTTTCCCATGCCAGACTTGGGAGGCATTATTGAGATCTGTTTCTCTCTCTCTCTCTCTCTCTCTCTCTCTCTCTCTCTTTCTCTCCCCTAAATCTGTCAATCTTCAAGTCCTGATGGTTGTGTTTGCATCCTGAATATATTTAGACTTCACCCACTCTTTGTTTTCTCTCTCTTTCTCGGATTATTGTCCATTACAAATATGATATTGTTACTTTCTTCCTTGGCTTTCTCTGGTCCTTAGACTGAAGTTCCACAGCCTAAAAAGGACTCTAAATGTGTCTGAGCTGGCCCCTACCCTCACCAGTCTTACCTCAGGGATCTTGAGCTCCCTGGTCTTTCAATTCTCTCTGCCTAGAACGTTCTTCCCCCAAGCCACTTTACCCATTTACTGATATTCATGCTTCAGGTCTCCATCAATATTATTTTCTCAGGGAAACCTTGGAGAAAGTCGTCTTCTTATTGTTCACTCTCATAGCACTTTGTATTTCACTTTTACAACAATTATCACAAATATAATTAAATATACATTTTTCTGTGATTACTTCATCACTCTTATTAGATGGCAAGCTCTATAAAAACAGAAGTTCATAAATGTCTTATTTACCTCTGTACACTCAATGTGCTCAATGCCAGGCATACAGGAGGTCTTGAATTTATTCCTGAGGTTGATATCACATCTCATACCATTGTAAGGATTCAACAAGTTAATCCTCACAATGCAGTTAGCACAGTGCCTGGCACATAGTAAGCACTCAGAGAATTGTAGCTATTTCTTGAGTCAGTATATACTACTGACAAATTTTACAGTTCAGCCTAAATACTAGGAACACAGAGGAAATGGAAAAGTTGTTCAGAATAAAAACAGTGGGAAAAATTTGCTGTTTTCTCTACTCTCCTTTGCTAACTTTAGGGCTTGGTGCTGAAGTCATAACTGTGCTGCCTGCATCTATCTCCAGTCCACACGGCCTCACCACAGCAGGAGCCCCCAGTGCTGTTTCTTAATCCTTCTTTTCCAGCCCTAATTGACAGACTATTGCTGTCCTGACAGTGGATTCTCTGAATCTGCTCTCCTTAAGCTCCCAGATATAACCACTCCCTGCACTTCAGCTGATGACTGTGCTGTCTGCTTCTCTGAGCCCATGCAAGACTAAATCCTTCTACTTTTTCTCTCCTATCTCACGTTCCCAGGGTCCACCCCTCTCGTGTGTCTCTGAAGAGGATGTTTTATTCACGTTCCTTTTTTTTTTTTTTGCTTCATATTATTTTTTATTATACTTTAAGTTCTGGGATGCATGTGCAGAATGTTCAGGTTTGTTACATAGGTATACATCTGCCATGGTAGTTTGCTGCACCCATCAACCCATCATCTACATTAGATATTTCTCCTAATGCTATCCCTCCTTCTGCCCTCCACCCCCCAACAGGCCCCGGCGTGTGACGTTCCCCTCCCTGTGCCCATATGTTCTCGTTGTTCAACTCCCACTTATGAGTGAGAACATGCGGTGTTTGGTTTTCCGTTCCCGTGTTAGTTTGCTGAGAATGACAGTTTCCAGCTTCTTCCATGGAAACCCATTGCCTATCTCCCGATCAGCCCCATGGTCAAAAAGTCCCCTTTCTGTGTGCGTGTGTGTGTATGTATGTGTGTGTGTGTGTGTGTGTGTGTGTGTGTGTGTGTGTGTGATTCTTACTGAGTCCTTTTTACTCTTCCTTTCCTTCCTTTTTTTATTCTTTCATTTTTTCAACTTTTATAATAGAGTATTTTAAACAAAAATAAATGTAAGGAGAATAATTCAATGAACCTCCATATAGCCTTCACCTAATTACAACAATCACAAATTCGTGGCTACATTTGTCTTATCTATAGATACCCAACACGCACCTCCACCAGATTATTTTGAAGCAAATCTCAAACATTATTACTTCATCCATATATACTATAATGTCTCTATAAAGGACTATTAAAAATAACCACAACATCATCACACATAAAATATT
The DNA here is from genome assembly GCF_000001405.40 of Homo sapiens. Lineage (NCBI taxonomy): Eukaryota > Metazoa > Chordata > Mammalia > Primates > Hominidae > Homo > Homo sapiens. The sequence continues at coordinate 153,471,869 of NC_000005.10, forward strand.
AATAGCAAACAGAAACAGGTTGACTTCCTCTCTTCTTATTTGAATACGCTTTATTTCTTTCTCTTGCCTGATTGCCCTGGCCAGAATTTCCAATACTATGTTGAATAGAGGTGATGAGAGAGGGCACCCTTGTCTTGTGCCAGTTTTCAAGGGGAATGCTTTCAGCTGTCGCCCATGTAGTATGACGTTGGCTGTGAGTTTGTTATAAATGGCTCTTATTATGATGCGGTAGGTCCCATTCATACCTAGTTTATTAAGAGTTTTTAACATGAAGGGATGTTGAATTTTGTAGAAGGCCTTTTCTCTGTCTATTGGAATAATCATTTGTTTTTTTTTCTATTGTTCTGTTCATGTGATGAATTATGTTTATTGATTTGTGTATGTTGAACCAGGCTTGTAGCCCGGGGATGAAGCCAACTCGATGATCATGGTGGATAAGTTTTTTGATGTGCTGCTGGATTCGGTGTGCCGGTATTTTATTGAGAATTTTTGAATCGATGTTCATCAGGGATATTGGCCTGAAGTTTTCTTTTTTCATTGTATCTCTGCCAGGTTTTGGTATCAGGATGATGCCAGCCTCATAAAATGAGTTAGGGAGGGGTTCCTCCTTTTCAATTCTTTGGAATAGTTTCAGGAGAATGGTACGCTACCCTTCTCTTTGTATCTCTGGTAGAATTCAGCTGTAAATCCATATGGTCCTGGACTTTTTTTGGTTGGTAGACTATTTATTACTGCCTCAATTTCAGAACTTGTTATTGGTCTATTCAGGGATTCAATTTCTTCCTCGATAAGTCTTGGGAGAATGCATGTGTCCAGGAATTCATCCATTTCTTCTTGATTTTCCTTTTATTTGCATAGAGGCGTTTATAGTATTCTCTGATTTTTGTTTTTATTTCTGTGGGGTCAGTGATGATGTCCCCTATATAATTTTTACTGTGTCTATTTGATTCTTCTCTCTTTTCTTCTTTATTAGTCTAGCTAACAGTCTATGTATTTTTTTTTTTTTTCAAAAAATCAACTTCTAGATTTGTTGACTCTTTTGAAGGGTTTTCCATGTCTCTATATGCTTCAGCTCCATTTTGATCTTGCTTATGTCTTGTCTTCTGCTAGCTTTGGGGTTTGTTTGCTCTTGGTTCTCTAGTTCTTTTAGTTGCGATGTTAGGATGTTGATTTCAGATCTTTCTAGCTTTTCAATGTGGGCATTTAGTGCTATAAATTTCCCTTTTAACACTGCTTTAGCTGCCTCCCAGATATTCTGGCACATTGTCTCTTTGTTTTCATTGGTTTTGAAGAACTTCTTGATGTCTGCCTTAATTTCATTATTTACCCAGGAGTCATTCAGGAGCAGGTTGTTTAATTTCCATGTAGTTGTATGGTTTTGAGTGAATTTCTTAATCTTGAGTTCTAATTTGATTGCACTGTGGTCTGAAAGACTGTTTTTTTATGATTTCAGTTATTTTGCATTTGCTGAGGGGTGCTTTACTTCCAATTATGTGATCTATTTTAGAGTAAGTGCTATGTGGCACCAAGAAGAATGTATATTCTGTTATTTTTGGGTGGAGAGTTCTGTAGATATCTATCCATTCCACTTGATCCAGAACTGAGTTCAAGTTATGAATATCTTTGTTAATTTTCTGTCTTCATGATCTGTCTAATATTGACAGTGGTATGTTAAAGTCTCTCACTATTATTGCATGGGAGTCTCTTTGTAGGTCTCTGAGAACTTGTTTTATAAATATGGGTGCTTCTGTATTGGGTGCATATATATTTAGGACAGTTAGCTCTTCTTGTTGAATTTAGCCCTTTACATTATGTAATGCCTTTCTTTGTCTTTTTTTTATATTTGTTGGTTTTGTCAGAAACTAGGGTTGCAACCCTTGCTTTTTTCTGCTTTCCATTTGCTTGATACTTTTTCCTCCATCCCTTTATTTTGAGCCTATTTGTGTCTTTACATGTGAGATGAGTCTCTTGAGTACAACACACAGAGGGTTCTTCACTCTATCCAGTTTGTTATTCTGTGTCTTTTAATTGGGGCATTTAGCCCATTTGCTTTTAAGGTTAATACTGTTATGTATGAATTTGATCCTGTCATCATGATGCTAGCTGATTATTTTACAGACTTGTTGATGTAGTCGCTTCAGAATGTCACTGGTCTGTGTACTTCAGTGTGTTTCTGTAGTGGCTGGTAATGGTTTTTCCTTTCCATATTTAGTGCTTTCTTCAGGAGTTCTTGCAAAGCAGGCCTGATGGTGATGAATTCCCTCAGCATTTTCTTGTCTGAAAAGGATTTTATTTCTCCTTCACTTAAGAAGCTTAGTTTGGCCAGATATGAAATTCCGGGTTGGAAATTATTCTTTCTTTCTTTCTTTCTTTCTTTCTTTCTTTTTTTCTTTCTTTCTTTCTTTCTTTCTTTCTCTTCTTTCTTTCTTCCTTTTATTTCTTTCTTCTTTTTTTCTTTGAGACAGAGTCTCGTTCTGCCACCCAGGCTGGAGTGCAGTGGTGCGATCTTGGCTCACTGCAACCTCCGCCTCCTGGGTTCAAGCGATTCTCCTGCCTCAGCCTCCTGAGTAACTGGGACTATGGGTGCGTGCCATCACGCCCAGCTAATTTTTTGTATTTTTAGTAGAGATAAGGTTTCATCATGTTAGCCAGGATGGTCTCGATCTCCTGACCTCATGATCCACTTGCCTCAGCCTCCCAAAGTGCTGGGATTACACGCGTGAGCCACTGCGCCTGGCCAGGAAATTATTTTCTTTAAGAATGTTGAATATTGGCCCCCAATCTCTTCTGGCTTGTAGGATTTCTACTGAAATGTCCACTGTTAGTCTCATGGGCTTCACTTTATATGTAACCTGGCCTTTCTCTCTGGCTGCCGTTAACACTTTTTCCTTCATTTCAACCTTAGAGAATCTGACAATTATGTGTTTTGGGTTGATGTTGTCATGTAGTATCTTAGTGGTGTTCTCTGTATTTCCTGAATTTGAATGTTGGCCTGTCTTGCTAGGTTGGGAAAGTTCTCCTGGATGATATCCTGAAGTACATTTTCCAACTTGGTTCCATTCTCCTCGTCTCTTTCAGGTACCCCAGTCAGTCGTAGGTTTGGTCTTTTTACACAATCCCATAGTTCTCGGAGGTTTTGTTCATTCCTTTTTTTTCTTTATTCTCTAATCTTGTCTGCCTGTCTTATTTCAGCAAGATAATCTTCAGGCTCTGAAATTCTTCCCTTTGCTTGGTCTATTCAGCTGTTGATACTTGTGGTTGCATTGTGAAGTTCTCGTGTTGTGTTTTTCAGCTCCATCAGGCCATTTATGTAATAGTTTTCTTTTATGTCAATTATCCTGTCAGGACTTAAATATTCTACATTATTCTAATTTTTTAAATTATTTATTCCAATCACTATCCTAACAAGGTATGCATATTGCATTTGGTTGATATGTCCATTGACAAATTTCCTGTGCAATTTATTGGTTGAAGAAACTGGTAATTTGTTCTGCAGAGATTTCCATATTCTGGATTTTGCTGACTATATCTCCATGTCTCTTCTCTTGGATCTCTCATTTGTCTTCCTCCATTTGATAGTTCTTTCAACAGATATATGTGCTCAGTATTTCTCTACTCCACTCTCAACAAAAGCAATACAAAGTATATCCATGATAAAACAGATAAACTATGATCTCATCCATATAAATGTAAATATGTGAATGTCTAGTTTGTATAAAGAAATGCAGAAAAAAATGGTCACAGAAGTGTTGATAATGGTTGTTTCAGTAGAAGTTTTTAAGTGACGACTTTTCTCATACTTTCATGAGCTAACATTTGCTAAAATGAATATGTATTTATATAACTAAAACGTGGCTAGGTTTTGAAATGGGGAAATAGACAAAAAATTGAACTATCTTACTTTCTCTGTGTTCTACACTTCCATTTTATAAGTTCACTTTGGAATGAATGATTGAGATTCCTTTTAATTTTTTTCATTAATTCAACAAATATTTTTAAGCATTTGCTAAATGGCAGACACAGTGGTTTAAAGACACGGGCTTCTCTATGCACCTGTATTAAACTGTAAAACTGAGCACATTAAGCAAGTTCTTTACTACATAGCTCTAGTTGCTACTGGTGGATTTTAAGATAAAGTCCAAATGCTACACTGGAACACAAAAGGAACCTCCTGGCCTGGCCCCTGCACAGCTCACCAGGACTCATCCTTTGCCACTCAAACCTTTCCAAACTACTCTGGCTCCTTGAAATCTCACCATGATTTATCTTGGCTCTAAGGCTGTCCTCATGCTGATCCTTCTGCATAGAAAATTGTCTCCTTTTCCATTAACCTTCATCCTCCATTCACATGTGACTCCTATTCATCCTTCATTCTTTAGCTTCATCAATTCAGCTCAGAAGTCACCTTTTCCAAGAATCCTTTCCTGATATGACCCCATCATACCCTGTGCATGCTTTTATCATAGAAACAATAAATTGCCACATTACAGGCTATTGATTCATAGATATAAGCACTAGACTGTGAGCTCCTGGAGGGCAGAGAACCCTGTTTAGCTTATTTCCTCAGATCCTCGCACTGGACAATAACCAAGTATGTACTCAATAAATAGCTTTGAGTGAATAAATGAGAGGCCCCTCACTCTAGTGAATTTACTTTCTTAAGGCTTCCCCACTGCACTATTTATAGTCAAATCCAGTGGCTCTCCTCCATAGCCTCTAACACCATTGTCCACACGTTCCTTCTCAGAAATCCTCTTTGCCTTGGTTTCTGTGACAACATATTCTTTTTTGTATTCTTCCGGCTCCTGAAATCTCTCCTTGTTTTTTTAAATATATATATTTTTCCTTACCCCCTCAAATATTGATGATTTCCAAGGCTTGATCTTCAGACTTTGTCTCTTCACTCTGCATTCTCCCTTGAAGACACTGCCCACCCCCACAGCTCCAATGCCTCACTCCTAACCCAAGTAGATGTTACCTAAGCCTTTGAGACTAGCTCTGACTTTAATTCTGAATTTCCAAGCTAGCTTGCTCACAGCCAAATGGCCACAAAGATGTACTGCAGGAAACTGAGCTTAGCATATCTCAAGCATTACTCATTTTTCTTGGCAATCCCTCCCCCCAACAGCATGTGCATACGTGTTCACACCCACACACACTCACAATGTTTTCTACCTTCTACAGTTCTTACCCTGATTATCAGTTTTATGTTCCTACTGTATTAGGCCAAAAACACTAGCATATAATTTTTACCCTTCTTTTCTAACTCTCCACATTCAGCAAATTGAAAATGTTTGCCAATCCTACCCTGCTCAAGTTTAATCTCACAACTCTTTTCTTTATATTAAAAAGTAAAAATAATATGAAAATTTCAAACACATAAGAAAATTCTGAAAATATTACGACAAACATTTCTGCTGTATTGGATTCAAAGGCATTTTGTTCTCCAAGAAATAAAATGTTACAATCACTGTTAAAACAACCCTATGCCTTCCTATTCCCTTACTCCTCCCTACAGTAACTGCCAATCTGAAGTTAATTTATGTTTTTCCTATGTCATGCAATTAAACAAATGTAAAAGCAAGAAATGTATTAAGCTTGAAAAATAAAGATCTATAGGTGAAAAAATATTGTATTCATAATATGCTTCTTGATTCAGAAATCGGCCATATTTATATAATTACAAGTAATATATTTGTAGGAATAGGAGGTGATTTGTGATAGAGAAATTGTATAAGAGCTAAATTCTTATTCAACACTTCCTTTTAACTTCCTCTTTTGATGCCCTAATTCTGGAATTCACTTGGTTAATTGTAATTGCGGTGACTTCCTGACTGGCTCCTGCCTATGTCTCCTAGGTTATCGCTCTAAAGCATAGCATGGAACATGTCACTTCTCCTGTTCAAAAACCTTTGATTATTCTATTTGGGTTTGTCCTCTGTAATCTGGCATCAGTCTGTCTTTCCAGACTCTCTCCCTCTTCACTGGGGTTTCTCAAGCTCAGCAGTATTGACATTTTGGGCCAGAAGATTCTTTGTTGTGGGGCTGTCCTGTGCATTGCAGGATGTTGAGCATCATCCTTGCCCTCTACCCCTAGGTGCCAGTAGCAAACCCTTTCCATCCAAAGTTGTGACAATCAAAAATATCTCCAGACATTGCCAAATGTCTCCTAGGGAGCAAAAACTCTCTCTCTTTTGGTGTGTGTGTGTCTCTCTCCTGTACACACACACACACACACACACACACACTCACTATCCCTAGCAAAGAATTACTCTAAGTCATAACCCTTACCTACATTGTTTAATCCCACAAACCATACATATCTTAGATTCAGATTATAAGGAAATGCTTGTGTTCTTTTGAATCCCAACATGTGATTAGTACCAGCGCTGAAACAATCTCAGGAGGCTGAGTTTTGCCTTGGCTAAAAGCTACATTTGAGGGGAAGCTAGAATTAAAGTTCAGAAAAACAAAGCCTTTGACTGCAAGTGGAGGGGATATACACACTGATAAAAAGAGAACAGCTTAAATATTTCCCAGAAACTCTCATGGAAGTGGGTGGTAAAACTCAGTGAGAAGCAAGAATGGAGAATGCGAGGCTGTGATAAAGAAGAGGCTATGAGAGTTTGCAGCATTGATAATAATAGCTAACATTTGAGTATTTACTATGTGTCAGACACTTACAGTGCTTAATCTCAAAACAAATTTCTAAAGTCTGTATTATTACAATTGCCATTTTACAGATGAAAAAACTACAGTACTAAGAAATAAAGAGATTTTTCCAAAAGTCCCAAAGTTAGTAATGAGCAGAGCTGGGATTCAAACAGAGACTTTGGCTCTGGAGCCTGACATCTTACCTACAACATCACACTTTCTTTTATAAAGAAGTGCTTTCCTGAGCCCAGTTTTCTTAGCCTAAAGTAAATGAGGTCTTGGCCTGTGTGGGCCTCCCTGCTACAGGTTACAGGTCATTCAGAACCATTTCTCCACCTCTTCCAAAGCTGCATGGGTTAAGTGTGACACCAATCCACTGAGGTCCTGAGCTCTGGAAGGTTTTGGTTAGCAGCTGTAAAGGATGCCATCAACTAGCTTTGAATGTCTAGTCCCTCCACTGCCCTCATGCCCTGAGTGAAAATTCACTTTAAGTTTCCAAAACTTCCTCTTTGAACCTTCACATTGTCTTCCTACGCTGACCTTGCATCCTCCTGTCCCATCATTGGGATGTATCTCCTAGGAGCTGATGCACAGAAGCATCTCCACATGCTCCCTAAAGTCCTTGTTTTATTTTTGTCATAGAAAATACAAGATAGAAACTGCTTTTCTGGTTCCAAGTATCCAATTCAGCACTGACCCAAATAAGGTGCCAATAAATTGTAGCTAACCATGAACATGTATTGAAGGTCAATTGTTGACAAGGCATTGTGCCAAGCACTATACATGTAGCTTTTCTTTTAATGCGCACAATAGCTCCTGAGGTATTATTATCCCCATTTTATAGGTGGGAAAAGGAGGTTCAGGGAGCTAAAATACTCTGCTTGAGGTCACATGGCAAATAAGCCTTGGAGCTAGTCTGCAAACTCAAGCACTCTGACTCCAGAGTCCACACTCTAAATATTAGTTGGGTAAAAAGTTAATAATTTTGAGGGTTACATTTGGCAAGCTTGGCTTTGTCAATAGGCTAACATCTGGACCATCTGTATAGTGGTCAAGGAGTCCTTGAGAAATGGTGCCTCACTCCAGATGCCCTAGCAGAAGTCACAAGGCATCCTCCGCACTCTTCCCTGCAGCCTCTCTTAGTTTCTTATGTCAAAGGTCTTGCTCCAGTTGGACCCACTCTTTCCAGTTCTGGCTTCCTGTCTAGGGACTGCCTCCAGTTCCACACTCTAGAGCATGTATGATTGGCAGTTCCTGCTGCCAATTCAAACTCTTGCTCAGTTCTCAGCCCCACCCCTCTCCCCAGATTCCCTTGTCTTTTCTCGGAATGGTCCTCAGAGGGTCCTTCCAGGGTTCCAACACTACAGTTTTCAGTAAGGAACCGAATTTGCACCTAAAGGAAGCACGTGCCTGCTATGCAGGGTGGTTTTCATACAAAAGAGCCTAGAGACACATGGAGAAGATGGCCAGTCCGAAGAGAATGCAGAATTTGGACTTTGGAGAAGAGGCCAACAAATGCTAGAATTGTGTCCACTAAGGGTGGAAGTCAGGAAGAGTCAAGGCTAGCCTGTTTCTCTGGACCATTGCCCATCCCACCCCCACTTCCCCTCATCCTGCAGGCTGGAAGTGCATGAGGACAGGGAGCTGCCATCTTGGTCTCCTCACACCTGACAGACATTCTGGAGGCCTGTGTTCAGGCTGTGGCTTTGGATTCTGACCACTGTTTCCACCTCCCCCACCCCTTGAAGGACATCCAAGGGTTATATGTGTGAACTGGAGCCAGAGTGGCCTACTGCCTGTGCCTGAGCTCTCCTGGTGGCATTTTGAAGAGGAAATAGTTCAGGCCTCTGATATTCTGGCTCTACCCAGTAAGCCCAGGTGTGGAGACCCCCCCTTGAAAAGCCTACTTGCCTTAGTCCCTCTGTTGCCATTGTCTTTGAAGTCAGGTTGGAAGAAACTTTTCTCTCTTGCACTGTGGCTCCTCAGTGAACAGGATCCTACAGTGGAGGAGAAATAGTGTCTTGACTTCCTGGTCAGTCCCTTGAGGCCCTCATTTCCCAGGACACTCCTCCCAGGCCAAGTCATTCTGTCTCCTCTGGTGAGATCACAACCCCTAGGGACAGGCCAGCTGCTGGTGGGACTTCCCCTGGGAGAAGTAGCTTCAGTGCTTTGAAAGGCTGAAGCCATTTCTCCCAGAGAAGGTGAGTCAGAGGAGGAGGCCCTTGAGATAGCAAAGCAGGAGGGGTTGGTCAGCTTTAGAGGGGAACAGGAGGCTCTTTCTATTGGAAGTTAGAAGCTGAGAACCATGGCAAAAGGAACACTTTAGAGTGAAAGAGTCTATGGAGAAAGACACCTGGTGTTCTCAGTCCTTCCCCAACTCAACTCTTCCCCCAAAACTTTACAGCAGTGGATCACTGTGCCCTGCTCGACCATCACAGACACAGACAGCCACAGCTCTGCAAGTGCATGGGAGAGATAGCCCAGTTGTGGTAAAGGTGCAGGACCCACTGAGCTACATCGTGGAAAATGTTGAGGCAATGACCTGGGTATCTGACATCCAGGAAGACCTATGTCCCAGGCCATAGATCTTAACTGCCTTTGCTTCTCAAGATGTCTGTCCTGCCAAAAGCTGCATAGGAACCCAGTGTTCCTCATGCATTTCTATATCAGAGGGAGTATAGAATACTCTAGGGCTGCCATTCAGACTCTGCCTCTGTTTTAGTTTCTCCCTTCTGCCCTTTGTTAGGGCTTCCTGATACCCTAGGAATTTACCTGTTCCAGGACTGCCATGTGATGGTGACAGGCAGTGATAGAACCCATTCATTTTGGGGAATGCTCATGGGATCTTTTCCTGACTGAGCCACCTAACTGGTGCTGCTGGCAGAGGGTGCAGGCAGTCATGGTGTGTCTTGGTCTGGCTCTGGAGAGTTGGGGCTGGAGAGGTATGTCCTCACATTTAACTCCAGAGCAAAGCGAGGCACCTGTACCAGATGCCAGTTTGCCCTGCTGAAGTACTTCCTTGCCTATTCCATCCCCCTGGAGTCAAAGGCTGGTGCCACATTGCTCTCACCAGCTGTTGTACCTTCTGGTGAGGAAGATTCTAGAGACCCCACCTTCCCCCAGTGAAAGAAGTCTTATGCCTTAAATAGTTTACCAATGATTTGAAGTCTCATTCTTGTTTTGAGTTCAGGGAGTATATTTTCTTATATTCAGCTAGAAAATGCCATAAATAAATAGTGGTTAGGTTTTTAGCAAAATGTGCTGTAAATAAATAGTGGCTAGTTTTCTAGGTAAGTCTATCCCAGCCAGGTTGACATTACTATAGTTGAAATGGTATACTTTCGCTAAAAATAATAAAAGACAATATTGTAGAATCAGATTTTGTTTACTTCAAAAATCATATGATTTTCAATATGAGATACTATCAATGAAGTTCTTGAGATTATTGGCCCTGCTTGGGAGCCTCATCTCAAGAGTTAGAGGTGGAAAGCATTGCCTACTGGCTGATTGCAAGGGTCAGGGGAAAGGTGAAGTGGGAAGACTACTGACCCCTCAAAAAGTGAGGGGCATGATGGGATGCAGAAACTGGCAGTGTCACGTGGGAGGAAATGACCTGTCTCAAGATCTAGTTCTGCCATTTGCTGGTTCTGTGGCCTTAGGTTAGTGCTTTAGCCTCCTGAGTTAGTCTCATCACTGGTTAAATAAAGAAGAGTTAAATAATACTATTTCTACAGGTTTGATGAGGGAATAACATGACATATAATGCTTTTAGAAGATTTCTGTGGCATATAGAGCTGAGTGGTGATTGACTTTGAAGGCTAAAAGACCAAGATGTGCCTCACCTGTAAAATAGGAGTAGTCTAATATGTATAAAGTACTTAGCCTGGTGCCCAGCACATGATGGCAAATGGTAGCTGCTGTAAGTGACATTATTATATTACCATCCTTGACTTCCCCAAGGAGGCTGATTCCCTTTTGCCATGCCTACACACTGTTCCATTCTACAAGAGCCAAGATGCTATTTCTGCTTGACTTAGAGAATGGAAATGGGATGGTGGAGCATGGTGGCCAGCTCAGAGCAGGCAGCTATTGAATCAGGTCCTAAAGATGTGAAGCCACCACAGCAGTCATTGGGATAGAAGAAGGGTGGGAATGGGGAATGAGGAGTTCAGGAAATACTTTATTCAAAGGGTCCACAAAAGAGGTGAAAAGAGTAGGGAAAGAAGGAATGCAAGGTGAGGCATAGAGGAGGGGAGAGGTAAGCTTTATTTAAAAGTCTATGTTAAGGACACTACAAACTCTTGCCTGTGTTTATTCCTACATAAGAGTTATTCTACCAGTCGAACTGTCAAGTAGTGGTCTGTAGCCTAATCATTTGGCCTTCCCTGTCTGTTATGCTGAAATATTATCTCAGAAGTCTTTCATGGAAAACTTACTGCATGAGCTATGGAATGGTGGGCAGATCACATTCTCCAGGGACTCCATCTGCCTCTTCTAAAAGATCTGTCGAACTTAGGCCCCTTCTCTTGTTAAAAGATCTAACTTAGGCCTCTTCTCTTGTGTTTCTGAAAGCTGTAGTTTTTGTAGCTATTACTTTGACCCCTTTAAATGAGCCTCGCGTCAGGTCTCACTGTGACAGAACATGAACAATACCACTCACACAGCCGAGCTTGGGCTTCAAGTCTCTGATCTGCTGCTACCTGGCTGGGTGACCCAGGGCAAATGACTTAACCTGAGATCCTACTTCATTTTTAAATTGAAGGTGCTGGACTCCAGGATCTCAAAATGTCTTTCCCACTTTGACATTCTACCTGCTTCTCTTTCACGTGAGAAATGTCCCATTCCTAGCCTTTCTATTTTTCTTCTGCATGATTTTGTCTCCCTTAGAGTAATAAAGGAGAGGCCAGAGGTTAGGCAAGCAGCAAAATTTAATACTAGAAATATGACAGTAAATTAGAATCATTTATGTTCCAAGTCTCCTGAAAACTGATTAAAATCTTCCTTTGGCCACGAGGGTGGGTGGGGACTACAAGAAGCACCATAATTACTGTTTGGCCTCAATCAAAGAAGGCTATCGGATGTGGGGAGAGGAACATTGGTTCTTCTTCTCTTTCAAGGCACATTCATTTTTTGAAACACATTCATTTTTTGAGTCTTATGCATGCTTTCTGAATGGCTTCTCAGAGCTCCTTCCTGAGAATAGTGTGACTGAACCACTACAGGGTGGGGTTTTACATACGAGGACTCTCGGTGCTAGGTCATGTGTCCCCAGGCAAGGCCCTTTACCTTTCTGGAAGTATTGTACACATTGCCAAGGGCCTGTGCAGTGCAAATTTACCAAAGTGATTTTACCAAATTTACCATGTCCCTTGGGACAATATAGAAAAGTGGTTAGGAGAACCAGCCTTGGAAGCCAGGCAGATCTAGGTTGAAATTCCAGCCCTGCCTCTAAATAGCTGTATAAGCTTGAGCAAGTAACATAACCTCCCCAACCCTTTATTCTCCACTTGTAAATGGAATAATAAGTGTTCATACTTCAGAGAGTTGTTGTGAACATCACACAAAATGAGGCAGTTATGTAGCCTGGCACTGTGCCTGACACATGTAAGTGCTCAAAAAAAAATTAGCTCACATTATAGTCATGATTCCTGACCCCTAAGAGGCTGAAAATCAAGTGGAAAGAGTCAAGTTAAATGTCAATTAAAATCAGTAAGTAATACAGATACTCAGAGAGGCCAAAATCAGTATGGGAGAGCATTGTAGGGAAGATGGGAATTGCATTGGTTCTTAAAAAATTAAAACGTGATCAAGAGAAATAAAGGTACTTCAGGGAATAATAAGGACCATCCATTTATCCTTTTAATATGTATTTATTGAGAAGTCACTGTGTGTTAGATGCTGTCCTAAGTGCTGGAGTGGATAAGATGCATTCTAGTAATGGATCAAATGATAAACTATGTACCATAGGTAGCGACAAATGCTGCAAAGCGAAAAGCAGGGTAAGGGACATAAAAATCATGGCAGCAGGTGGGCTGGATGTAGTAAAAGACTTCCAACCAGATCCTGAAGTGAGAGCAAAAGCAATGCGGATTTCTACAGAAGATGCTTTCCAGGCAGAAAGATGAGCAAGTGCAGTGGTCCTGGGACAAGATGGTGATTAGTGTGTCCAATGAACAGCAGGCAGGCTAGTGTGACTGCAGCAGAGGATGCCAATGAGGAAGGGTATAGGATACCAGTGAAAGAGGCAGCCAGCTGCCAGATTGCAGACTTTAAGTATGGATGAAGTTCTGGGATATTTTGGAGCCGGAGAGTGACAATGTCTGACTTCTTTTTAAAAATTTCACTCTGGTGGCCATACAGAGAGCAAATTACGTTGCTGGGGAGGGTGTACAAAAGGAGTAGAAATAAGGAATTGATAAAGATTGAGAGATATGGGTAGAATGAATGACCTGGAGTGGAGCGATGGTGGAAAGTGGTTGGGCTCTATATTGTTAAAGTACAGCCCATAGAATTTGCTAATGGGTTGGAGGTGGAGTTCTTAGCTTAGCTTGACAATCAGGTGAATGAAGGTGTCATGTAGGGAGATTGGAGGGATGAGGGAAGGAGCAGGTTGGGGAGCACCAGCAGCAGAAGTTTGTGTATTCCTGATGGGCAGATGTTTTGAGGGTGGGGGAAGTGACATAGGCTTAATAGAAGACTGGCACACTGAGCTATAGGAGAAGCTTTCTGAAGTGGATTGGAACAACAGGGAAGGCCTCCAATGCCAGGATGACTCTGGACTCTAACCAAAAATAATGACATTTCACACCTCTGTACAGGAATGGCTGGCAGAGTCATTTCTGTGTGTTTGGAGATTCACCAGTCCCTTCACATGGAGCATGTCATTAATGCCCTCTCTAGCCCCACAAAGTATAACCTCTCATTATCCCCACTTCCCAGATGAAGACATTGAGACAAAGGGGTTAAATAGCTCATCCAGAACCACCCATCTGGGGAGGATGGCGGTGAAGGTCTGGCTCTATTGTCTCCTAGACTAGGGCCAGATGAGCTGCAGGGCCTCTCAGGAGAGCTGGTGCCAATGCTGCATGGTGGCCACCCGCCCATGTGAGTGTGGCCCAGGTGGCCTCTCTGAAGGCATTGCTGATTTAAAGGAATAGTCAGTGCCTCCAATTTCTACCAGTAACAATGGTGCTGCGTAGAAGCTTCCCCATGGAATCGTGGAATAGACTTTTTTTTTTTTTTCAGGCACTGATCCTGCCCCAGGGTGTTTTCCAGAACTTGCATGGCTCCCTAATTACCTAGTAATGCTGAGAGCTTATGAAAATGCTGTCATTTGTGTGAGGAGGGGAGGGAAGACTGAAAGAAGAAGAAGAAAAAAAAGCAGATAGAAAATGCTGTTAAACCTGGCAGAACTCCAGGGTGGGTAATTACATTCTTTGGGGTGTGTTCTCACCACACACACAGTCTGTGGATTATTTTGGAGCCTTCTGTATGAATTGTGCTAGAAAACATGAAAAAATATTATCATTATTATTTTTTAAAACATCTTTAAAAATAAGGCCTTTCTAAAGCCACAGAGGCACCCTCTCTCTGATTGCATTTTTGCCAGTTGGTTAGCTGTCAGCAATCTGTTCTTAGATCATAAATTTGATGGTCCCCCCACCCCCTTGAATTGCTTTACACTAGAAACCTAAAATGTTAAAGCCAGAAGAAACCTTGGTGAAACACCCATATTTTGCAGATGGAGAAACTAGTCCAAGAAGGGAAGGAACTTGCCAATACCACTATCACAGGTAATAGGAGGTAGAGGAGAGAATGGGCCTCCCCAGACCTGACATCTGTCCTTTCTCTCCCTTACCCCAGCCCCTGCTGTCAAATGGAGTTACAGAGTGTCAGAACCAGAAGGGTCTGTAGCCATCACCACATCTAATCTTGTCATTTAATAGATGAGGAAACAGTCTTGTAGAGGAAATGGACTTGGCCCCTAAATTGATACTGGGCATGAGAAGTGGTTGGACTCTTGTCTCCAGGATTCCACTGGCACTCCGTGGCCTGTCAGTCAGATCAAGCTCAGAGGCACTACTCTTACCCTACCCCTTTTTTCCCTAAGTCACTATATTCCATATCCCATATATGTGTGTGTATATATATATATATTCCATATTTCTACTTTTCCTTGAGAAAAGAATCTGAGGATCTAGCCACTCTAGGCCTACAATTCCTCATGGTAATAATCTGCTGCCTATTGAGTCCCTGTGGCCACCTTTAACAGGGCACAGTCTCTCTAGTTCCGTTTGTCTTCCCCATTCTCCCCAACTTGGCTCACTTCATTCATTTCCCTGCCTGGCTCAAGGAAGCATTTGCATTTGTAATCCCTGTCCAACACCATTCTCCTTGATTTGCGGTGTCAAAACAAAGCCAAAATAAGTAAATCTTAGACTGTTTTGGCTACATGGTAAGAGGACTTAAAGTATGCCAAAAATATGAGCTGGGATGGGTCATAATTAATTTGAGGAGTAGGTGCCATGCTGTCTCTAGAGCACAATTTGAGCAGCATTTGGAGGCTTTTCCAATGGGATGTCAGCCACCTGGAGTTCCTCCATTAGATACTTAACTGCTGGACTTTAATGAGCACCCATCTTCAGATATCCCACTTTAAAATATGAAAAGTCTTAAAAGATAATCAACTTAATTTTTCTTCAGTGTAATATAATGGGAGGGACGCTGCAGGGTCCTGGTGCCCAGTCCCTGGCATGCCAATCACTAGTCCCCTTAAGGAAGGTTTTTTGGCCTCAATGCTATTTATATTTGGAACCAGATAATTCTTTTTTGTGGGGTGGATGCTCTGTGAATTGTAGGATGTTTAGTGGCATCCCTGGCCTTCACCCATGAGATTCCAGGGGTACAATTCCATAATTGTGAGAACAAAAAACATCTCTGGACATTTTTGCCAAATATCCCCTGGGGGAGAAAATTGCTGTCAGTTGAGAACCACTGTCTTAAGCTAATCATGTAGCCACTTTGAAGACTTTGCCACTTTGGGAATGGCAAATAGGACTGGGGACTCTAAAGAGAGACAGCATGATGAGCTAATAAAGGATGACGTCAAATAAGTTATTTAGGGAAATGAAGCTGTTTGGTAGGTAGTTCTAACCTTTGAGGATGAGGAAATGAGAAAATCACCTTCTACCAGTGGTCAATCTTTTCTTTCTCATGCACATGCCCGCTATTGTAACTAGCATACTAAAAATGCCCCCATGGCTC
Organism: Homo sapiens; assembly: GCF_000001405.40. Lineage (NCBI taxonomy): Eukaryota > Metazoa > Chordata > Mammalia > Primates > Hominidae > Homo > Homo sapiens. Next base: position 153,487,787 of record NC_000005.10, read on the forward strand.
ATCATGGTCCACCAGGAATTCAGTGGGTTCCAAATCCTGACACTGACTTCCTCTAAGTTCCAAGTTCCCCAGTACACTCTTCCCAGTTATGCACTGCCGGCTCCAGGCTAACAGAGCACGTGGCATTCTTTCCTGCCCCCAGCCTTTGCTGGGGCTCTTTCCTTGGTTTGCATGTCCTTCCCAGTCCTCAGTTACTGCCTATAATCTCCTCATCCTTCACGGCTCAGTTCTTTTGAAGCCTTGCTGGATCCCCACAGACAGACACACTGATTGCATCCTTCTTTGCTCCCCCGCTGCTGTGTTTACATCTTTTAGAGCACTTGTCATGGTCTTTCTGGGTGACAGTTGTCCGGGTTCGTCTGTCTTCTTCTTCTGCCACATTCACCTGCCTTGAGGCAGAGACTGTGTCTGATTCCTCTTCATATTGCCCAGCACCTGGCACCCTGTGAGATACAGAATAGGTTCCCCACCAACATTTGAAATGAAGAGAATTATAAAGAAACATGGAATAAACATTGAACCTAATGTAGTTTGACCTAGATGCCTACACTTGAAATATGTAAGTTCTATATTTAATCAGTGAACAACTATGTATTTAATAGACCAAGGGGAGCTATTGACCATACTTGAGCAGGGCAATGACGTAGACCTCTGTTTTAGGAAGATCTGCTTGACTATATGATTTATAATGACCATGGAAAATTCATCTTTTTGACTCCCTTAAAAGTCCCCTCCCTACAAAGTATGCAAAACAAATCTTACCTAATGCAGGGGGACATTGAGGTTTTGCTTGTAAAGGGTCTAAAGAGCTTCCTCTAAAAGGTGATTGCAAGGTGTGAAGCCTTTAATGACAGCCTAATTATTATTATTACCAGGCACAAAGCTTAGGGAACCTAAAAGATCCCCAGGTACTATTCAAAGTAGTAAGATACAAAAACTGAAAATGGAGAAATTAAAAGATGGAATCATTAAATCAGAGACTCTTAATGTTGGCAGAGACCTTAGAAGTGATCTTTCCTGATTCTGTTCTCTCATCTTCCTATGCTGATGCTTATTCTTCCTTTAGAAGGTTCCTACCCAGTGCTTGCTGTTATTAGAGCCTAAGAGTTAAGAGCTGGGGCCTGATGGTGGCATTTACTGTGTTTAAATGCCCAATCTCTTTCATTAGCAGTGAAAACTTGGGGTGAGTTTTTAGACCTCTGTTTCTTCATCTATAAAATGGGCATGAGGCTACCTACACAGGTATTGTACAAATAAATGATGCAGGTGCATTTCTTAGCATGGTACCTGGCACATTCAAAATAGTGAATAAACATTAGCCTTAAAAATTATTTTAGCTAATTAATTAATATATGTGAAAGTGCATAGGAAATCACAAAGCATTTGACCTCCAAGTTGTTCCTATTTTGGGGCTTCATTGTACATGGTCAGATATTTTTTACAAATCCCAGTCCTTGTAGCTGTCACTCAAGTCCACATGATATACAGTCCTGGTGAGGGAAGTGAAGAGTCTGTGGATAAAATGGCCTATTCATATGGCAAAGCAAAATGGAGTCCAAAGTCTATTATTTCTTTCTTACTAAAGACAAAGTTGACTTTCCTTTTCCTGGATCATCTCCTGTTGGACAGGAGTCCTGGCCAGGGCAGTAAGTCAACTGGTAACGGCCAAAGCACTCAAGTTTGTAGGTTGTACTGTACATCTTAGTAGGTCTGTGTCTTTATGACTTAATCCCAGAAGTCTTATCTTTTTCATCTGTAAAACAGGGCTCATGGCCACTTTACAGGTTTGGAGTGAAGATAGATGGATAAAAATCTGTAAAGTTCCTTCAAAAACTGTATTCTGTGGCGGCTAGTGGCTGCTGCTTTGCATTTAACACTACTATCCTGAACACAGCTGATCTCTCTACAGGTTATTTCAGCAGAAGCCCTGGTCTAGGAGAGTCTATGAAGTTCCAGCTTACACCAGACATGACCAGCATCCAGAAAGACCTGAAAGAAGCTTGAATCCTCTCACTAGAATCCCTGCAAAATGACTCATGTAATTGCTCTGTGTAAGTATCCTTAGTCTTTATTGTACACCCACACGATTCTGATGCTATAGACTCCTGTGGAATGCAGGGAAAGAGAGAAGGGGGCCCATTTTAAATGCCTAGGATTGAAAAGAGACCACCGTTTCACTTGTAAAGGTAGACAGGGACTGTCAAATACCTGGTCAAAATACCTGCCAGTCACTCCAGATCCTCCCTTGTTTGTCTATCTGTCATTCCTTCCATTAGGAGAGAGAAAGCTTTTTTTTTTTTTTCCTTTAAATTTCCTAGGAGGGATTTCTAGGGTCTTTCCCTCAGGAATTAGTTGTAGGAATAATTGGGCCAGTGGAGTGCAGGAGATATATCCAGCGCAGCCCATGCACTCCTAGAAAAAGTGACCTAGATCAAGCAGCTGGTGGATTGAGGACTATTGTGGGGACCCCCTGCCACCTACTGACTTACAGCTGAACCCACATTCCCAGCAGCTTCAGCCTGGGGGCTGGGGGAGCGGGCAGACCGAGCTCAGAAAGGCAGGGGAGGGTAAAGAGGACTGTGGGGTTGCCCCTTTCAGGACCAAGTGCCACGTGTCACACACCCCCACCTCCACCTTTCTGCACACACAGAAAGGAGGATAAGGTGAGGATGGGAGGAAGGGGGAACAGGTAGGGAGGTCGGCTGTGGAACTCCAAGCTAGCTCGGTGGGTATTAGCATAGAGCTTGCTGCCTGTGTGAGTGTGAGGGGGAGAGCGAGAGAGAGCAAGGGAGGGAGAGAGAGGCAGGCTGCGAGGGGAGAGGAGAGGGAGTGGGGGAGCCAGCGCTCCAGCTAGCATGAGGACGGGCTTCTTTTCCCGTGCTCAGTTAATCTGGCTGTCAGTTGGTGTTAACGCTGCAGTTTAAGTGTTCGGATTCCAAGGGAAACAGACAAACCTCACGAAAGGAAGGAAGCAAGCAAGCAAGGAAGGAACTGCAGGAGGAAAAGAACAGGCAGAACAGCGAGAAGAATAAAGGGAAAGGGGGGGAAACACCAAATCTATGATTGGACCTGGGCTTCTTTTTCGCCAATGCAAAAAGGAATATGCAGCACATTTTTGCCTTCTTCTGCACCGGTTTCCTAGGCGCGGTAGTAGGTGCCAATTTCCCCAACAATATCCAGATCGGTGAGTGAGGGGGCAGCCTGGGGAGGGACTTTCTGGGTCTGGCCAGGGATTTTTTTGGGGATAGGGGTTGTGTACCCCCTCCCCGGTACTGACTGTTTTGCTTGGCTCCCTAAAGCTGTGCTGCGGTAACAGAAGGGAGACTTGGGCTTACAGCCAGAGGAGGGGGCTTCTCCTGATCGGATGAGGGGCAGAGGGGAAGTGTTCACACACGCACACATACCCTACTCGCACTCCAGGCAAGAGCATGTGAAATGGAGGAACCATCGCTTTGGAGGAAAAAAAAAATCAGGCTGGAAAGGGTGGTGGGTGTTTAAGGAGTTAACTCTATTGCTTGGTAGATGGTGCTTGATTCCATTTTTAATGTAAGTATGTATGGTGTGTGTGTTTTCACGTGTGTGATTATATATTACATATGCACATATATATGTAATTGAAGGAGGCAGTGCTTTCTCTGCTGGGGGACAGAAAAGAGACCCTCGAGAAGAAGGAGTGAGGGGTGCTGGGTATATTGCAGCCACTGAAATAATGCCAGAAGGCCCCCACTCCAAGGCGGGTAGGCTCCCTCTCCTGTTCTGGACTCCTCCAGCTGCCTTCTCTTTGCTGTCTGCCATGCTGCGCTGGTGGTCTCCACTCCCCCGATCCTGGAACTTCCTCGCCTGCCTTTTCTCCGTTCCTTCCTTGCCCCCTCCTCTTAGATTTCCTATCCACAGAGGTCTACCTTTTACACACACAAACACACACACGTACACATGCTCCTTTCTCCTCCTGTTGGCTCTCCATTATCCTTGTTACTGGGCTCCATCCTCTCAACTTGGAGGCAGGTTTCAACATGCTGCATGCTTTTTTTGTTCCCCATTTCCCCTTCTTAGTTGTTACACTTCTCAAAGGCCCCGCCACCCTCCCTGTATTTCTGAGGGGACTGACAGATATTGCTACTCCTGATAATCATGAGGGAAAGCAAAACAAACAGAAGCAATAACACCAATCACAAAGCATGTCCACAAGGGCTTGGGGCTTCCGTGTGACCAGCATGTCAGTGTCGTTTGTGTCCCGGAATGAAGCAAGCTGCTGTGTTTGGAAGCATCTTCGTTGGTTTGGTTTCTAGTCTCTCTCCCCTGGTAGGGAGATAGCTCCACTAGGGAAAGTTCGCATTGCTGGGAGTTTGTGCTCTTTTGTGAGTGTGTGTTTGAGGGGGGATGTGGTGCAATTGATATTTTGTCGGGCATACATGTGCTGCAGTACCCATCTCTTTCAGCCTCTCCAGCTAGCTGGCGGCTTGGAGTGGCCATGGAGTAACTTGCTTTGTTTCCTGACACCTGTTAAGCTACATCCTGAAGTGTGTACGTATCTGTGTGTTAGTGCCTAACACGCAAAACTTCCTGCCTTCAGGGGAGACACTTCCCTTGTAGCCCAGCCCGTAGCCTTCTACTCCTCAACCTCCCATCCTTTCTCTTTCATTCATTGCAGAGGAGGAGAAAGGGGACAGGGAAGTGTTTGGGGTGTGGTCATCTGGGGGGAAGGGGGAGCATCATAATCAAGAATTTTTTTTGTTTTCATTCTTTAAAATGGGAGCACTTGTACATGTGGAAATCACTGGCTCTTACATGTGGCATTGTTTACATTTGTGCTTATATACTACCTATCCTTTGTGGCTTGGAAGTGTTTGTCTAGTATATTTGTGTATATAGTAAATGGTATAAATGCATGAGGATGTTTCATGTATGTGCTATGTTTTCTCATGTATCTCTGCATATTTTTAAAATTATATTTAGCCCTAACTTGGTTGTTCAACTGATAAAGCCATTGCTACTGTTTTCAAAAAAAAAAGAGATTGAAGCATTAAATTGTAGAACAAAATGCTGAAAATATCACTGCCATCAGGTAGTACTTGATTCTATTTGTGTGATCTGTAACAAAAGGCTTGCAATCCATTTATTGGTTCTTAAAAACAGACACCCACTCTACAAGAAGTTAGAAGTGCATTATGTTTGGACTGTGATTACTGTCAGATTTGAGATAAACTTCTATGTAAACATCATTATAGTTCAGTCTCTAGAAATGGCTGATTTTAATTCACAGAAATGTAATTGATTTACATGTTGACAGTAAATACAAAGGTAAGCCATGGACTCTTGTTTCTCGGAACAGGCATCCCATCAGGCACCTTTACTATACCTTTTACTAGAATAGAATGTTTGTATCCTCTTGAGATGCCTAAGATCCCACATCTTTGAAGCACAAGGTTCCACCATGCAAACACACAATGGCAATCCCTTATGTAACAAGTCATTCCTAGGTAACTGGGATCATGTGTGGTGAAAGAGTAAGCAAAACATTGTTTGCAGAAAAGCAAGAGTTTTTAGAGAAAATGAATAATAAACCTTAGGGGCAATAGAATAGTTAAATTGCATGCAGGTCTTGCTAGGCCAAAGACTAAAAACTGTCCATGTAAACAGTTATAGTAGTGGAGAAGCCCACAGGGTCCCAGAGCTAGATTTCAATCACCCTGCAGCACTGATTAGTACCTACTTCCCGTAAGGCTCTCTGGTGAGAGATGAGGCTGATGTAAGAAAAATTAGACATGACTAGAGGGTGAGGGGGCTTATGTGTATGTTTATATAAGAGAATAGCAGCTCCTAGGTGGTTTGCACAAGGGAGGAAGAAGAGAAATGGCACAAGTCTCCTGTTTTCTCTGACTTTAGCTGAGTTGAGGGGTACACAATCAAATGTTTGAGCAAAGTAATAGATATTAGAGGCCCATGTCACAAAAAAGCTCATCTGTAGGAGTTTAAGTTTCAGTGTCCAGTTAAGCCTATTTGAACTCTCATCTCTACCACTCAAGGCTACAGCTAGTGAGTTTGGCATGGGGAGAAGAAAAGGACTCATCTGGAGTGAGTCGTGAGGAACTAAAACCTGTCTCTAGCCCATATACCATGTTGCATTTTCTTTTCTCATAGGGGGATTATTTCCAAACCAGCAGTCACAGGAACATGCTGCTTTTAGATTTGCTTTGTCGCAACTCACAGAGCCCCCGAAGCTGCTCCCCCAGATTGATATTGTGAACATCAGCGACAGCTTTGAGATGACCTATAGATGTAAGTAATTGCTTCTATTTCTGAGATGTCTTTCTGCGCTAGACCAATGAAAGGAGGGCCTGTGGGTAGGTGGTGGTGTTGCAAAAATGACTTCAGTTGCCATTCGTCTTTGTAAGAGAAAGCCCTCCAAGAAAAATTTCTAGAGGCTTCTGAGTGATTCCAGCAGTTGGCATTTTAGCCCCTGCAATGCTTCATGTAATGGATTTGCTTTTTCACTGTCAGCTAACTTTAATGCCAGCACGATGGGTGCTTGGGTTGACTGCATCTTCCCTACCTTGCAGAGGTTTTCTGGCACAGCTGAGAGAGTTTTACACATACGAATCTTCTGAGAGGCATAGAATTAAGGGTCCTGAGTTTGTGAAAATGTGGTTTAAAGTGCTTAAGGCATTTCCTATCTACATGTTAAATGGACAGAATGTAGCTTGATAAGAAATAATAGCTGAGAAGTTGTACACATCTGGTTCTTCATTTTCGGAAGTGACCAATAATTAAAACTTGGTGCCTTGGTCATTTTAAAAATAGCTTGAGGAAATTGGTTGTTTAAGGCACAGTTTGTAGGATGGTCATTGAGCATCAAACAGAACAAAGGTGGCCTCAAGAAGAAGGGATAGATAAATCTCTGACATCTGAATTGAATGCATTGTAAAATGTGGGCAACAAACACCATTCTGAGTTTTCCTGGCAACTAGGAATGAAAAGGAAGCCTGTGCTCACATGATTGGCTTTTCATGACAGATGAAAGCATAAAAATTAATCAGGAAACATATTTTCCCTTCAGGGATTAAGCTCAAGTAAAAATTTATGGCAGGGAAATGTGAGCTGAATTCACAAGAACAATTTGAGACCCCAAACTGGATTGAATTGGCACGATAGTCTTGGTGTGTCACTATTGACTTGGTGACTTCTGCTGAGCTGTCTCTGGTGGAAGTCATGGACCATATTTCCTTTGTGTCTTTCTCATAGTCCCACTGGTGAGTTCTCAATGATTTGAATAGGCTATGCTTTGAAGTCTCAAAATGAGAAGTCAGAATTCTTTCTATCCCAAAGACCACTCCTAAAATAATGTTGTTACAAATTCCAAGAACTATAATTATAGCAGATTTCATTTATTGAGAACTTACTGTGCATCAGAACTATGATAAATACTTTATAGTCATTTATAGTCACATTCATTACCATGTATTAAGCACTGACTACAGCCCATGTAATGCACTAATTGCTTTTTATGTGTTAGCTCATTTAATCCTCACAGGAGCTTTGCAGAGTACTAGACATTATCTTCCTTTTAGAGATGAGAAAACTGAGGCTACAACAGATTATATAACTTGCCCAAGGTTACTCAGGAAGCAAATGGTGGTTTTGAGACCTGAAGGTCCATGTTCCTGGATACTGTGACAGATACACTGATTCTTATGGTACCCTAATCAACTAGTGGGATTACCCAAGAAATGAAAGGGAATTTTCAGGGTCTTGTAAGGCAGAGGTCTAATAAAGTACCTAAGGAGAAAAACTTACAGTGTTTCAAACTGTAGCTATGATTTGCACAGGACTGGTCCATTGAATAAATAAAATAGCAATTCTTCATTTTGGTAATGCTGAGGTTGAAAATCTTATCTACTGTGTTACTCACTACCCTTAAAAAAATAGCTGAAGTTTAATTGCTGAATTTTAGTTCTATGAAACTATCTTTCTGGGAATCTAGAATAATACTGAGTAGCTATTTTGCTATTAGATAACCTTTCTTTACTTTTTAATGTGGCTTTGATTAGGGTCTTTGGAAGGGGCATTTGGTTGGGGGCATCAGTGTACCTATAAATGTTTAAACGCATATACATGTGCTAATTTATTTCCTGGAGCAGGGCTCCATAGCTTTTGTCATACTTTATAGCTTTTGTATTACTTGCATAGAGAATCAAGAATAAATAGCTGGTGTGTGTATTCACTCATGCTGCTGAGAAATATCTACAGCAGGTTTTGGTTGAAAGAGATGTGAACTGCTCTCCTAGTAGTGTCAAGATGTTGACTGGCACAGCAAGAAAATAAAAGACAAAAATAGGAGAAAAGGTTCTAAGGCAAAAGGTGGTGCTTCTGTCTTGTTATCTCAGCAACCTAAGACTTGATCTCTAATAGGGTTAATGACTGTTTATTAGGGAGACAGAAATATGATACAGACAATGTTGTTCATTTTGGTCAACAGGCCTGGAGTGGATGAATCTGAGTTCTTGAACTTGATGCTGCCATCCATGAACTAGTGTACAGGTTTCCATGAATTCCTGTCTTGTTCGTTCAGTTAATTCTTTAAGTGTTTCTTCAAAGCTATAAACTGAAATAGATATTGGAAATACAGAGATGATAAAATGCCCTTGCTCTCAGGTAGCTTACAGTCTAGTGGGAAACATTGTTATGGGGATTATCTGAGAAGCAATAATCTTATTTTGTGCTTAGACTTTGTGTTTCTTTTCTTTAGCTCCCAGATCCCAAAGGGGGTACTGGGCAAGTTAGGTGGAAATGGTGGCCTGGCTGGAGGAGCCTCTCTTAAATTTCATGTAAGGCTAGGAATACTTTAGGGCTGTGTTCACTGTGGTCCATTGGTTTGGGAAAACTTTACATCTGTCCCAATTTTAATTGAGTAAAAAATGTCAGTGGGAGCAAAGCAGTTTTAGGAAGAATGTACTCATTACTGATACATGGAAAAGCAAGAAAAGCATCTTATTCAGACTAATTTTCTGTGCTGTGTTTTTTGAAATCTGAATTAGTAGTTGCCTTAAATTAACTGCCCAATAAGTCTTAGATCTAGAAAATGACCAAATTTTATTTGTTTTTTTTTCATAATTTTTGCTGTCATTTGATTTTTTCCCTTTGCATTTTGCTATTCATTGTCCCTCCACCAGAGGGTGGAGAAGGGAAGGGAGAGGAAGTGTAATGGGACCTGTTCATGCTAGACATGTTAGCAGCAGGGGACTAAAAATGAGGAGAGGTGGTTATATGGTAGGGAAGGTGGGGAAGATAGAAGAGGACTATGGCTACTACTACTGGCCAAGGTGAGAGTTTGGTGCCTTCTTCGTGTTCAATCTTTCTTGCTTCCCTGGTCTGCCATTGTTAAAGAGTAAAGCCATTGAATCAGCAACCCAATGCCTTGGGATCTCCTTTAAGCACTTTTCCAAGCTTACAGGGGTAGAGTTTGGGGAGATTGTGCATAGAGAAGATATTTACTGATCAGCTACCCAGCTTATTTTGGTGCCTTTGTGGTAAGTGTAAATAAAGGAATAAATGAAATGCTGATTGAGATTATTACTATTAGAGGTCTGAGTAGCATAGTTGCAGCTTAATTCTTACCTTTTAATTTATTCACCTATTTATTCATTCATTCATTCAGCAAGTACATACTGAATGCCTACTTCATGCCAAACACTGGGCCAGACGCTAGGAATATAGGGGCCAGGAAAGAAGGCACAGCCTCTTTCCTTGTGGAGCTAACAGTTTAGCCCAGAGGTTCACAAACTTCAGTGCACTTAAAATTCACTCAGGGAGCTTGTTTAAAGCAAGACTCATGATGAACTTTTTACTTCTTGAATCAAGATATTCAAGAGTAGGCCCTGGAGGAATTCTATAGCAATTATTATGGGGATTACACTTTAAGAATCTCTTTAATCTAAAAAGTCTTCCATCCCTTTAGTAAGCATTTTTGAGCCCTCAACCAAACCTAGGCATGACATAAAGTGCTACAAATGCAGACAACAGTAAGTTGCATTCCCCACCCTGGAGTACTTTATCCATAGTAAGACATTTTCTATCCTGTAAAGAGAAAATTAAAATGTAATGTTGTAAGTGCTATAGCAGCAATTTGTATGGAGTATTGAAGATTCCTTGAAGAGTGGAGTTTGTCTCTAGGAGGTGGTGATTGAATTGAGCCTCAACGATAAATAGGGTTATCTATCTGCAGAAGGGGTCACCAAATATAGCCATCCACAAGCCAGTTCCAGCACAGAGACTGAGTTCTGGGCCCATACACTGTGTAAGAACCATGGAATTTCACATTAGAACTTGGACATCTTGTCTTGACTAATATTTTTAAATATTAAAATATCTGGCAACACTAGGGCCCAGGTCTATGCAGCCTCAATTTGCTGAGATGGGACAGAGTAAACCCCATCTACATGGCCTCTTTCCCAATCAGCCCATTCTTCCCATTTTCTTTACCTGCTGGCTTTGGCAAGCATTGAGTTTGCAAGCCCTGATTGATAGCACTGCAATGTTGTCTGTGTTGTGTCTTTATAGGTTAGCTTCACCACCAGAATATAAACTGCTGTCAGAAAGACCATGTATATCTATAGTTTAGTGTTGAGAACACTTGGAAATGCCTCTAATACAAATGAATAAATGTCTGTAGGAGTCAGGGAATTACACAGCATAAAAATGTTCAGAGCCTCAATGACAATAGGTGAAAGGTAGCAACCCTAACTACAGTGGGATGCCCTCTGTCATGGACCTACTGGGGAAGCCCAGGGGCTTCCTAACAAGACATTAGGCACTGGCAACAGAGAGATGGCCTTAGCTCTTGCCTGAACATGGCTCATCAACTTCAGAGTTGCAACACAGATTTGTTTTTCTTGACCTACACAATGCTTTTTCATATTTGGCATAAAAATCCAGATTTCTGGCATCTTTAAAAAAAAAACTTAGGGCATTAAGCAACCCTAGGCCCACATTCCTGCTTAACTTCTATTTTCTAGAGCTGAGAAGTGCTGCCCTTTTTAAATACATAAACTCCCAAGTTAACCAAAGTTTCCATTACTTCCTGTTTGATTGCTAGAGTAATCAAATTATGTTGTTTGGGCAGGCCTGTAAGTAGGCCAATCTACTCATACCTGATTTATATCGTCAGCATTCATCATTTTATTATTTTCTTCTAATAATATCTATTACTTACCCTGTCAAAAATAATAAAAGACACAAAAGATGTATAACTCCTACTCTCAAAAAAATTAGTGTGTATACAGTAATGAAGAGAATGGTGGCTGATGGTGGGATAAACAAGAATTATTTTGAAGACCTACTATGTGCCAAATACTTTGCAGATGTTGTCTTAAGTTTTATAACTGTCTTGAAAGGTGATTATCCCCATTTCATTGATGATGGTACTGAGACTGAGAGAGATTGTGTCTTCTTTATATTATGCAACAAATAAAAACCTAAGCTAGTATTTAAAGCCAGTTTGGGGGGCTCCAAAACTCAATGAGCATTCTCCTTTTAAAGATCTATGAATATGGCCAGGGGCAGTGGCTCACACTTGTAATCCCAGCACTTTGGAAGGCCGAGGTGGGCAGATCATGAGGTCAGGAGATTGACACCATCCTGGCTAATACAGTGAAACCCCATCTCTACTAAAAATACAAAAACTTAGCTGGGCGTGGTGGCACGCACCTGTAGTCCCAGCTACTCAGGAGGCTGAGGCAGGAGAATTGCTTGAACTCAGGAGGCAGAGGTTGCATTGAGCCAAGATCACGCCACTGCACTCCAGCCTGGCAACAGAGCGAGAATTTGTCTCAAAAAAAAAAAAAAAAAAAAAAAAAAACTATGAATATATGGACAGAGAAAAGTACCATAGCAGTGAAATAGCCCAACGGTAGAAGTGTCACAGTGGAATTTATGATTCAAGCTTAAGAGCTAAGTCTTCCAAGGCAGAAGCTATGACTGTGGATGATGAAAACTTCTTGGGGAAGGTGGAACTTTAGCAGGCATTAAAGGGTGGAGCAGATTTTGGTTGTGGAGTGGGAGGAGGGTATTTTGAGTGGGTAAAGTCACAATATTCCTCCTCGCCTCCCCTCAACCACTGCTGCATATGCTTGTTACCATGTGGTGGAGATTTGGGAGTTTGCCTCCTGCACCACACTATGTTCTCAGCTCCATGGCAGATGTCTACATTTCTCTGGTTAATGTTACAGTCTGAAGTTGGCTCCTCAATCTTCACCCGTGCCCTTACATTAAGGCACACAAGTGTTGACATTTGTCTGTGGTTGACTCTTGGCTCTTATTATAATATTGATAATCATCAGCTTTTATGGATAGAAAAATCCTTGTAAACATTTCTTTCCCTGACTAGTTTGAAGATCCTGCTGGGATGAGTGAGCTTACTGCTCTCCTCTCAGCCACTCAGGATAAAGTGATCATATAGCACATTTGGAAAACTGGTAAGCTTCATGTATTTGTTCATTCATTCATTCATCCGAAACCCTTTTATTATCACCTTCTATGGGGATATGTACTGTCACTGCCCCACTCCATACCTTTGTAGACAGCATTAGTTGATTACAGAATTTTTTCCCACTGAATCTACACGTGGCCTCAAATTGGTGACAGCTGATGCAAGAGATGAAATCCATTTTTCATTACAAGGCATTGCACTAGAAATTGAGAAAAATAAAATGCATTAGGCATTGATTTTCCTCTTAAGGGGCTCAGGTTCTTATAAAGGAAATAGGCATAAACCAAATCTGCCTCTCTTTCTCTCTCTCTCTCTCTCTCTCTCTCTCCCCCTCTTACATACACACACACACACACACACACACACACACACACACACACACACATTCAGAGGAAGGAAGGAAAACCTTTAGTTGGAGGGATTTAGGTTTCATAAAACAAGGACATTTGAGTTGAATTTGGAAAGATAGGTAGGATGTAGATGGGAAAATATATATGTATATATTTGTATACACACACACACACCCCACACACCTTCCTGTAATGGCAGGTTTGATGCAGTAAATAGCATACTGAGTTGAGATTTGAAGACATGGATTCAAATGCTGGACTACCTTCTTGAATCGTTTAGGTATAACCTTGGAGAAACATCCCCTCCCCCAAGCTTATTTATAAAATGAAGCTCATGGTCTCTGAGAGTCCTTCTGGGGCTGTATTTCTATGCTGGCAGCATATGGAAAACACCAGAGATATATGATTAATAGAAGTTCTCTACCTTTGGCTAGCAAGAGGATCCCTAAACAAGCTAAGTGTCTAAGGAAAGCTCTAGACTTCCCTTCCACCAACTTGCACATTCAGGGCGCATTCTGTATGCAAATGCTGAAGCATTATGCCTACTTTGGGGCCTCAGATGAATTCATTCAATATTTAACAAATATTTATGGAGTGCTTACTATTGTGAACAAAACTAGAAAGCAGCCCTGTGCTCATGGAGCTCACCAGCTAATAAAGGAGGCTGCCATTAGATGATCACATGAATGAGTGTATAGGTTGTAATAAACAATCTGAAAGAAAGGGCCATGATTCTATGAAAGCATATACAAAGGAACCAGCTCGTGCAGGAGGATGAATAGGTGCTTGAGCTGAGGACTGAAGGCTTTGGTGATGCAGTGATGGGAACAGGAGGAGTGTTTGAGAAGCTTCCTGGGCAGAGGCCTGGCCAGGCCTTGTAGGCTCTGTTATGGATTTTGATCTTTAGCTCAAACACTAAAGAACCCATGGAAGGGTTTTAAGCAGAGAAGTGCCGTGTTTAGATTTCTGTTTTCTCATCAGAAATCAGATGCTTGATAGTACTTTGCCAAATTCACATTTGCTGAAGACGTCTGGCTTGTGTTTCAATGGCCTTGTTTCTTTACTTCCATCTCCAGTTTGGGATGGAGTCTGGCAGATGGGCAGGAGGATGGGGACAGAGGCCAGGGGAAAGGGAAGCTGATGACTTGGTTTAGGGGTGCGTTGTCATGGTATGTGGCTCTCTGTGTGCCCATGGGCATTCCTGGAGATTGGAGGCTGATCCAGTGCAGTGCCTGGAGAACTGGTGAGGCTGTGTGGAGGCAGGGATTCATTCAGAGTCCTCATTTATTTTAACAAGGAAGACATACATAGCACTGAAGCTCAGCCTCTGTTCCAATCAGACAACTCAGTGGTCTTCAAATTCACACTGCCATTTCCTTCACTTACACTTACAAACTGCTCCTTCCATACTGCTCTGCTGAAATTCTGTCCTTCTGGTCAGCCCTAGCTCTTATTTTACCTTCTTCACTGAGCCTTTTTTCTCTTTCATATTCACATGCTCTTCTGCCCTTCAGCTGTTTTTACCATCTCCCTAGCAATGGTCACGCTTATCCCCAGGTTTTACTCACCTTGTCACTTGAACACGTGTCTTACCTGCCCAACTGGACTAAGCAATGTGAGGTCAATGACCTTGTTTACTTTAGCTTCCCATCACAGTCTCCACCACAGTATAGTGTTCAGTGGTGCTAGATGAATGAAAGAATAGATGGCAGTGACAAGAATAAGCCTGAATCATTGCTGCTTAGGGTAATGCTTTTGATATTATGAGTTTTGAGAGTTCCAACAGGCTGTGCTGTAAATACCTATGGATGGTTATTACTGTGTAGCTCCAAAGTTATGGGGGTGAAAATCAGGTGTAAGTCCAATTGAAAGCTCATTTTAGCTCCCGCTGGACTATTGTCATGAGGGGTCCTAAATAAGGTATAAGGTTCCATCTTCTAAATAAAGAATTTCTGATTCAAGCCCTGGGTTTGCCATTGATGTATGAGCCTTGTATGCATCTTACGACTTTGGTGTGTCCCAGCCTGCTGTCCAGAAAGCACAGGGGAGCCCAGGGCCATGGGAGGTCCAGGTTGAGGAGGCAGGCAAAACTGGGGCAAATGAGGCAGTTGGAGGCTAATGAAATTGATACCCTATGGTTAGGCGTGTTTCCATGTGTTCATTGTTTGGAACCTCTAGGATGAAAGTAAAGTTTGAGAATAGCCTTTAGTCTGTCTACAAAAGTAATATATACATTACAGAAAGCTATAGGAACAGAGACAGCAAACACAATAAAACTTGTATAATTATAGTACTAAGGATACATTTTCCATCCTTTTTTGAACCTAACAATTTAAACATTAATAGATTTATCTTACTGTCTTATAACATGATTTTTTGCATATTACAACCTTTAGGCTACTTTTATTATTGCACATTCATTTTTAATGGTTTCATAAAAGCCCACTGTACATATGTACCCTAATTTATTTAAGCTGTCTCCTTTTATGGGATATCTAGTTTATTTCCCTTTTTTTCTTAAAAACAGTGCTGTGATATTTCTCTCAATAAAATTTTAATCATTTGTACATATTTTGTTGTGATTTTAAGGGAACTATAAACCCAGTAGAACAATTTCCAATGAAATTGAATAAAATTTCTAGTATGTGCAGAACTTGAGATAACTTGTTTAATGTGAGTTCTGACATTGACTTGCTGTGTAACCTTGAAAAGCTTTTATATCCAGTTTAGTTTCCAGATGTATAATATGGGGTGCTAATACCTGATTCTCAAACTTATTAGAACAGGCAAGTGCCATTATTTGTATGAAAGAGCTTTGAAAAATCAAACATGCTAGGCAAACGCAGGGTAATATAATTAACCAGGCTTCTTATCTATTAGCATAAATGCACATAAGTAAAATGTAACTAATTAATTTTTAGTGTTTTCCTAGGAAGGTGTTCATTACCCATAAATGAATCTATTTTATGGATAGGGAAAATTGAAATCTTAAGGCTAAGTTTATCCAAGATCTAAATATATAGCTATGCTAAGTCTGAAAGCATTTCTTTTCATTTATGATTCAATCCATGAAAATGGACGAAATATGTGGATCATAAGAGTTTCTTTGGCTTAAGAAATTATTGTTTATAGAAATAAGGGGGAAAGCCCATTTGAGCAGTAAGCAGTCAGGACTGTTTGTGGCAAGTGACAGAAACCCAACTAACTGGATAGTTTTAACTTCAGGTATAGCCAAATTCAAGGGCTTGATTGATGTCATCAGGACTGAGACATGCCCTCTAGATTTTTATGCTTAGCTTTTCTCTAAACTGGCTTTACTCTCAGGCATAGATATGTCATATATCAGATCCCAGCACTGGCAGCCTTCACCTGCCCAGCTACAAGTCCAGTGGAAAGGAAACTTCTCTTTTCTCATCAGTTCCACAAAAGTCCTGGGCCTGATGTCATTGGATAAAACTTAGGACACATGCTCATTTCTGAATATGACACAGTGGCCAGGATATTGTAGTCTTTTGCTTGACATGGGCCTAGTGAAATCATCATTTTTAGAGCTTGGGGTAGTGAGAAGAACCAAAAGATTGTGGATTTAAGCCAGCCCACCAAAACCATACGGACATGGGGGAGGAATAATTCCCTCAAAGGGAATCAGGATGCTATTACCAAAAGAATGGAGATTGAATGCTTGAGAGGCAAAATAGATATATATATATATTTTTGTCTATTAAGCATATATATATATACACTATCTATATATAGATGTAAATGTATTTATTGTCTATTTTATGTATTTATTGTAAATAAATACATTTACTCTCTCTATATATATATTCTATCTATATATAGATGTCCCCCATTGCACATCTTTTCAGAAAAGAAAATTCAGACAGGCTGGAGCTGAACCAATGCAGACAAAAAGTCAACATGCTAAAGTCAGAAGAGCCACCAATGAGACAAGCACATACAAGGGATTCTGGTGGGTAAGTCAAGATCAGAAGTCAGGACAGGCAAAAGGTCTGAAATTCAGGCTTCTGAGTTAATCAAAGCTGTAGGGGTCTTTGGTAATCCTTGTCCAGCCACGAGCAAACCTGTGTTCACAGAACAGTTAGAAAGTGCTAGCCATTCACCCACATAGAAGCGACTGGGAGGTGGTCTCTCCAGGCCACTCTGATAATAAGTTGAGGTTGTCGGCTGTAAAATGTTTGGTGATCCTGAGGCACCAATACTCTGTCCCAGTGACCAGGACATTTCCTGCTCTACTCAAACACTCAAGCTATTGTGCACAAACTCTTTAACAGTCCCAGTTGGAATCTTGGCTGCAAATCTGATGAGCCCACACCACCAGATGGTAGGTTCTCCTAATTGGTTCCATCCCCTCTAGTTTTTGGCAGGAACGAAACCTTCCCTATACCTGAAGAGGGGACAGGGAGAGCCAGGATCAAATGAAGGAGGCTTTAACCTCTGTTAAACAAGCAGAGATCTCAAGCTGGCTCCTGTCCAAGGCAAACAGGGCAGTATGGTTCTTTTACATAGGTCATGGATTTACAGGGGACTGATATCCTAAGACTAACACTGATGAGGCACAAGACTGTAATGATTGAAAAGTGGTTTAGCTACAAAGGTCAACTGATTTGGGGGAAGGTGCACTTGTTTATTCAATAATTGATATTTGTGGAGCATCGTGGTAGATGAGATTATTATTTGGCAATTATTTCTCTCTCCCTCAAACTCCTTGGGAAAAAAATATAACTTCCTGCTTCATTAATGTCACATTTGGTCATTTGACATGCTCTGGCAACTTAGATATTAGTAGATATGTTTGAAGCAGAGATTATGAGAAGAACATGCCCCAGAGAGCCTGCTCGTCTCATAGGAAAGGTAAATACAGTAAGTAGAAGTGTCCCAGTCAACCCACAGCCCACAGACTAAAGTTTGAAGCAGAGCTATCCCAGCTGACCTGAAAATCTGTGAGCATTGTAGGAAATGCTCAATGTTATATACCACTGAAATTGGAAATGGTTTGTTTTGCAGCAATAGCTGGCCAATAGAAGCAACCAGCGTGTGTTCCACACTTTGCTAGGCACTGAGGGAACATTGGAAATGACAGACATAGTCCTGGTCTCCATGGAGCACTATTGTAGCTAGGAAGATAGACAATGAATACATTTACAAATAAAATATATAGAGAGAGATCATTACTAGGGTCATAAAGAAAATAGGATGTAGTGACATCACCACTATGGTAGAGAAGAACACCTTTAAAGTAAGTGGTCAAAGAAGGCATTTCAAAGGAGGTGACTTCTGAGCTCAGATATAAAAGTTGGAAGAGAGCCAAATGAGAGTAAATTCCCCTGTGGAATGTCGAAATCCAGCCCCATGGGCAACTTGGATTGAGAATCTTGGTCTAGGCAGAGGAGAATGAGGTGCCCTGGAAAAATCTCCTGCAAACTAGGTCACTCACTTGTCTTAGGGCAGATACTAGCTTCTCTCTACCACATCACATGTGCAAGTCAAGGGCTGGCAGATCACTTGCTGCCAAGACTAGATGGTCTCAGGCATTGGAAGCCACTGAGCATAGCAAGGCAGAGAGGGGGAGGTATGCTAGGGCATTCCTAACCATGAGGTGATGGAATTGGCTATACTTCTTGGCTTGGCTCCAGAATACTCAAGAGTTGTTGCTTATTAGGATGGCAAGAAGGGTGTGTGTGTGTGTGTGTGTGTGTGTGTGTGTGTGTGTGTGTGTTCATACATATATTCATTCTTTCACAGAGGAGGAAAATGAACTAGATGGCTTCTAGATCCCTTTCCAAGTGTGTGATTATAAAAAGGATGCTGAGATTTAAATTATGTGTGAAGGAAATGTTAAATTGAAGAACTTCATCTTAGCTCTGTGCCAAGCTCCATTTGTTAATTGAGGTGGTTAATTAGAAAGGAGTCTCCCTTGAGCAAGCAGGATAAGCTCCAGCATCCCTAATCTATCTGGTAAAGGCTATAGAGGTGTCACACCTACAAGGGAGAACAAAGAACATCTAATGCAAGCCCTCTGTTTAATCTTCACTCCAGACACTGAAAAGCAAGAATGTTGGGGGACAGGAAGCTCACAGCGCCCGCATGGAATTTAGACTCCAAGTAGTTTATTAGCTTTGGGAAAATTATTTAACTTACACTGCACTTACTAGCTCTTCTTCCTTACTCCAAGATCACTCTGAATACTTTAAAATATGGTTGGACATGGTGGCTCACACCTGTAATCCCAGCACTTTGGGAGGCCAAGGCGGGCAGATCACTTGAGGCCAGGAGTTCGAGATCAGTCGGGCCAACATGGCAAAACCCTGCCTCTACTAAAAAATACAAAAAATAGCTGGCATGGTGGCACACACCTGGAATCTCAGCTACTTGGGAGGCTGAGGCACGAGAATTACTTGAATATGGGAGGTGGAGGTTGCAGTGAGCCAAGATCAAGCCACTGCACTCCAGCCTGGGAGAAAGAGTGAGACTCCTTCTCAAAAAATAATAATAATAAATAAATAAAAGATGGTTTCTATGTTGATGTAATGAACCAAGTATTCTAGGGTTATGGAAGAATTTCTCATCAGCAAATCCAGCTACTTATGTCTTTGTTTCTTGCAGCCTAGGGCTGATGGAAGTCTTCACACCCCTTCCAAGAACCCCCACAAACATTCCACCACCCCCACATACCCCTGCAAGAATGAAGCTTTCTGGGGCTATGTTCTCCTCAACACCACCACAGGGGTCCTCTCTCACTCCTTCTGCTCCTTTTTTCTCACTAGCGTCTACCCTTTCCCCAGGATTCCAGCCTATACATTCTGAGTTCAACATATCAAAACCAGAACTTGGCATCCTTCCTGCCAAACTCATTGCTCTTTTCTCACTTTATTTCTGTTCAATCATTCAGCCTTAAAATGTGGGTGTCTGGTTTCAACTTCTCCATATAATCAATATTATGTGTTGATTTCACCACCACTATGACTCGAGTCTATCCCCATTTTCTTCTTTTCCCACTGGATTATGGCTTTTGCCTTCTGACTGTCATCTTCATGATATAATCCACTTACAGGTGGCGGATCAATTTATTGAAGACTATTTCTGATCATCAAGCTTCTTGTCTCAAAAAAATATCAGTGGCTTCCCATCTTATTTTAAGTTCAAACTCAGACTAAAATATGAGTCTCTCCATAATGGGTCTCTGCCTGCCTTCCTTTTGAGACTTACCTAAACCCTACACTCTATGTTCCAGCCAAACTAGACTACCTAGTGTTGCCACAAACATGCCTCTCAGTCTTTCACTGCTTTGGTCATACTACTGATTCCATCTGAAATAGTCTCTACCACATTGAGCACCCACTCTCTACTAAACCCTGGAGATACCGCAGAAAACAAAACCAGCAAACTCCCTGTACCCTTGGGGTTTACGTCCTGGGAAACAAATACATATAATGATTTCAAATACTAGTTAAATGATACAAACATAGCCAAATAGAGTCATGGGACAGAGAGTGAGCTGTAGTGCTACATTAGATGGGTGGTCAGGGAGGACAGGCATCACCTGAAGAGATGATATTTTAACTGAGCCTTGTTGCAATCCATAGAACTTTCTGCAGTGTTGGGAGACATTCTATATCTGTGCTGTCTAATATGTAGGCACTAGCAACATCTGCCCCTATTACACATTAGAAATGTAGTGAGCATGACTGAGGAACCAAATCTTTCATGTAATTTAATTTTTATTAATTGTAATTTAAAAAGTCACATGTGGCTAGTGACTGTCATATTAGACAGTGCTAATCTAGATTCTAGAATATTTCAGACAAGAAAAAAAAAACAGTAAGCATAAAGGCTTTAAATGAGAGTGAGTGTATATTCAAAGAACAGAAAGAAGGCCAGTGGAGCTAAAGCATGCTGAGGAAAGAGACAGGGTATTTTGTAAGTCATGATAAGGAATTGACATGGAGTTTAAATGCAATAAAATCACTAATGGATTTTAAGCTTGGGAGTGTAGTGATCTGATTTAATTTTCAAAAGATTACTGTGGCTCCTCTGTGGAGGAAGGAGAAGTGATAAATTGACATGAAAACAGTATGTGTCAGTCAGTTTTTGCTGCATAACAAATAACATCAAAATCTCAGTGGTTTATAACAAAAGCTTTTTTAAAAAACAATCACATCTGCAGGTTGCAGGCTGCAGTCTGTAGGTCAACCATGATTCTGATTACACTGTAGGATAGGTTAAGGCTAAACTCCAGGAGGGTTCAGGTCTGCCCGATGTGTCTTTGTTTGGGTATTGAGGGTCAAGGGGCAGCAGCTACAAAAAGACCTGCTCTCCTTTTCCAGGAGCACAAGAGGCTAAGCTTTATCATGCAAATATATTTAAAGCTTCTGCTCATGTCATGTTCTCTAATATTCCATTGGTTCAAGCAAGGTATGCAGCTAAACCTAATGCTCATGGGGCAGAAAACACACTCTGTCTTCTAAAAGGAATTACAAAGTCATATGACAAAAGGCATAGATGTGTAATTTTATAACAATATCCAATGTAACACAGAGGGGACTGGGGAGGTTCCTACAATAGTCTGGATGACAGATGGTGGTGGCTTGGAAAAGGTGTTAGTAGAAGAGATGAAAGAGGTAAGATTCATAAAGTATTTTGAAGAAAGTATGCACAGGATTTAGTGAGAGAATGAAAGTAAAGTATGGGGTAAAGAAAACAGACCATTTTCCAAAGTGCTTCTCAGATGCTACCACAGCCCTGTGAAGCTGCTTCTCCCTCCCTCAATTGCAGCTGATTTCCTTTTCTCTTATCTCACTGGCTCTCTTTTTTGTGCTGCTTTTATTGGCCCATTTCAACTTTCTACCTTCTGTTCTTGAGAGGTTTTATCTATTGTTAAGACTCTGAGGTTTTGAGGGCAAGAGAATAAAATTATTTGTATTTGCAACCCAACTGCCTAGGGAATAGGCTCAATAAATATTTCCAGGGCAATACAATGGTTAAGAGCAAGGACTTTGGAGATATCATCCTCATTTTGGATCTTGTGTGATCTTTATAATTGACTTAACCTCTCAAAGCCTTGGTTTTTATTTATAAAGTGGCAGTAATCATACACTCCTTTTACAGTTGTGCAGATTGAAGGAGATCAACTTGGAAAGTGCTTAGCATAAGGCCTGGCATAGAGTAAGTACCCGATAAATGAGAGCTATTATTGTTTGTTCAATTTAATTGTTTGTGATGACAAGCTTCTTTGGAAATGCCCTCCAGAGTCTTCATCAGAAAATTCAATGTTCTTGTTGAAATGAGGGGCACAGAGAATAAAAACACTCTGGATGGGATTTTGTAATTTAGTAAGGAGATCTCTAGATCTAAAGTCTCTTTGATCTGAAAATGACAGCAACAACAAAACCCCAAAATAGAGCCACTTTGCTACTTGTTTCCTTTTACCATCTGCCAAGATGGTTCTTTTTAGTTCTCGAGGTCTTGCTTGGAGTCAGCTGCCTTAAAATAATAAAATAAAATTTAAATCTGGTCCTGCACTTATTTGGGAGCGAGAAGACAAACTGCTTTAACTAAATATATAGCTAGTTGCTGCTGGAGTGAAATATAGGGCAATGTTGACTAAAGTGTTTGAGGAATGAACTGCTCTGGGAAAGTGAATTTTAGGATAAAACTGAGGATTAATCAGAACCTGACTTTTTTTTTGGTAACATTTGTAATTGAGACAGTTTCCGACATGTACTTTTCAAGCTTTCTTGCCTTAGTGAGATGACTTTGTTGATCCTAGTTTAAAGTTGCCTTGATCATAAGTATCCTGTAAATCCAGCGGGCATTGTGAACAGAGATTGTCTGCGATTGCAGATGAGAACAGAAAGGTTGGGGGTGAAATCGCTGAAAAAGAGTGCATGAAAGAGGTGAAAAGTTAACATGATGAGTTTGGATATCTGCAGGAGGGTTTCTCCGGAGCTCTGCAAGATACATTTGGAAAAATAGGCTGGGTTCAGACTAGAGAAGGCTTTGAAGGTCAGGAATAAGTATTTGAGAGACAAAATAATATGTTTAAGTTGCATTGTTGATATTCCAAAGGTCTTGTTTATAAGCAAATAAAGGATGATTTTATTTAGCAAGTACTAGAATAATCCTCAGCAAACATAAAGTTACCTGACATCAAATGATGCAGAATATCCACATTTCTACACAATGAACTCTACAGGGTTCATTTTTAAAGTGTTTTAGGAGCTCATTTAGTCAGTGCTTCCCATTAGAACTGTGATGTTCTGAGGATATTAATAGGTTATTTGGGGAGCATTGGGGGTGATGAGGGAAGGTTGCATGGTTATAAATTTAGTCATGCTGATTAAGCAAAGTATAAGGGGTGCTGTGTTTTAGGATTTTGAAGACCCTTTAAAATGCTAATGTGTCTTGTTAATTTCTAAAAAAGAGGATACAGTATGTATTTTCCAAACTTAGTCCCTCTGTAGCCCACAGAACAGGCGGGTCTGATTGCTTGGTGAGTGACAGATCAATGACCACAACCAAGGAGTATTTTAAAAAGGGATTTTATTACTTGCAACAAGTAAGGATGGCTGACACTGAGCATAGTTCCCAAAGCAGTGCCTCCCCAAATAAAGGTGAACCCAGGGCTTTTATTGACCTGGTTGGCTGAATCATTGTATGTAGAGGTGAAGTAAAGGCAGTGCAGGTGCAGGTGCAGTCACAGATCATGCTTTTATACTTGTGGCATGTATAGGAAATGTTGAATAAGCTCATCTCTGGATGGGGATTTTAGTACGTTAATAAAGGGAGTTCACCAAAGTTCATCTCCAACTCAGGCATCTCAACCAGTTTTTGTTTTTTGGGCTTCTTCCTGGAATTTTTTTTGAAACAAGAACTCAAGGTGCAACAGTTACAAGTGTGTAATTTCTCATTGTGTGTACCCAACAATCTGGGGACCCTGAGTTATAACTCTTTTTGCTGAATTTGTGAATAATGTCTTGTGATGTTTAATCCTGTTTTACATATGGTGAAACTAAGGCTGAGAGCATACACAGGGATTTATCTGCAGTCAGGTAGCAGCCAGGTCACGATGCTAACACAGAACTTTTGACCGTCACCCAAGGCCTCCTACTCTTCCAGGCTCCCTGTCAATTTTTGGAGCCAGTCCTCTAAACAGTTTTACCCAGAACAAGGAATTGCCGGTGATTTCAGAAAGAACTGGCAGACTCGGGGGAGGCACTTGCCAAATTGGCTCAGGCTGGCCTTGCTGCCATGCTTCTTTTCCTCGTTCCTGCGAAGCCAGTTCTAGGTAACCTACCTGCAGATGTCTACCCTGAAATAACACCCAGCCTCTGTTACACTGCTGTTACACACAAACAAACAAAGCAAATCTGCTGCAAAAAGAGGCAGGTTGAAATAAATTATTTTTAGTGCAACATATAACGTCAATGTCAAAAATACGAAAGAGGCAGGTTGCATAGGGAGGCTGAGGAGGAGATGCTGAGATTCAGTGTGGAAGGTGACAAGATAAGAGGAGGAAAGTTTGCCCTGGCCCTGAGGCAGCAAAATTAATTTTGCCCCAGGCCTTTAACTGAGGGAACCAAATCTATTTATTACAGAAATTATAAAGAGATTTGGTGACTGACCCCACTTTACCTTGAGTGATTGGACTTTACACGCAGGTAATAGGAATAATAGTGTCATATTTATAGAGCATGTTCAGGTGGTTGAGGATATGGAAAGCCTTTCCAGTAAGGAATGGTTGGAGGCTCTGAGAAGGAAAAACTTAGACTTGGATTTCATCATCAAACTTCTAAACAAACATATTTGGAAAGGTACTGCATTTTCTATGGCCCAAGAGGCCAAAACACAGACAAGTGAGTACAACATTTGGTCTGGCAGATTTTGACTCCACACGACAGAGCCCATTCTAAGTGTGTGGACTGGCTAGCAGTGGCGAGGGTTCCCTTTCTCTAGTCTGCAAACCTCCCAATCAACATGGCTGTTAGAAACCTGGTCCTTTTGCAGAATTGCTTTACCACTTCTACCTTGATGACCCAGTGCCTGTGATACCACCGTTAGAAAGTCATCTAATTGCGTTTAAACTTGTTCTCTCCAGCATCCGTTGAATAGCAAAGACAAATCCTTCTGACCATAGTTCTAATTCTGTGGGCTGGCACTATGGATTTAATTGTGCCCTCCCAAAATCCGTTTGTTAAAGCCCTAACCTCCAGCATGATGGTAGTGGGTTTAGCTGTCGTCATGAGGATGTCATCCTCATAATGGATTAATACTCTATAAGAGACACCAGAATACTTGCTCTTTCTCTTTTTCTGTGCACATGCACCAAAGTAAGGTCATGAGAACACACAGCAAGATGGCGGCCATTGGCAAGTCAGGAAGAGAACCTCACCATAGTGGCACCATGATCTCGCACTTCCAGTTTCCAGAACTGTGAAAAAAGAAATTTTTGTTGTTTAAGTCACCATTCCATAGTATTTGGTTATGGCATCCTGAGCTGACTAACACCACTGGTAATTAAGGTGTTTCTTCCATGAAAAATGAAATGATGGTCAATAGGAAGCAAACAGAAGCTTAAGCAGAAGGGCAGAAAGGAGTGAATTTGGGAACCAGAGGGAGTCCTATAGAGACTAGACCTGGGATTTTGACAGTTCTGCTGAGGGCTGGCCCTGTGCCCAGCCTCCTTCCACTTCTCTTCATCTCACTAGACCAAGAAAATATGCACATCTGTTATCCACAAATACTCTGAATTCCCCCGCCAACGCAGATCCCCGGGAAAACCTAACACAAGCAGAACAGTGGAGGAGATGCACGGGGTATTTGGTGTTTCTCAGGAAAAAGGCTTGATTTTTTGACACCCTCTATCTTGGTCTCTTAATTTGTCCTGAGTCAGTGAGCCACAGTGAAGTCCAGAGAAAAAAATGGAAATAGGAGAATCGGGCTTAAACCTCAGTTTTGTCGCTGATTAACCTGTGATCTTGGGCAACCCACTGATCTGTTCTTTGTTTCAGTTTCCCTCCATGACCCTGAGTACTTTAATAGCCTCTATTCTCCCATGTATCTCTGTTGAACAGATCATAAAGAGTAGTGATTATGAATCCAGACTTTACTGTTACTGTCAAATATCACATTAATTTCCTCAGCCACTTTACACCTGTGCAACCTGAGGCAAAATTTTGTAATATCTCTATGTTTCAGTTTTTATAGCTGTCAAATGGGGTTAATAACAATCCCTATCACAAGCAGTCTTTACAGGCATGGAATGAAAAATTGCTTGTGAAATGCTGAGTGTAAGGCCTATTATATTCAGTAACTATTACCTCTATTTTGGTTCAACACCATTTTGCAGTCTCCCCCAAACACCCTGCTGCAACACACCTCTAAGCCTTGGCTATGCTGGCCTAAAAAACTTCTAGACACCCTTGATGACCCAAATGAAAATCTTCTGAACCCAAGGAATGCTTTCCTGGCTGTGTAGGTGGCAAGCATCACACTCTCAAGGGAGTAAAACTGTGCCTTTCTGCAACCATTATTGCCCATAACCCATCATGTTGTGATGCGTTTTTTACAAGATTGTCTTTTGTTGTCTATGCTTTTGGGGTTATATGCAAGAAATCATTATCCAGACCAATGTCACATGGTTTTTCCCCTATGTTTTTCTCCAGTCGTTTTACAATTTCAGGACTTACATTTAAGTATTTAATTCATTTTGAGTTGATTCTTGTGTAAGGGATGAGAAAACGGTCCAATTCAATTCTTCTGCATGTGAATAGCCAGCTTTTCCGGCACCATTTATTGAAGAGACTATCCTTTTCCCCTTGTGTGCTCTTGGCACCTTTGTAGAAAATCAGTTGATCATAGACTTGTAGGTTTATTTCTCAGCTGTCTATCCTATTCCATTGGTCTACATATCTGCTTTTATGCTAGTACCATGCTGTTTTGATTAGTATAGCTTTGCAATATATTTTGAAATCAGATCATGTGATGCCTGCAGCTTTGTTTTTGCTTAAAATTGCTTTGGCTGTTTGGGATTTTTTTGTAGTTCCATACAAATTTTGGGATTTTTTTCTATTTCTGTGAAGAATGATGTTGGAATTTTGACAGAGATTGCATTTAACAAGAAAATTAATAACCCTATTAAAAATGGGCAAAAGACTTGAATGGACATTCCTCAAAAGAAAGCATACAATAATGGACAACAGATATATAAAAAAATGTTCCACATCATTAATCATCAGGAAAATGCAAATTAAAACCACAGCATAATATCACCTCAGACCTCTTAGAATGGTATTATCAAAAAGATGAAAAAAAGCAAATGCTGGTAAGGATGTGAAAAGAAAAGGAAACCCTTGTATACTGTTGGAAATCATGTAAATTATTGCCCTCAGTTTACAAAACAATATGAAGGTTTCTCAAAAAATTAAAAGCAGAATTATCATGATTCAACCAATTGAATCATGGTAAACATCTAAAGTTCTGGGTATATATCTAAAGAAATTGAAATAAATATGTCAAAGAAATATCTGCACTCTCATGTTCATTGCAGCATTATTTACAATAGTTAAGATATGGAAACAACCTAAATGCCCATCAACAGATGCTAGGATAAAAAAATGTGGTATTGCTACATAATGAAATACTACTGAGACTTTAAAAAAAGAAGAAAATTCTGTTATCTGTGACAACATGAATATAACTAGAGGACATCATGCTAAGTTAAATAATCCAACCACAGAATGACAAATATTGCATGATCTCATTCATATGTGAAATCTAAAAGCATCAAACTCGTAGAAGTAAAGAGTAGAATGGTGGTTGCAGAGGCTGGGGACTTGGGGCATATGTTGGTCAAAGGGCACAAGGTTTCAGTTAGACAGAAGGAATAAGTTCTGGTGAGATATTGCACAACAAAGTGACTGTAGTTAATAATATATTATGTATTTCAAAATTTCTAAAAGACTGGATTTTAAATGTTCTCACCACAAAGAAATGACAAGTATGTGAGGTTATGAATACGTTAATTAGCCTGATTTGTTCATGCCACAATGTATATGTCTATCAAAAGATCACACTGTAACACAGAAATAGATATTATTTGTCAATTAAAAACAAATTTTTTAAAAAGGCTATTTTTCTTGCTGAATCCCACATGTCTCTGGGGCTAGGGTAGATGTCTTTTTTAACCAGATTGTGTCCAGCTTAGTCCGGTGTTCAATAAGCATTAAGTGTCTGAAGGGTGGTCAATGGACAAACAGATGAAGGGTTGCATAGATGAATAGAAGTCTACCATATCTAGGCTGGGAGTGGTGGCTCACACCTGTAATCCCAGCACTTTGGGAGGCCAAGGTGGGCGGATCATGAGGTCAGGAGATTGAGACCATCCTGGCTAACACGGTGAAACCCTGTCTCTACTAAAAATACAAAAAATCAGCCTGACGTGGTGGCGGGCGCCTGTAATCCCAGCTGCTCAGAAGGCTAAGGCAGGAGAATCACTTGAACCTGGGAGGCAGAGATTTCAGTGAGCCAAGATCACACCACTGCACTCCAGCCTGGGCAACCGAGTGAGACTCTGTCTCAAAAAAATAAAAATAAGAAATCTACCATATCTACTTCTCAGGCATAAATATGATAACTATTTCCTTTAATTTCCCATTGGATAAATAACTGTTTATAAACATCTAGTTGCCAGACCCATGCTTGGAGTCTCAGGGCTAAAAGAAATGCTCCCCATTTGCTCTATGTGCTAGTCACATCAATCCCACTTGATCCCCACAGCACCCTTTGGGGGAAAGAGAGTAGTTGATAATCTGATTTTACCAATGAACAAAGGCTCAGAAAAGACTAGTTGATCCTAAAAACACCACACAGCATTCTAATGTTGTAAAAATACCTGGATTTGAGTCCCCTGTACACTGATGCCTTGTGGTGTGGCATTGGCTCAGATGCTTCCCTCCTCTGGGATGTGGACTGGCCTCTGAGGTCTCTTTAACCTCTGGAATCATGTGAGCTGGAGCACCTGTTGGCTGGGGAGACAAAAGGCTGCTGCGTCCAGATCTCCCTTCACGAGGAAGAAATGTGTCTGCACTTTTCATATCAAAGCACTTGGGCAGCATGGGGGCGTATTGTGATGAGGCTGATGGATCCTCCCTGAACTGGTGCCTCAGCGTTCCCATGCCAACTGAGGGAAGGAAAAGAAAAAAAGGAAAAACAAAAATCAAACACGAAAACTGAGCTTGATCTAGAGCTGAAGAAAAATATTCTACTGATGGCAACATTCATGGCCGTATTATGAAGAAAAACAAATTCATAAAAACCTCAGCTTGGCCTTAATGGTTGGATCTTAAGATGAGTGACAAATGACGAAATATTGGGTATGAGAGAGAGGCAGGAGGTGGGAGGAGAGCAGGCCCTGCAATCAGAATCACTTATTTGTAACATCCATTCACGAATACATTGCCCTCAGCCACGCAGGAAACCCACACAGGCCTAGAGGATGCTCTCTGCTTTTTTCGTGGTCCTGCCATTCCCACCAGTACCCAGAGGCCCGAACCAGCGAGGAGAAAACATTCACTCTTTCTCTGAATATTCAATTGAACTTGTTTTCAGTTTCCTGACAGCATCCAGATCCCCAGAGTGCCTGCATGGCTTTATTTTTTCATCCACCGCCTGCTGACTGGTCCCTCTCTTAATACCCCTCCTCCCCCAGGGCTTGCTTCTTCCTGTTTTGTGGGGAGCAGAACATTTGAGCTTCCAGGGGTAGTAACCACTAGTGCTGGTAAGCACAGCTTTGGAAATCAGGGGAGGGACCCTCAAAGAACCATGGAAAGTCCCCTGGGCCCTCAGAAAGGGAGGGATCAAATTAAGTAAGGGAAACAGACATGAGATATGGGCAGATGGGAAGCTAAGTAGCTGTGGCAGCTCCTTATAAAGAGATCACAGCTGGAGATGCGTTCACTAATCCCACAGAATAATCCTCTGTTTCTCTTTCCTGAACCCCCACATCTAGTTCATCAGCAAGTCTGTCAGTGCTAGTTACAAAATATATTTTGAATCCACACACTTTTTTCAAAAAAAATCTCTACCATAACCCCGTATCCCTCACACTGTGATCTTTTTCCCATATCACTACATTAACCTCCTAACCTGTCTTCTTGCCTCCTTCCAGACAATGTTCCACCTGGAGGCTAAAGTGACTTTTTAAACGTATTGAGCTGAACATTCCATTCCTCTGCTTAAGTAAATGTAGACTCCCTTCCTTGGCCTACAAGGCCCTCCATGAACCTGTCCCTCCCTAACCTTACCTCTTGCCCCTCTCTCATGTAACTGGATTTCAGCCTTCCAGGCCTTCCTTCAGTTCCTTAAACAGGCCAAGCTGCCAGGGCCTTTGCACTGGCTGTTCCCTTTGCCTGGGATGCCGTTAAATCTCATCATGGCTGGCTCTAGTTCACTATTCAGGTCCCAATTCCCACGTTACTTTCTCAGAGAGTGTTCCCTGAACACTTAATCTAAAGTAAATTTCTAATTGCCCTCTCTTCCAGCACTTCAACATCCTTCAAAGCATTTTTTTTAAATAGCCCACAGGTGCTACTAAACTTTGAAGCTTTTTTTTTATAATTAGTACCCATTTTGCCTACTTACTTGTATTATCTGATGTCTTTTTTTACCTGCTCAGTGTAAGCGCCACAAGAAAAGGATCTGCTTCTTGTTCCTTGTATCCTGTGTCTAGTCTGGGGTTAGCACAGACTAAGTGCTTAGTAGACATTTATCAAGTAACCACATAAATGAATGAATTTCTGAAGTGGCTATTTCTTTCTACCTGGATTTGAGCTCAGCCCTGGGGATACAGACATGAAAAATACACAGCCACTACTCTGAAGCTGCTCATGGCCTAATGAGGGAAACTGAGAAGTCAGTAGTTTCAGGATTAAAAGCCAGTAGTTTCAGGATTAAAAGTATGATAATGTATATTATTAATCATGTGTATACATGTACAATAATAGTAATAGTGGCCAAACTTGAGCCATTATGTGCTCAGCACTGTACAAATATTATGCAAGTATTTTTTTTCATATAATTGCCACAATAAACTTATGAGTTAGTATTATCACATTTAAACTACATAAAAATGCATTTGGCAGATGCAGAAATGGAGATACTGCGAGGTTCAAATAACTGGGCCATGGGGACAGTTAGTAAGTGGCTGAGTGAATTCAGCCTGGCATCGTGCTCCATGTCAGAGCCAGTGCTCTGAAGCACTAGATCAGTGATTCTCAAAAGATGACCGTCCTGGACTGGTAGAGTCAGCATCACATGGCAGCCTGTTAGAAATGCCAGTTCAAGGCCAGGCACGGTGGCTTACGCCTGTAATCCCAGCACTTTGGGAGGCCGAGGTGGGCAGATCACAAGGTCAGGAGATCGAGACCATCCTGGCTAACACCGTGAAACCCCGTCTCTACCAAAAATACAAAAAATTAGCCGGGCATGATGGCACGCACCTGTAGTCCAGCTCCTCAGGAGGCTGAGGCAGGAGAATCGCTGGAATCGGGAGGTGGCAGCTGCAGTGAGCCAAGATCACGCCACTGCACTCCAGCCTGGACGACAGAGCGAGACTCCATCTCAAAAAAAAAGGAAAGAAAAGAAATGCCAATTCGAGGGTCTCAGGCCGGACCTCCTGAATCAGAAACTTTGGAGTTGGGGCTCAGCACTCTGTTTTAACAGGCCCCGCAGATGATTCTGAAGATGCTCACCAAAGTTTGACAACCACTACCTATTGAATGACTTAATTTTATGGGATACTAGATCAGACTAGATCAGAGTCTGAAGTTTTTCTGTAACTCAGTTCTCATCTTAACGCTGTGAGTGTAGATTGCTCTCAATCCACGGCTGAAGAAGCCAGATTGTGACTGAATAAAGCCAGTTACCCTGCCTGACCCTGGCTCCAGGACCTGCAGCATGTAAAACATCATCCAGGAGTGCAGCCCCTGTGAAGACAGCTGACCTGAAGGGCATGGAGTCTGTGACCCCATCCACCTTGAGAAGCATGCTTCAACCAGCAAAGGAAAGACAGTCCTAGACAAGGAAACATCATCAAGTCTCTCTGTAGGAATACTTCATATCAGACCATATTGCCATGTGTTGAAGATTATTATATAATGATAATAATTAGTACAATAGTAATACCATACATTTTGATTACATTTTTGACATTTTCAAGGCATGTTTATATTCTAATAATCTATTTTCCCTCTTGATAATTTTATTTTCTCCCTTAAAAATCTCTCCAGTTACACAAAGTAGAGTAGGAGTGAAAGGATTGTTAATCTGTTAATCTGCCTGTCCAGGGGAGAGGCAAAGTAAAGAGATGTATCTGTGATTTCATGGCCTGTTAGGTTCGTAGTAACAATAGCTAATGTGTGTTAGGGAGCTTAAGTGGGCCAGGCTCTTTGCTAGATATGTCAGTGCTTATTAATTTAATAAAACCTCTAGACCCAAGGCTTCCAGACTCCCAACTGGTCTCCTTCAGCAAGCAGCGTTTCTTTTCTTTCACCTCACTCTGAATTCTTCAGACTCTCTAGTCATTCATTTATTTTATTCATTCAACTTTTATTTAGCTTATACATCCTACAGAGAAGGTGAAGGGCACAGAGGTGAATGTGCTGGCCCACAAATTGCTAGCTCTCTCAGGGGAATCCAGAACAATGCAGTGCCACCCACAGTGGAGCCTTGAAGGACAAAGGCAAATTATTTACCAAATCAAAAGTTGCCAGATTCAAGATTCTCTGCAGTTCTTTGAGGTTTGAGCTTGGTGCATAAGAAGAAAGGGGGATTTTGTTCTAATGAAAGACAGGACACAAGGGCCTACCTACAAAAATTGCTGCAATAAATGAGGACATCATTAAAATTGTCTTTGTGGGGGCCCATGGATATGGAAGTGAGTAGGGAAGATGTATACAAGCAA
This sequence comes from Homo sapiens, assembly GCF_000001405.40. Lineage (NCBI taxonomy): Eukaryota > Metazoa > Chordata > Mammalia > Primates > Hominidae > Homo > Homo sapiens. Next base: position 153,520,602 of record NC_000005.10, read on the forward strand.
TGGAAGGAATAAAAGACAGAAGACTTCCTAGATCTAGTGCTAGAGGCTCCATAGTTCTGTTCCTTACAAATGCTGTAACTTTGGGCCAGCCTCCCAACCTATTCAACCTTCTGCTTCCTTCTCCATGAAATAAGAACCTGGATTTCTTACTCACCTGATTCACAGGGAACCTCTGAAAATCAAACGTAAGAATTAGTAATAGTAATAATAACAATATAAATAGCTAACATCTATTGAGCAATTATATTTCTTACTTTCACTGGCTTATTTCATTTAATCATGAAAGCATTTCCATGAAGCAGGTAATGTTTTAGGCCCCAGTTTATAGATTATAAAAACAGAGGTTTAGTAAATTACTAAGTTCACCCACCCTTAACAAGCAGTGGAACAAGGATTTGAATTCAGATCTGTCTGATCTTTGAACCTATTACTATTAAATCACTACCCCAGAATTCAAAAACAAATGAGGAAAACTCTGCGAGTCATGCTGATGAAATGAGCGGAATCAAAAGAGGGAACAAAAGGGAGGGCCTGGGGTCAGAGGCTGTTAGCTTGGCATGAAGGATGGAAAGCATTTCCAGATACCATGTCCTGAGTGAGCACAATGCTTAGGCTATGCAGCAGACCCTGGACAGTGGACCAAGGTTTAAGAGTCAGTGTGAACTTTCAGGAAGAAGAGTTTATGCAGAGTAACACATGCCATAAACAGAAGAAAGTATCAGGGACCAGAGAAACAGAGTAAGAGGCAGAGCTGGAGTCAGGCAGCTGCAGATTCCAATGGCCTCTGACTTTCTGCTGTAGCTGCAAAGGTACATTTTATTTAACTCCATGCCCAGCCCTGTGGCAGTCTGGGAGCCCTTTGACAGAACTACAGCTTCCACATCTGGCTCAGTGGGGAAGGAGAAATAGATCTTCCCGGGCAAAAAGAAGCAGCTCAGTCTTGCTGCCTTCCCTTGAGTCTGGACAGAACCATCCTCGGTGGTGAGCTTCCCAGAGCCTTTTGGGAGTGGCTCAGGGGACCAATTTGCTTCCTTGAAGAATTTTGAATAGCTTCAGATGTAGCTCTGGTGGTTGAAGCTAAGGACAATAATGAAAATAATATGATAGCTGACATTCATTGAACTCTAATCAGGGGCTTGTTTTAAGGCATATTTTAGGCTCTATGCACTGTTGTGTGTCTTGCTGCTCTCATTACACCAAAGATATTATAGCACACCCACATCTCACATTGAATCTGATTTATGTGTGAGTTGAGTGGCATTGCTGCACACTAGTTGGTGCAATGACATGTTTTATAGATATTTAAATATTTATTAATTTGATTTTACAGTTTGCTTTTAATATTTCAGAGTCAATATATTTATTTTTCTGGTCAGACATACTTTTTAGGCCCACCCTTCAAAAGACTGTAGGACCCAGACACTGAGTTTTCTCATGCCACCTGGAGAAAGTGATCCTGTAATTATTGTGTTGGGAGCTGAGTGCTCCCACACATTGCCTGTGGATAAGTGTAAGACTCTGGAATTAAACTGCCTTAGGTTTGAATCCTGAACCCACTACTTTCTAGCTGTGTAATCTTTGGCAAGTGCCATATCCTATTTGTGCCTCAGTTTTCTCATTTGCAAGATGGTTATTGTAAGGACTGAATCAGAGAACACATAAACAGTTTAAAATACTACCTGTAACCTGTATCATGGCATGTAAAGTTGTTATTATTGATATTTAAAATGTCCCAGTGAGGTAGCCACTATAGTTATTCCCATTTTGAAAATGAAGTCAATTTGATGAATGGTGGAGAGGGACATTGAACTCAGGTGGTCTGACCGTAGAGCTCATATTCATAATGAGTAAGAGTTTGTATCAGTCAAGTTAGGCCAGGTTATACCACAGTAACAAATGACCCCCAAACTTCCATGGGCTAATATAACATGAGTTTATTTCTTGGTCATGCTGCAAGTCCAACACAAAATGGTGGGGGAGTGGGGAGAGGCATTGCTCCTCATGCTTCCTTAGGGACCCAAGCTGAAAGAGGGACCATCCTAACATGATCACAGTGTCAAAGGAACTTATGTAATAAGCCACACCCTGGCTCTAAAGCCTTATTCCCAAGGTCACGGACATCATTTCCACACACAGTTCATTGGATCAAGCAAGTTGATGGCCAGGCTTAACTTTAAAGGAGGTAGAAAAGTGAAATCTTACCATGTAACTGCAAAATTGGGAATAGCTAAATGTTATCTCAGAGGAAGGTTTTGAGGATCAAATTAATTAATCTATGAAATTATCAAAAATAGGGCCTAGAACATAGAAAAATCTTCTTTAATGTTAGGTATGAATTCTTATTAATTAATGAATTGCCTCTTGTAGCAGCTCTCCTGTATAAATATCTTCCACCTGATTCTCTTGTTCCTGATATCTCTCTCTCTCTCTCTCTCTCTCTCTCTCAATGATCCATCTTGCAGACCTGATCCATTTTATTATTAGACCTCTCTCTTATCATGTCATCTCTCTTGTTCTCCCTTGTCTGATTGGGTAAGTTCAGAGTCCTAAGCAAGATATCTGAGGGCAATCCGTAATTCACTTCTAACCTACTCTGGAATTTTTTCTCCCACTTTTCTCTAAGGCTGTGTTCTAACTGGAAGGACTCATTCACTGTTCCCAAATTAGACTGGCACATTCCTACCCCATCCCTTGATATTCTTCATTCTTATTGTATAATCTCCCTTCTCAAATGCCTCTTGCCTTTCTGCAATTTTATATCCCTCATTATGCAGTTTACCACTTCCTCCAAGAAGCCTCATTTTTCACCACAGCCTGAAATGATTTCATTCAGGGCTGAACTTCCACAGTACTACTCATTTGGCTGAACTTTACTACTCATTTGACCCTGAACTCAGACTGCTTTGAACATTTTTTTTTTTATTTATGCTTATGTTGTTACTGTTGTGGAAAGAACACAGAGCACAGCATCAGACTCATATTGATCTAAATTTCAGGTCTGTCATTGACTGGCCTTGACACCCTGTGCAGGTCAGCCATGTTCTCGAGCTCCTTGCCCCTTTCCTGTGACATGAAAGTGATTATACCTATTTCATAAGAATGCTGCGAGGATAGAATTGAAAACAAGTTATAGTGACCTACATATAGGAGATGACTGTCCTCATCATAGCTGTGTCCCTAGTATCAAGAACAGTACCTGGCAAATAATAGTCAGCTCAATGACTATTTGTTGACTGAATGAATTATTAGTAATCACCAGCCACTCTTACTGCATGCTAGTTTTCTCCAAAAGCTGTAAGTTCCTTGAAGACAGCTTTGAAAAGTAAAGTTCTTTGGAGTCTTAGGCAACGGTTCTCAAGCTTAATTATACAGGAGAAGCAAGGAATGTTATTGAAATGCTAATAGTTGGAATCTGGATGTACTGAATCAGAATTCCTGGCACAGGGCCAGGCGCAGTGGCTCACGCCTGTAATCCCAGCACTTTGGGACGCTGAGGCAGGCAGATCACAAGGTCAAGACATAGAGATCAGCCTGACCAACATGGTGAAATCCCTGTCTCCACTAAAAATACAAAAATTAGCTGGGCGTGGTGGGGCTCACCTGTAGTCCCAGCTACTCAGGAGGCTGAGGCAGGAGAATTGCTTGAACCTTGGAGGCGGAGGTTGCAGTGAGCCAAGGTCACGCCACTGCACTCCAGCCTGGAAACAGAGTGAGACTCAGTTTAAAAAAACAAAAAGAATTCTTGGCACAGAGTCTAAACATCTGTATGATAACAAACTTCCGAAATGATAGAGTCTGAAGATTATGCTTTGAGAAATCTTATTTTGGAAGAGCTCCTCTTGACTGGATACAAATCTTTCCTGGTAGGGCTTTGTAAGACAACTCATCTATAAGGATGAATAAACTTTCTATCCTTCTGGACTAGCTTTCCTGCATAGCTAACTCATTTAATTCCAGGCTAGATCACTTCTAAAAAATCAATGCATTAGAATTGAATTAATTTGTGTTCACTTAATTGATATAGTGTGTGCTTTTCTAAATGGCACTAGGTTTGAAAGTGAAGCTGGTCACACTTTTTTACAGTAGGCTTCTCTAATAACACTTGATTCTGTCTTTGTACCCAGTGCCTTCTGTATAGTATTAGCTCAGGGATTTGTACCTTCTTGGCCAACAAACTTTGTTGATGCATTGAAAAATACAGTTTCCTAATTGCAACTCCAGTGAACCTGTAATATAGTAAGATCCTACAGGTCTCTGTAGGAAATATTGCTACTGAAAGTCAAAGATCACTCATTAAGTCCATCTCATAGTTGATTGTAGTCCAGTGGAAATATTTGCTATATTTGGCAGAACTGTCTTTGTATAAATAGTGAACAGATACATTCCATCTTAGCACTGCCAGCTTAGGATCTCTTAAGGATTCGACTATTTACTTAACTGAGGTACAGCCCATGGGACACACATCACCTATTGAATTCCAGGTCTTAGCAGTTTATTAGAAGTGTAAACAATGCTTCCATTCAAAAAAGTCAACTCATCCAATTGTTAAGACGATTTATCTTTTTTCTTTCATTTCAGCCTAGTGCAGTGATTCTCAGCTGGGAGTGATTTTGCCCCTTTCCCTTCCTGGGGGACATGTGGCAATGTCTGGAGACACTTTTAAGTGTCACAACTCAGGACTGGAGAACTACTATTGACATTTAGGTAAAAGCAATGGATGTGCTAACCATCCTGTAATGCACAGAACAAACCCCTACAACAAATAATTATCTGGGCTAAAATGTCAATAATGCTGAGGTTAAGAAACCTCATTCTATTTTTTGTACTCATTAACTATCCCCCTCAAAACATCTCATGTACCCCATAAATATATATACCTACTATGTACCACAAAATTAAAAATAAAAAAGAGTATAAAATTAAAAAAAAAAACCACCTAGTCTAGTTCTTTTTTTGGCCAAGTGCTGGGCACTGGTTCCCTCTGCTATTTCATTGTGTGGAACCTGGATGGGCTACTCAGAGTGTTCCTTGTTCAGAATCAACTTCAGCTGGCTTACTCTTAGTGGGAAGGCAAAACTTGGGAGATAAGGGTCATCTCAATTTCTCCTTTCTTTAAGCACTAGTGGTTAGCCCTGTAGCTGGAATACAAACCACAACCCTCTCTCCTGATTCACTATAAGAACCTGGCTTGGACTTCTCAAGATAGTTTTCCCTCCTCATTTCCCTGGCTTGGTTGGAACACACTCCACTCAGTAAGTTGGAGAGTCTCTGTGGGTATACAACTGGCACTTTGATTGCCGCAACTTTGTTATCTGTGATCATGGTATATAATAATCAGGATGAAAGTCAAGTTTCCTATTAGTAATTTAGCAACAGTCACTCAACACTGTAAAAGAAAACTACTCCTGTGGAAATTAAACAGAGTCATTTTCTTGTGGTGAAAAGGTCCTGGGTTTGCCTCAGTGGGTCTAGATTTCAGCCTTGGCTACTAAACTTGCTCATGGGCCTCTGTTTCTTTATCTGTATGATGGGAATAATAATTTCTGCCCTGATTACATTAATGATGGAGAGGATCTATAAGATGGCTCCTAAGTTCTGTAAAATGTACCGCAGTTGCTCCCCAAAAGTGAAACTTGGGATTGGGAAAACTTCTACACAATCCCAGTCTATGAATTAACACTTAGGAATCACTGCATTATTATTTGAAGAAGTATATTTATAACTGCAGCATATCAGCAAAATGAGGCCAATATAGTAAAGCAAAATGTATATTTTAAAGGACTCATATTCTAAGCTTATACTCTTTTTTTGTTCAAATACCTTTTCTATTATGCAATGTTATGGTGATAGATTGCAGAATGTTTGGTTGTGTTTTAAAACAACTTACATGAAAATATCAAACATTAACAACCTGTATCAGTCCCAGAAATGTCTTTAAATATTTTTCTGATCTTTGAAACTGAATCCAAAGGAACTCTGCAAAGTCTCCTCAGCAGGAATGTTATCATGGATGATACATTGTGAATAAAGTTGTGTGAATGTAAACTGGATGCATTTGGTATGTTAAAAATACTGTTCACATGCTTTATTAATTCATGCACAATCATCTGCAGGAGGCAGATCCTATTTGCCCGGGATCACACTGAAACACAAAGAGGGTGAATATGTGCACAGGGCAGCAAAGCAAAAAGATCAGCAGCTTTGGACTCAGGCAAAGCTGATGTCCCTGCTGAGCTCAGCCACTTATCAGCTTCATGACTCTATGCTAAATTTTAAGAGCCTCAGTTTCTTCATCTGCAAAAATGGAAATAGTAATACTACCCCACAGGGTTGTTTGTGTGACTAAGTGAGCCAATATAGGGAAGAGGCTAGATAGAGAGACTAGCACTTGGTGGGTGCTCAGGGTTGTTTGTTTCATTCATTTAAATTATTTCCAGTATCCCCTAGTGTGTAAATAGTGAATCTGTGACATGGAGGCTCTTCCAAATTTAATCCAGTGCCATATGCCTTCGTGATGCTGATCATAATCTTGAGAACACAATCCTGAACTCCGCAATCTTGAATACTGAAATCGCAAAAATTCAAAATCCCTAAAGTCTAAAATTTCCAATAGCTAAATTCCTGAAAAACACAATTTTGAAAGATTAAAATTGCAAATCTTGAAATCTTGCAAATCAAATCCTGGGGAAGGGATTAGTGTATTTTTGGTTGTACACAGGATAGGTGCATCGTGTTAGTTACATCATATTAGGCAGAACTCTTATCCTGTTATTGTCTTCATTTGGAAATTAATTATGGTTTAAGGAGATGCATATTGGAGCTGACAAGGGGCAGACATGTGGGCTTAATTTTAGGTGTACACTTGACTGGATTAAGGAATATCTAAAACCTGGTAAAACATTACTTTTGGTGTGTCTGTGAGTGTGTTTCCAGAGGAGTGTGTAACCTAAGTGGATTAGGCGGGGAAGATCTGCCCTCAGTGGTGGCAGGCACCCTTCAATCAGCAGAGGGCACAGGAAGAACAAATACAGAAGTCAAATTGGTCTCTCTGGCAGCTGGCTGGCTTTTCTTCTACTGCACTGGACATCAGAAATATTCCAAAAAGTGTAGTTTCACAATGTTCACTTTCTGCATAAGCATCGTGTGTGTACATGAAAACATGGAAACTTCCTTAATAAATGTAGAGATGTCTTTTTGTATATCTTCGTTGGTGAAATGGAACATTTCTTGAGATCTCAGTTCTGTGAGCAATTGCAAGTGTGGTGATGACCCATTGCAGTCCTTGATCAATTTCGTCAAAAGATTTAGGTTGTCCATCATGTATTTCAGATGATTGCAGTAGTAAAGCTTAGTGCACACAATTACCAACCATAGTTATATACATTTGTAAATTTTACTTTTTGACTTATTACTTTATGAGTACAGTTCATTTGCACATCTTTGTTGTAACCATGAAACTGCCATTAGTACACCTGAGTGTTTATGCTTGCGAAAATGTGTATGTTATTATTGAATATTTTATTGTGTAGAGTGGACTATGTGTGTTCTTTGCATTTTTATGTTTCTCAAAACATATAGACATTATTTTATGTTTCTCAAATAAAAGAAACATTGCCCTTTTAAAATGTGAATAAATGTCTTTTAAATTTTCTTTTTATTATTTTTTCCAGAATATGTTTTTGGGTTTTTGATCTTCTGAGATTTCAACATTTGGGATTATGGTGTTTGGGATTGTGTCTTTCAGGATTATAGCCAAACCCATTTCTTCTCTGCCTCTGAACATCTGCAAACCCACTATTCTAGTCCTCACTTTTAAGGGTACAGGCTCAGAGGACTAAACTGAGGTTCTCAAGCTTTTATGTGCATCAGACTCACCTGGAAAACTTGTTAAAACACAGCTTGCAAGGCCAACCCCAGAATTTCTGATTTGGGAGGTCTGGTGTGAGGACAAGAATTTGCATTTCTACCAAGTTCCAGGTGATGCTGATGCTGCTGGTCCAGGGACCACCTTTTGAGAATCACTGAGCTAAATGTTTCTTTCTCTTTTCAGCAACATTTCACTCCTGTGGTTCCTGACTGTTGTTGGCAGTTTTCCCACAATTTTCCAAAACTGGTCTTCATCCAGTGTCTCCTCTCATAGTAGACATCACATTCATCCAGAAAATAAGGCATTCTCCTATATGCCTTCTTCTCTCTTCCTCCACGTTCCTTCTGTCTTCAGGCATTGTCTCACTGGTCCCTGGCCCAGTCTGTCAATCAGCTGACATCACTGCCCCCACTTGCTTTGAATCATGCCTCCTCCCTTAATGTCTATGTGTCCTTGCATAGGTTGGTTACCAGAGTAGATATACAAAGAATGAATGAGTCTCCCCATCTTTCCGACCTCAAGAACTTGATTAGTGGTATCCTGACTGGAACAATGGAATATGGCCTTTTGTCTGCAAACAGAAACAATTATAGCAGGTTTTCTCACTAGGGTCATGTTTGCCTATTTTATGTTAATAAGAGCTGTTGTATTGACTTAGCTGTCTTTATTCTAGTCACTTCTGCTTCACAATAAGAGGCTATCTGTGCTTGCGTTCCAGGGGGTGAGTTACTGTCTTATATTGTCTGACAGGGCTGTCCCTTGAGGAATATCTTTCCCCAATGCCAGTTCTTGTAGAGGGGCCAGGAGGTCAGAACTTAAGCTAACAAATGATTATCTTTCTCAGCAGAATTACCAGAGGACCTCAGACTCCTGGGTTCCTCCTTAAGGGACTCAGGTTCACATCTTTGGCCCAGAACACACTGTAACCTCTGAGTTCAGGCTTTAGATGAGGCACCTCTCAATTCCTATGGGACCTCAACCCAGTCTCAAATACTTGGTCAAAAGGTGAGTTGAAACTTAAAACAGTACCAGCCCCTGGACAGTATAAGTTGGTCTCATCACATCGAAGTATTCATGATGAGCATCATAAAATCTTCTGAGAGTTGGTTTTGATGAACAGATAAGGAAGAATACCAACACCCTAAAAGTTGAGGGCAATTCAAGTCCAGATGAGAAGAAACGTGCAGGATTGCAGACTTGGAATCCCAAAGAGGCACTTAGTAATGGTTATAAACTCTGAGGGTTATTCGTAACTGATGCCTGGCCTTGGGGTAAATGGATATCCTGAGGCTTTGGGCAGAACAGTTGCAAACTCCCCAACCTTTTGCTTTTCTTGGAGGTGATGTTTGTATGAAAAGAGCAGTTTTCTGGAATTCACACAATAAAATGAGCCCTCTCATTTCAGGCCCTCTGCTGGGTAATCTTGGGCAATATGCTTCCCCTCTCTGAGCCTTATTACCCTGTTCCCTCATTTTCGAAGCAGATTCTAACCTCTGATCTGCTTCTGTGGTGGCCTCACTGGGATATTCTGAAGCTCAAGTGCTGCTGCTGCTAATAATAATAATACCAATTACTATAGCAACAGCAACAACTCTAACTGTGAGCACTTGTGCTGTGCCCAGCTCTGCGGATGGTCTCATGTGTTCCATCAGCCCATTCTTACAGAAGTTCTGGTAGGTAGTTACTATCATTATACCCATCCCATAGGCAAAAAAACTCAGCCACAGAAAGGTTAAATAGCTTGTCTCAGGTCACATAGCTAATAGTGGTAGAGTCTGTACTGGAACCCAGCACTGTCCTGCATTTAACTGCTATGGTACACTGCTCTGTAGATGTTAAAATTACTTTTGGTGAACTTTAAGTAACTATCAATGGAAGATGATTTCTTTGCCATGCGACAGTTTGCTCTCCAAGCTTTAAGCGGATCACCAAGGAGTCTAACTCCTCTGGCCCTGACTGCCTCCATCTTGGTTTCTTGCCCTGCATGGGTTCATCTTTTCTTTGTTTCCCCTCTCTGGCATTATGAAAATGAGAAGCAGCTGTGAGCCCTGCAGATTGCAAATGGGATTGTGAGTGTTGCTATCTCTCTAACAACTAATTCATTACCCAGTGGCAGATAGTTTCCGCTGTGCTGTTACAATCTATTTGACTTCCAGGTGCCACATGGAATAAAAAACAATTTGTTCAACAGTTGGGCCTGGGTGTTTGCATTCAGACAGGCATGCTTTACCTCCCTATGTCCTTGAGGGCTGCCCTCTCTGGTAAGGAGCCTTCTTTCTGGGCAGGAAAAGCTCACTGCACAGGTGATAGACACTGAAGGATATGTCTGGACTTGGAAGTAACTTGATCTAACCAGCCATACCTTTCAGAAAATATTCCAAAAATAGTTACTGAACACCTATGATGTGCCAGTTACTGTGCCAGGAGCTGGCTATGCAGTGACAGTAAGATAGACGCAAGCTCTGCTCTTAAAATAAGCACATCTGCAGATAACTAATAGCAGTAACTTCAGATAATAATAAAGGTCAGGGGGAAAATAAGACTGGGTGATGTGACAGAGAGCTGTTGGTCTGGACAGGGACAGAGAGGGATGGTTGAAGAAGAGATACATGAGCTAAGATGAGAATGGTAAGTGAGAGTTGGCTGTGGGATAATAGTGGGGAAAAATATTCTAGGCAGAGGGAACTTCAAGTACAAAAGTTTTTAGGTGGGTACAAGTTGAGATGGTTCAAGTAATAGAAAGGAAGCCCACATGGGGGTTGGGAGGTGGTGAGCCCTAGAGGTAGAGTGCTAGGAGAGGTGGTTGTAGGGTCAGTCAGGGACAAATGATGCAGGGCCTTCTAGACCATGGGCCTTCCTGGGGATCTTCTCTTTCAGCCCTCTACGGGCCCAGCCAACCAAGGCAGGAACTGCCTTCTGTGTATTCATCATATCTCTGAAGTCCAACCCCAAACCTCTCCAAGGCCAAGTCTGTGTCTTTTTCTTTCTAAATATCCTCACCCAAATCTTACACAGTTCTTGACACATAGCAGATTCTCAGGATAGCCTGATGACTTCAAGGTATAAGTTAAGGAAGATATTGCAGACCACAGATATATTTTATTTATAACCAAGGAAGAGCTTATATTTAGCAAAAGTCTGCACTTCCTCAGTAGGTACTAAGCTCCCTGTTACTAGAGGTACATAAGCAGAAGATGGAAGATCAGTTGGTGGGAATGTATTGAATAGAGGTAGTAGTCATGGTGTTTTGCAATAGAGATAGCAGTAGTGGTCACAATGATAAAAATAGTAATATTCCTATGTATTAAACAGTCAATATATGCCAGACCCTAGATGTATATTATCTCATTTAAGCTTCCTAAAACAACCTCATAAGGAAATACCATTATTATTTCCACTTCCAGTCACAGAGACTGAAACCTCTCACATTTAAGGACTGTGCACCTGGGGTCAGGTAGTGAGTAAGTGGTAGGGTCCACTTGAAAACCCATACTTCCAGTCCATACTTGAAAACCCTCTCTAGGGAAACTTAATGATTGGAGTCCATATTTTGACTTCATGTATCTTGGCTTTTTATTTCTATCCAGAGCTTTATTGCAGGGTGTAGGGGGTGTCACTCTTTTACAGCCTTTACAGCCCTTTTACATATATTAGGTAATAATATAGAATTGAATTCTAAAATAGCTGAAAGTATGTTTTTTCCTCCAGCAAAATCATTCCCCAAAGATCATCCCCAAACTGATGAGTATCTTGTTCCTGTGAGCATTACTGTACTGATCTTTCTCCCGTCATGTAGTACTTTGTTATTTGAGTCATTTCAGCTCTTCAAGGTACTCAAGAGTAGGTGCTGTTGCCTTACACTGTTTAAGCATTCTCATAGACCTCTGAATTTCTTCAGACCTCACACTCACTCCTTGTTGTGATTTAATATCTGTCTTCCCAACAGGGACTCAAGCTATATCCCCAGTACCTAGCAAATGGCAAGTGGCAGACACCCAATAGACAGGCTGAATGAATGAATGCTAAGTTCTGTCTATCATCTTCATACCATGGCTGCTCCCATTTAGTTGGAACGTGTGCTCTTCAGTTTCCACAAACCCCACAGCAGTGTCTTGGACTCCTCAACATTGAGGATGTCATGTATGTGTCATTTATTATTATCCTTGCTTTTGTGACACCCACCAGGCTCACTGGATCACATTGTCACCCTAGCCCCTGTGGGCATCTGGATTTGGGAACCTTAACCTGAGGATCTTGGTAAAACCTCCTGGTGTTTCCGGTTTGGGAAGTAGGCTGTAGAGTCAATACCTGCGGTCAAACATCAGCCCTACATCCTCACTAATTGTGTGACCTTGAGCAAGCCCCTTTACTTCATCTAGCTAATAAAAAATAAATAAATAAATAAAACAGTCACCTCTGCATAGGTGTATGGCAAGGACTGAGTCAAGAAATTTTTAAGAACACTTAGCCCAGGACCTAGAAGATTCTAGTAAGGGTTTAGTAAATGTTAATTATGGTTGTTAGTAACATCATCAAATTTTTAAAATATTATCACACTGACTTTTTGTGAATCTAGACTTGCTAGCTCTGGTGTGCATCCAATGATACAAACCCCCATATTCAACATTCCTCTTTGAAAGGTTTCACAGAATGTTGTCTGAGCTGACCTTAAAGATACCTTGCAGCTCCAAAGTTCTGTGACTTTCACCAGGAGTCTCAAGGCAAATGCACAGAAGGGTCAGGCAAGTATCGTGAATGGAGGCTGGACCAGGGAGCCCATGCATTCTTCCAAAGGCATTTCAATTCAGTCTTGTTAAAGCACTGAGTTGCACAAAAGAAACGTCACTGTTGGCCAGCCTCGGTTCTTCGGCTAGCTCCTTCAACCCAAGTGTATCATCTAGGATGGAGGAGGCTTCTGAGGGACTGAGGGAGGACAAATCTTGGAAAGAGAGGTACAAGGAAGAGATGGGATTTGGATAAGGCAAGGAAGAGCCAGGAGGCTTTGGATGAACTGACCTCTAGATACATTCATTTTTATGCCAAAAGTCCATTTCCCACTCTTTAAACCCCTTCACCTCTTCTCAAGAAACTTGTGTCTCAGCTTCAGAGAGCCATGGCCTCATTTAAAATGTTGTGAAAGAAGGTGATGGAAGCATCAGGTTCCTAGGCTGGTGAATTTTTATTTTTATTTCTCCATTGACACAGTTTAACCTTTGCTTTTGGCAGCTAGCATATTGCTCAAATAAAGTGAAGAGAAGGGTGTGGGGGAGAAGGCAAGAGATATTTGGCTAGAAGGTTATGAGAATCACAATAGCTGTCATATGAGTGCCGAGCATTCTTCTAAGCACATCCCATGCATAATCTCATTTAATGCTCACAATAGTCCTCTGAAGTCTAATGTCTATTTAGAAAAGGGAAGCTTATCTGAGGTTTAGCATAGAATAACTCACCCATGGTCACCTATGTGAAAAAAGTGCAGAGCTAAGAATGGAATTGAAATCTGTCAAACTCCAGAGTGTAGAGACTGACCAAGTAGACCCCCCACTTCCAGGCCAATGCATTTCGGCACTTGATTTGTGGCAAGGAGTCCTCTCAGGGTTTTGGGGCTATGCTGGTGCTTGCTATGCTGCCTCGGAAATGTCACCTAACCTAGAAATAGTGTTTATTCTGTTACAAAGCAAGTTGGAAGAAAAGAAAACACTCCTTTTTTCTTTTTTCTGTGCCTCCTCTCCTTACTTTCCTCTGAAACTTAAGTTCCAAGGAGTGCAATTAGCAGGTCAGCTTGTCTTGCTGAACAGTCAGGTTACTTTCCCTCAGTATTTGATGCCAAGTGAATGTTGAGCTGAAAGGCTGGCTGATAAATGCCCCTCTGGGGAGAAGGAACTGTGAAATAGCCTGGATCTATTGGCAGATACTAGGGCCAAAAAGTCCTTAGAAACTCAACCTGAAAAAAATGTCTAGGGAAAGCAAAACGGCCAACTAAGGTAGTAAACACTTCAGAAAACCTTGATAATAGCAATTTGGAAAATCTTGCATGTACAGTTTCATTTCATAAACCCCTCCAGTCATGGGATGGATACAGATGTCTTGCCTGAAAATGTAACTGGTAAATTTACAGATAATAATGTATTGGTAGTTGCTCACAGAAAGACAGTATCACGTTGTGGAGTAAGTGCTTGACTGAGACTAAAAGGTCTTGGTATGAGCCTCAGGGTCATCATTACCAGCTGTGTGACCCTGAAGAAGTCAGGCATTTTCTTGGCCATCTATGAAGTTGGATTTTAACTCCCCAACCCTAATCCACCAGCCATTCTTAATCAAGGAGTCAGATAAATGTCTGGCCCCTGTGGGATTCATATCACTGTCTTCAGAGAAAAGGGCATATTTGAAAAAGTGTATTCTACACGGTAACCTTCTAGAGAGGCACAGGCCTTTTTTTGTTTTGTTTTGTTTTGTTTTGTTTTGTTTTATTTTTGAGGTGGAGTCTCTGTTGCCCAGGCTGGAGTGCAGTGGCACAATCTTGGTTCATTATAACTTTTACCTCCTGGGTTCAAGCAATTCTCCTGCCACAGCCTCCTGAGTAGCTCGGATTACAGGCATGCATCACCATGCCTGGCAAAGTTCTGTATCTTTAGTAGAGACAGGGCTTCCCCATGTTGGCCAGGCTGGTCTTGAACTCCTGACCTCAAGCGATCTGCCCGTCTCGGCCTCCCAAAATGCTGGGATTGCAGGCATGAGCCACCGCACCCAGCCCAACACAGGCCATTTTTAATGGGTTGTTAGGATAAGGTGGGTAAATAGATGTGAACGTGCCATGTAAATTTAGAATGTCAAACACGTACAGACTAATGCTATTTACCCACCATCCACCACCATTGTTTATCCAGTTGTTTATTCAATTGCAAATGGCTTCTTAGCCTGTTGGAGAAATGATCTGAGGTGGTCAGAGGTATGGCCCATATCTGTCAAATAAAGCAACCTCCTGGCACATATGATAGGCCAAAACCCTATCACTTGGGATTTGTGAACAACATTCTCCAGTCAGCTGAACAAGCAGGTGCTAGAAAAGAGTGTAAATAATTCAACTTGTTTCAGGACATGTGTTTAGGTGAGTAATGTGAATGTGAACAGTTTTTATCTTTTATTTCTTGGTCTCAAGTTGGCACTATTAGGCATCCATTCCTAACATAAAATAGTGTCTATGAATGGCAGCTGGTCATTAGATGTACATATCCAAATCCAAGATCAGTACAATTTTCACCTCCACCTTGTCTTACCTCTTGCACTCCCTAACTCAGTGGCAGTGCCACAATCCACCTAATCACCCAGAAAGAGACCAAGAGACTTTTGATTCTTTTTCCCTTATCCATGTCTTTGATCTGCCACCAAGTTCTGGAGCTGTTACCTCTACTGTCTCCCTCTAATCTGTCACGCTGTCAATGGTGGCAGGAAATACCGACAGCAGCTCCTAACTGGCTTCTGCCACCACTGCTTACCCACTGCCAAATCCATCCCAATTCTTGCTGTCAGAATCGTCCTTTTAAAACAAATCATCTACTGTGGCACTCCTTGTTCCACACCTGGGGAAATCCAGCCTCCGTAGTGTGATATTGAAGGCTCAGCAGACTCTGACCCTGTCCCATCTCAATTGTCCTTCCACACCCCTCCCCTAAATTATGCCACAAATTCTTGTCTGTGTTCTAAACAATAGCCAGATTTCCCTCATTTCCCTCCTGTTTCTGCCCTCTGACCAAACTCAATTTGCCAGCAATGCTCTCCGTTTTTTTCTTTCTTCATCCCTGTCTCCTCTCAAGACTTTTAATCGTCCCTCAGGGCCAAGTTTAGATCTAATCCCTACCAATAAGCTTTCCTCAATCTCCCACCCCTACCTCCACAAGAATTAGCCTTCCCCCATTATATCCCTTATCATTCTGCCGTACATTAGCAAGATTTGTATGCATGACTGTTAGACTGACAGCTCCTTTGGGGGAAAGGGCCTTATTGTGCTCATCTGTCCATCTCCTTTCTCTCTTCTTCCTCTTGCCTCCTCCCTCCTAACCTCCTCCAGCCCAGCATCTAAGTGCAGTACATTTCACATAAGAGACACCCCAGCAAAGTGTGTTGAATAGAATCCATTAATTTGCATTCCATTTCTTTGGAAATAGCTTTTGGAATCCATTGGGCAGATAGTGAAAATTTCAACTAACATGATGGTGGAGAAAAACCTTAACTTTTGTGCTCATGTTAAATTTAGAAACATTTTGTTTCATTCTATCACCTCTGCTAACCTCTTAACTAACTTGAGGTTATGGAGAAAGGGCAGAAGACTTATTTTTCTACATCTTTAATATTTCCGGTCAATTCTCTCTTCTCCATCAGTATTGCCAGTGCCTTCGTTGAGACAGGTCATCTTTGTGGTTAAAGTTTGAAGTCCCTGAGATAAGACTATCTGGGTTTTAATACTAGTTATGCTAACAGACAGACCTTGGGTGAGTTAGTTACTCTTTCTGGGCCTCAGTTTCCTCAACCATAAAATGAAAATATTAATGCTACCCATTTTGTAGAGAGAGATTCCACAGGCCTAGTTGGTGGCCAGGGAACCCTGGGATAATAAAAGCAATCGGACATCTTGGGAACCAGGTAATCTCCTAACATTCCAAAGATACCTGCTGTCCCCTCTCAACGCCATACAGTGTGTGCCAGTAGATTATAAACTGCATAAGGAAAGAGATGATGTCTGCTCTCCTCCATATCCCTGGCTCCTGACACATAAGAGGATCATAAACGCACTTTGCAAAGCAAATGCCAGCTCTGGAATTCTGCAGCAGCCTGGAGACCAGACCCTGCACATCAAGGCCCAGTGGAAAACTAATGATTTCTCCCCCGCAGACCTGCCTAGCGAAGGGCCCCGTGGAGCTTGGCTGGTGAGAGCATTCTTCATTCTCCGCATGTCCCTGGCTCTCCCTCTCTCTCCCCACCTCCGCAGCCTCCCAGTCAAGCTATTGTGCATCTCCTGCTCTCTGTGTCTCGCTGCCTGGGTCCCTTTCTGCGCTGCTGCCTAAGCATTGTCTGTGATGTCTTTAGTGTGAAAGGTGATTCACAGAAATAAATTGCATTGTGTTTTAGGTCCATAGCAATCTACCTCTGTAATCATGTCTGTAAGGGACTTCATAATAGTGTGAGGGCCTTGGTGTCAGAACCAGGGTCTCCAGTGGCTTCAAGATAGATAAGTGCTGCAACCAAATGCACATTCAGCCAGTGAAGTTGCAAGTTAGAGGTGAAGATGGAGGTGCTGCTGCTATGAAGCAACCATACTCTCAGCCCTTTTATCTGCAGGTTGATAAAAATCAATCAAAACATGAGATGTGGTTTTTTGTTTGTTTTTAATAACCACTGGAAAACTAAGACTTGTTTAATAGAGTCTCAGCCAACAGCTTGTGCTCTTACCAGCCCTGTGATTAGACGAAAGGGAAAGTTCAAAGTGTCACCTAGAAGGGGGAGGCACCAAAGAAGAAGAGGCAGGGAGGTGATACAGTGAAAGGCAAGGAGGAGCTGGGCTGGAATCTGAGAAACCTGAGACTGATTTGTTCTAATCATCATCCTATGTGATGGTGGAAGATAAGAACCACAGATTCTGGAAGGAAATTGATGGCATAGACTCAACAACAGTGGGATGAATATTTATACACAATAAAAGGGGGGCAAGCTGGTTCTCCCAAAATATTTAGAAATGATGGGAAGTAGGGGGAATTGTGCTCCCTTGATCACATTATTCAGAAGTGACTGCATTCTTATGGCATTTTTAACAGTTTATTGAGATATAATTTATATGCCATAGAGTTTACTTATTTAAAGTGTATATCTCATGACATTTTAAGGTGATATATTGTTAAGTCTATGACAAAAAGATTTAAAGGAAGCAATGTGAAACAAAGACCACAAGATGAGTAGAGAGGCTGTCAAAGGTGGAGGGGTGTTTTTTTAATGTGTCTGCTTCCCCAGCAACTGGTAGATCTGCCCTCATCCCACCTCCCACCACCCAAGGTCTGGCTATGCCTGCAGGTTCACTACATGAAGTAAGAATAGGTGGCTCTTAGTCAGCTCACAGGACACTCACACAGCTAAATGCTAGGAATCCCTCTGGGAGGTCTACTGCAATCTTGGAGGTTTAGAATTTGTTCCGCTTGAACTTTCAGATTATGAGTCCCACTGCACAGCCACCCACCCACCCTTTTTGTGTGACACTTGCGTTAGCACAACATGTCCCTATTTCTCCCTCTAATTAGGTCTTTACCAATTGATTTAGAGGCCATGTTCAGTTTCCATAAGCAATCAGGTACATCCTACAGGTGCGTTCATATGGTATCATTTGTCCTCATTCCTCTGGATGGTTATGATCCTCAAAACTACCTTACCTGTAACCTATACTAAAATATCTTAATCCTAGCATGTGTAATTCCAATGAAGTCCTTCCTCTTGAAAACTACTCTTGGTTCTGTTCTTGAATTATTTTCTGTCAATATCTTCCTTGGAATGACACTGGCTGGGTTTGTGAACTAATCAAACCTCATGAAGGGGTAACTAGCTGGCCAGGGCTGAGAGAATGATTAAATTAGGTCACTGTTTCCTAAACACAACCCTTCTCCTATCTTCATGTATTTATCATATCTGTGCATTTACTTATATTTTCCTTTAACAAACATATTTTAATTAAAGTTATTTAAAAAGGAAACATATCAACTATTGCAAATAGAAAAACCAGTATCACTATTAATAGTTAGAAGCTATAAAATTAAAACAAAGCATTGTTATTATATTCTAGCCATATGCCATTGCATTCATAGCGTTCTGAGCCTGATTCTTGCCTCTTTTTGTTTAAAATAAAAGGGAAATGGCAAGGTATGGAGATAAATAATTTACCAAACAGATTTTCTTTTTCACTTAATAGCAGGAATAAAAGGAAATTTAAAATGAATGTGCATACGCATTGTGAGTCTGTTGTTTAATGCCATTCTCACATTGGGAAATTCCACTCACCATACCTGGGTTCTAGTCTTTACTGAGCAATTAAATTGCTATATGGCTAGCTCACCTTCTTGTACCTCAATTTGTACATATGTAGAATGAGGTTGGTTAGTTGAAATACAGAATTCCTTTAAACCCAAGTTTCTCAATGTTGCTCACGGGCAAGCTGCACCTGAATTTTCTGTGTAGGTATACTTGTTGAAAAATGTTAATTTCTAAGCTCCATCCAAGATATTCTGAAAAAGAATTTCTGGAAATTTTTCCTGTTTTTATCATTTGTCCAGTTGACCATGGGATATTATAAGATTCAAACCATCACCTTAAAGCCTGTATGATAAACTGAAGAGTAGAACTGAACTGTGAATAGGAATCAAGAGGTCTCCGTTTCAGCAGCAACTTACAGTGTAAGCTTGCGCTCAGCTAACCACTCTCATTTCTCCATTTGAGCAGTCAGGTCACATTCGGAAGGCTCCAAGTCCCTTCCAATTCTACAAATACAGTGTTGGGTTGCTTTGTTCAAAGTTTTCTCTGAAAATCTGTGCTGAGGCCAGGTGCTTGGTAAGGTTGAAGGTAGAGATGGCCAAATGACAGCTGTGGTCTGTGGGGTGCATTGTCCCCTCTGGAAAGCCAGCCAGTGCACGTGGAGACGAGCCAGAGCTGCCTCTGCCTGCCTTGCCTTAACAGCATATATCCTCCAGCAGGGCCAGCCAGATCGGGCAAGCATCTGCAGAAAGGCTTAGCGAGATCTCTTGCAAAGTCAGCTTAGGCCCTGCTGGAGAGACAAGAAGGAAGACTTCTATGAATGCTAAGTGGGTAGAAAGGAAACTACAGCAGGGTCTGGCTTGGATTAACTCTTCATATCCTGGATGCCCTGGATTGAGATCTGAGTCTATGACATGTGTGTCTTTTTCAAACTGCCTCCTAATGAAACACATATATCCATCATCCAGAGACTAAAAACTAAGTCTCAACCTGAACTTCATGGCCCCCCAGAGCACTCCTAGCCTGTCCTCTCTGCCTCAACTCCCATGGTTGGCCAACTGGTTCATTGATCAACTGATTAATTCATCCACCAATTATTTTTGAGACAACCACTCTGGGCCAGACCCTATGTTAGTTACTGAGAATATACTTGTGACCAAGATGAACAAGGTCTCTTTTCTCATGAAATTTAAGGGAAAAAATAAACAAATAAACGGGACAATCGCAGATGGGGGAAAGTGCTTTAGAGGGAAAGAATAAGGTAAAGCGATAAAGACTAGCAAAGGGGAGGCCTGTCAAAAGAGGGGACATATGAGACCCAAAAAAGGAGAAAAACCCAGTCCTACAAATATTGTGGTAATGTTCCAGGCAAAGGGAAGAATCTATACAAGCCTCTGAGGCAACAAAAGGCTTGAGTAGCTTTGGGAATTGAATGAACGTTGGTGTGGCTGGAGCTAAGTAAGATAAAGTAAGAATGATATGAGATGATGTAGGAGAGGCAGGCAGTACCCAAAACCTGCAGGACCCGGGAGGTCACAATTCCCATTTCCAGGCTCTTCTCTTCAGCCTAACTGCAATACATTTTTTCTTGAGCATACCTCTACTTTCCCACTGCCTTCATTTTGCATGTGCCTAATGCTTTTGTCTGGCATAACTTGGCCCCTAATCACAGTATAAGCAAATTCTTCCTCCATTCTTTCGTACCCAGCTCAAACATTACCTCCTTCACAGAGCTTGTCCTAAATACCACATTTATGCTGAGTAGACATGAGCTTTTCCTTCTTCTGACCACTCAACTTCCCCTGAGCTTCATTTACTCTTTCTCTTTTGTTCTCATTCCCAAGATTAACTTTCAGTCTAAAAGTTCCTTGTGGGAAGAGGAAAGGACCTAATATTTGAAGGACACTATTTGTGCCAGGTGACATGCTAGGAGCTTCATATATCCCATTTCATTCATGACTATAGTCTTGTAAATTAGGTGTTATTAGCCTCATTTTAGAGGTAAGAAACCAGTGTTAAATTACTTGAACTACAGCACAAAACTACATGATGCAGGTATTAACTCTAAATTCCCTCAGTATACCTAGCATTGCCCCTTGCTCATCATTAGTACTAATTTCTCGAAGTGACTATACACTCTGGCAACTTCTAATCCTCATTTAAGACCAAGAAAAGGCCGGACACTGTGGCTCACGCCTGTAATCCCAGCACTTTGGGAGGTCAAAGCAGGCGGATCAAGAGGTCAAGAGATTGAGACCATCCTGGCCAACATAGTGAAACCCCATCTCTACTAAAAATACAAAAATTAGCTGGACATGGTGGCCCACACCTGTAGTCTCAGCTGCTTGAGAGGCTGAGGCAGGAGAATCGCTTGAACATGGGAGGTGGAGGTTGCAGTGAGCTGAGATCACGCCACTGCACACCAGCCGGGTGACAGAACGAGATCCTGTTTCAAAAAAAAAAAAAAAAAAAAAAAACAAGAAAAGTGTTGCCAGGTATGGGGCACATACCTAGAACTGTGGCCATTCATCCTGCAACTTGAACTTTGGGCATCACCTTGATCCCTGATACCTACTTCTCTTCATCCCAATCTGCTCTGTCCTTCTGGGCCAGCCTGTTCTTCCTGATGATAAATAAGTATTGAACCTGAGCCTATTATACCCCAGGCCTCAGCTGAAGTGTCTATCCCAAAGTGCTTGATGTTCAGAGAGTAGCTCTAACCAAACTTTCCCCATCCAGAAGGATATCCAAAGACAAACTCATTGTCTATAACACCAAGAGATAGAACCCCTATAAGTCAAACTTCTATGCCTCCCCTACATTCTCCACTTTGTAGAGAGATATTCAAATCCTCTCTTTTCCTGTTAATTACTGAGCAGCTGTGGAATCAGCATGGATCACAATTCTGCCTTCCTTTTGAAGGAATAACATGCAAGCAGGAGTTGCCACATTGTGATCATGGACTTACTTCAGATGTATAATAAATGACATCCCATGAGAATGGCTTGACAGCAGCTGATGGCACTTGGCAAAGCATTCTTTATTTGCCATAGGATGAAATTATCACTTTACTAAGAGTAAGTGTTTACAAGCAACTGGAGATCAGGAACTAGAGAAAATAATTCCATGTCCCAGATTGAAGGTTTACAGCAGATATACAGTGGAGTGAACTAGCAATCACAGAGTCTAGTCTTTGCTCTGCCATTTGCTAGCTATGAAGCCTTGGCTAACTTCATTTCATTTTCTATGATTCATCTCATGGTACCTCCTCCTAGAAGATTTCCTTAACCACTTCCTCTTCTCCCAGTCTGGCCAGGTGGCCCTCCTATGTCCTTCCATAGTGCCTTTTTTTTTCATTTATCACATTATATTATAATAGTTATATAAACACTTTCGTCTCTCACTAAATTATGTGAGTAAAGTATAGTGATTAAGAACAAGAATGTTATAATCAGACAGATATGGGTTGGAACCAGGGTTTGGCTGTCATCTAGCTATCTGATAAAAATACACTTCTTAGAGCATTGTTATAAGGATTAAGCATACATAAAGCAATTAGCATAGAGTATGGGTCATAACTAGTAAATGTTTTGCCTTTTATTTTTGCCTTTATAGCCACAGTGGCTAACGCAATACCTAGCACACATGGTAGGAGGGTTGGTGATGGTGATGGAGATGTGATGGAGGTGGTGGTGATCCTGGTGATACCTGAGTGGAGGTAATGGTGGCAATGTTGGAATGGTGACAATGTTGTAATCCCAGTGGTAATATTATAATGGTGGCAGTTGTGGTGGTGGTGGTGATGATGATGATAGTAACAAATGAGGATGATAAGAATCAACAGCTAACATTTGTAGAGAGTTTACTATTGTATATACAAGGCATGGTACTAAGTACTTGCATATATCTAATTTCATCCTTTTGACTTCTTTTAGATATGGCCAGTACTCCACATCTTTCAAGTGGGTGAACTGAGGTTTCAGAAGTTGAGTAATTTCCTGAGAGCCTACATTTAGTAAACTAAGACAAAGTCAGAATTTGATACAGGCCATATGATGTCATCATATATATGTAAAGTGCTCAACTGTTGGTTACTTGAATGAGGAAGGAAAGAAGGAAGAAAGAGAAGGAGTGAGGGAGGGAGGAATTTACTTGTTTTCTAATCTTAAGATTCCTTTTCTGAAAATAGAGATAATTCTAGCATTTATGGAAATCAAATGAGATTAAAAAAAGTCAAAGCTCTTTGAAAACTGTCAAGTCTTCTCTATGTACGAGGGCTAAACCATCAGAGGCAGCTTCATAATTACTCATTCATTCATTCAATAGATATTTGGTTTTCTGTTTTAGGCACTAGAATATAGTGGGCAAAACAAACTAAAGTGCCTGCCCTCAGTGAGCTTTCAGTCGAGTCTAGTGACAGACAAGCAAATGCCAGGTGAAATATATAGTCCTGTGGGAAAAAATAAAGCATGGAGGGGGTGAGGGAATATGTGTGTATGTTGGGGGTGGGGTCACTCTTTAAATAGGGTGGTGAGGGAAGGCCTCTGATAAGGTGATATCTGAGCAGGGCCTGAAAAAGGTAAGCCAGGGAGTCACACAGAATCTGGGAAAAAAGTGTTTTATATCCCACAGGGGAGTTTAAAAGTCAAATGAGGAATGATATCACTGTGATAAGAATGCTAGGAATGGGATTATGCAGGAACCCCAAGGCCTGCTGCCAGTGACTATGCAGTCAAGTCAGTCTTTTCCTTGGTAACCTCCTCTGGTGGGGTCTCTGAAGGCTCAGTCAAGGTGTGATGTCCCAGGGGAGATACTATTATCTGAAAGCATGGTTCCTCTGGCAACAGGCAATGGGTCTGAGGGAGATATCTTCTATTCTCCATTCAACCATCCATGAGCATGATGACACTAGGCAGGTCATCTGTGCTCATGGCATCACCCCTTCCAGCTGGGAAAGACAAAGGAAAGTCAGGGAGGTTCTCCCCACATCAAATGGAAAAGTCCTGCTCCACCAGGGTCTATAATGAAATGGTTTATTTAAGTCTATAATGACCTAAGATAAAGTTAATTTACTTTATTCAGATTTACAGACATTACCAAATTACATAGGATTGCAAACACAGGAGAAGATAAAATAAATTACCAACCAGATTGAAGAGCTTAGAGAAATAGGTAAATAGTCATGGGAAGAGATTTAATTTAGATAAACCAAAGGCAGGATATCTGGAAAATGCCAAGGTCAGGGAAAAGCCGAGAGGAAAAGATAGCTAGTAAGATGGAAGAGACATGGAAAGGATTCAGAAAATGACGTTGGTGATAGTGAGTGTGGCCAGTATTATGATAAAGATAGAGGAAATGGGAAAGATATTACTGAAAAATATGGCTTCTCCTTAGAATCCCAAAATAAATGAGGTAATTTGTGGAAAGCAGTGCCAGACTGGATTCTGTGGTCTTAGTTCCAAGTCTGCTAGGAACTGCCTCTGCAACTTGGGAAAGCTTTTTGATTTTTTTCTAACCTTTAGCTTCCTCTTCTGTTATGACATACAATACGGTTCTAAGTCTAAATGTTTCTAGTTCTCTTGTGTTTAAGGAAGGCGCCATGTGCTCTGAGGAGACCCTGAATCCATCCCTGGTCCTCCTGGCTGACCTTAATAGAAACATTGAAAGATGGAGATTCATGACAAGTAGTCAAACGGAAAGGCATTCATTTTGGAGATGGATCAAGGGTCCAGGCTCATCGGAGACACTGAAAAAGTTGAAAGGTTGCAAAATTGAGGGAGAACGACAGTTATGATAGTTCAGTATAACTGGGTTTTGCCAGAGGTTGTAGAAAAAAGTTAAAGATTGATTTGAAATGGTTGAGGGGTATGTACAATGCAGAAGGAGGGGTGAGTTAAATAAGACAATTTATAGGCTGGATGTCTTCAGGGACTGGGGGGAAGTTTGGGTATCTTTAAGATGGCATGGCAGTCTGACATACAGGAATAGTTGTATCCACTGCAAATCATAACCTTCTATGCATTTCAGGGTCGGCTTAAGGATATTTGCAAAGAACATACTGGAGGGAGAACATCAGACTTGTCCTAGTTGCTTGGGTCCCGGGTTAGTTCACCACTACAGCAATGTGGGAGCTAACTGCATGCTAAGCTTGGCATGCAGGGATTGGCAAACCTTTTCTGTAAAAACCCAGATAGTAAATGTTTTAGATTTTGTGAGCCATACGGTCTCTGTCACAATTACTCAACTTTGCTGCTGGAGAGTGAAGGCAGCAACTGATTGGTCCCTCTTATAATTGAAGCTCCTGAGATGGCATTCTCCTGAATGATAATATTTAAATGAAGGCCATAGCTGTATTCCAATAAAACTTTATTTACAAACAGATAGCTGAATTTGGCCCACACACCATAGTCGGCCAACCCCTGTTTAAGGCATGATGGCCCTGCCTATTAGCAAATATGTCCTCATCAGTGTCCTGAAACATGTTCAATTTTATGTGTAACTCCTCCCTATTGGGAACAAAGTGAGGGCCAACAATTCTTTTCCAGTAGGTGGTCCAAAGAATATAATTACTGAGGCGTGTGTCACTGGAAATGCATTCCAATATAACAAACATCTTAGGTACTTAACTTGTTCATTGATGTTTGAGGATGAATTTGTAGGGGAACATTAGATGTTCGTATGATTGACCTATGTTGAAAGGAGACTTACTAAGGTAGAGGCAGGTTTTCACTTTCTCCAAGAAGGAAGAGTTGAAGAAGTCCCTTCAATCTAGAGGAATCATCATTGTGCAAACATCAGGGAAGAGATGGAGCAAAGTTAAATGGCTGGAAGTCACAGGGAGCTCTGTTATGGCTAGTTGTAACACAGATTATGCACCTGGAGCTTTACATTTTATAAAATTTTTTGGAAGTGCTTTGTTACCTTACTTATCAGAAGATGCTAAAGTCATTCCCATAGGTTCTCCATGAATGAAGGAATTCAATAATTATTACCGATGATGATAATTTATGCTTATTATAATGTAATGGTCATTAGCACAGCAGCAGCCATTCACTGAGGCACTGTGCCCAGGGCTCCACAAGCATCATCTCAAGTTGTTCCAACAGTCATGGGAAGCAGGTATGGGGAACGTCTTACAGATGAAGAAATTGAGAGTCAGGTTTGATAATTGGCCCAAGGAAACACAGTTTATTATAAGTGCCAAAGTCAGGCCTCAAACTCAGCTCTGCTCCCACAGCTGACACTCCTAACCAACACATTGTCCTATTGCACAACTGCAGCATTCTTTCATTAGTGGGTATGTTAATGTGAAGAACCAGCACTTGGACCAGTGCCTTATAAGGATCCTTTGAAACCAAGATTTTATTGTAGTTGAAGGGCAGAGAGCTAAATCACCAAAATGTGTAAGTAGAGACAGACCAGAATGTAATCTCCATGAAAGCAATGTCCTTCTCTGTTTTTTAATTTTTTCACCATGTTATCCCTAGCACTTAGTTGTGTCTGATAAATATTTGAATAAATGCATCAGTATGTGAACATTATTTGGAATTATTTTTTCTTTTTAATATCAAAAATCTCATAACCACCTAGGCCAAGCTTAACCCGTGGGCCTCAGGCCGCATGCAGCCCAACACGGCTTTGAATGAGGCCCAATACAAATTTGTAAAGTTTCTTAAAACATTATGAGACTTTTTGTGTGATTTTTTTTTTAGCTCATCAGCTATTGTTAGTGTTAGTGTATGTGATGTGTGGTCCAAGACAATGCTTCTTCTTTCAATGCAGCCCAGAGAAGCCAAAAGATTGGACACCCCTGATCTAGCCTGTCTCAATGTCTAGGCTTTGAGACACCCCTGATCTAGGCTATAGAAATGTCTCCTATTTCTCTCTCTTTTAACCACATAGTTCAATACCCTGGACACAGTAGGCACTTAAGGAATATTTGCTAAGGATGGGGCATGATAGCTGACCCTTAATAAATAAAGTGCTACATTGCCACAGTAATCAACAACCTTCTACCCTTCCTAGCTCCTGTGACAGATGCAACTACTTCTTATTCCCCATGTGGGAGTTGTAACTCAACACTTCTCTCCCCTATTTATGGATGCAGATTGGAAAATACATTAGAAAGGGAGAAGCCAAAATATCCTCTGATTTATAATCAGTACTTTGGTTGAAACTTTCATGACTATATTAGTAATAGCTAGTTACTTGTAACACAGTTTAGAGCCATTAATAAAATACCTCGTGGAACTTTTATGTGGCTCCATGTAGCAGAGCTCAGACCTGTGGAAGAACCTGGAGTAATTAGCTGGAAGGATGTTATCACAGTTAGCACCATCCAAAGAGTGAATCCACTGCAGAGTGAACTAATGAGCCCTGGTCTGAGAGACACTGAATCAGAGGTGACCAGGAGTCAGGTATAGAGGGGCTATACTAGGTATAGGTCAGATATAATTATCACTAAAGCCCCTTTAAAATATAAACGTCCTAGATTTTTGACATACCCCATGTCTCCATTTATTGTGACATTGTCTTTTGGTAAATGAACCCCTTCTCATAAAAAAAATTTTTGTTGAAATATAATATACATCACTTGCATGAATTTTTACTCCTGCTTGAGCAGGCTGAGCCTGGTTGGTAATGTTAGCAGGATCTCAGTCTATGGCAGACATACTGACTCTTCCTTTGCTTTTAAGGTGCTGTGATTTCAACTAACAGAATTCATGTTGTATTAGACCACATAAGCTCATGTCCTGGAAAGAGAGCCACCTTGCCAACCAGTTCATAAAAATTAGCTCAGCACTTTCTCGTGAGCTCCGCATGGTCCTGGGATGGCCTGAGGTGGGTCCCAGCAATATGTATTTTTTAAAAATCTTCTCAATTGTGAAACACAGTTCTGAAATAGAACTTCATCATTTGGGGTCTGCAAGGCGAATGGTGTTGTACCATTGTATTCACAAGTAAACTGAGACCCAGAGACTAAATGTCCCTGTTGTCAGAGGTACAGCAGTAGTTAGGGGCATATTTGGGACTAAAATTCATATTAGTTTTCTCTAGATACAGAAATATTTCAATCAGGCCAATTTTTATACAAAACTAACTTCAGGACTGATGGTTTAGCCAGTTGTTGGTCAGTTATATGTGTAGGTTTGTGTGTTATTGTTATAAAAAGCAGTATCCTTTCAAATTATATGAGGGATACATGTTTATCATGGGAAACTATAAAATGTGAGAAAAAGGGGAATAGAATCAAAGTATCTATCATTGCACAACTCTGAGATAACCCTCTTATTATGTTGCTATATGTCCCTTTAGACCTGCTATTCATATGTTGGGTTTTTTATTATTTTCTAAGACTGGGATTATGGTGTATGCACAGTTTTTCATTCTTCACTGTTATTATATTATGAGCATCTTTCATGTTAATAAATAGGCATTCACACTAGCTCTTAAATAGCTATGTCGAATTCCTTGATGTAATATATCATAATGTGTTCAACAGAGTCTTTATTGGATGTTTAGGATGTCTGTGTATTTTAAAAACAACAAACTTGAGTAAATACTATACAACTTCTAAAGCTCAGAAGTGAGATATTTAGGTAGCAAACAGCTCTGATGAACTTAAAGAGTTAACAATCAGCTAACCAGAAAATGAGCTCCCCCTCCTTTCAACCAGGTTAAAACCTGGTTCTTTCAACCAGGCTGGATAATTGAGATGGTACACATTAATGATCCCTGTTCTCATCATTGTTCAGTGCCAGGCATGGCCAACACTTTGAAATATTAGTAATCAGGCTCACTGAGTTTATTTTCAGGTTTGAAACAGAGCTCTGCACAATACATTATTACTTGTGGATCCTTGAGACTTCTCTGCCACCTCCAAGAGCAGAAGCAGGGTCTTCCGAGGTTAACAGTCACCACTGGGTTTTAATCAGGAAAAAGAAAGATAGCCATAAATTTAAACTCTGAAAAACTCAGTACCCACCCAGAAACAGCAACAAAATCAGATTGGAGTCTGGAAGAAAGGTCCTCTAGACTTGAGAAAGTTCAGGGTGAAATTGGGTTTATTGTGGGTCTGAGATCAGAAAGTAAAATTCTAAAGAGCTCAAGGCAACAACATCCAAAAAGTGGGCAAAAATGGCCAAAGAATGGACTGTGGTATTTTCTGGGAAAGAAAACGATTTCCCCTCCCTTTTCAAAAATTTTCCAGGAAACTAATTGTCAGGCAACCCACTTGTAGAATGGAAGCATCTCTCAAAGTGATCTAGAAATTCCAAGAAGATCTTTTTTCTACTGTTATGATGCCCAGGGGAGATAGAAGGGTGGCTTGCAAAGTGGACTCAGGTCTGCATTCCAAAACTGCCTTCATTCCCTTTATGTGGGACTAAGAAAATTATATTATCCATCTAGGCATTTGTCCTCCATCCATTAAATAAGAAGTAGAGAGGCGTTACAGTACTCATCAAGAATTCCAGTTCTATCGCTTACTATCGGTATGAAATTGGATCATCTCTTTAATCTCTTTGAGTCTCAATTTCCAGTCTTTAAAATAGAGACAAAAATATGTTCCTTAGAAGATTGCATTGAATATTAAAATACAATGAGCTATAGAGAAAGCTTAGGCTAGGATCTGTGACATGGTTGGTGTTTAATAATTACAGGATTCAGCAGGTGTTTTATTTTTTTTTCCTTTCCAGCTCCAAATTATTCTATGTCAGGTGTTAGGGGTATATAGATATGCTAAGATATGTTCATTTCCCACCAGGGAGTCGAGTCCACTGTGGGGTAAAGACGTGTACACACAGCTGTCCTAGAAGATCAAGAAGTAGAGAGCTGTGTCATGAAGGCTCTCCAGGGGTGAATGGGAGAGGCTAACAGTAGAGGCAGGCATTGGGGTGGGCTTTAAAAGATGAAAAAAAAAATTAAGGCAGGGTAGGAGCAGAAGCACTCAGATAAGGAAAAAATGGCACAACTGGTTGGATGAATTGTTACTATTATTGCTTGAATGGCACAACTGGTTGGATGAATTGTTACTATTATTGTACCTATTCTAATAGGTACAATTGTTAAGGTAAAGGAAAAAACCATATTTGCAACTAGAACCAAATCAACTACTGCTAGAAAATTTAAAATCTTCCTTCAATATCAAGGTAGAAAAAGCTTAGCATCTTCATTTTGCTACTAACATTCTGACCTTGGACAAATAACTTTACCTGTTCCTCAGCTAAAATGAGGATGTAAATCCTAACCTGTCTATCTTAATAGGATGTTGTAAGAATTAACTGAAATAATGTACAGTCTGCCTCACAATCATCTGGACGGCTTGAGAAAGCACAGATTGCCAGATCCCACCCCCAGAGGTTCTAATTCAGTAGGTCTGGGGTTGGACCCAAGAATTTATATTCTTTTTTATTATGATGATGATTATTATACTTTAAGTTTTAGGGTACATGTGCACAATGTGCAGGTTAGTTACATATGTATACAATGAATTTATATTCTTAACAAGCTCTCAAGTGATGCTGATATAGCTGGTCTGGGGATTACAGTAAG
This sequence comes from Homo sapiens, assembly GCF_000001405.40. Classification (NCBI taxonomy): domain Eukaryota; kingdom Metazoa; phylum Chordata; class Mammalia; order Primates; family Hominidae; genus Homo; species Homo sapiens. The sequence goes on from NC_000005.10 coordinate 153,551,029, forward strand.
AAAACCACTGCTTTAGGTCAATGCAGTTTTTTTTAAAAGCTATTATTCATAACTGGCTCAAGAGTCATGTAAGTGTTGATTATGTTTTATTATGTGTCTAGACCCTTAATAGACTACTCAGGATATGCACAAATAGAAGATGTAATATTTTCTGTAGCATTCCCTACACCAAATCGGCCTTGCTCGGTCATGCATAGTTAATGTATGTGTTGATTTTATTTGTCTTCGTGTGGCTTCTAGTCTCACTAGAAAGACATACATTTATTTGAATGTTGTAGAATGATATTATTCATTGGAATAAAATCGGATCTTTTTACAGTTTTTTTTGTTTGTTTGTTTCTTAATGAGCAGGCCTATGATTCCTAAAGGACTTTTTATTTTATTTCATTTGAACCTTTGATAGAAACTGCATCTTTCATGTGACCACTCTCCATTTTTCTGCTCATATGACCACATTTCCCAGTAGTCTTTAAAGGCTCCAGTTTGGATGGGATTTCGATTAATGGAAGAGAACAGATAGCTCTGTAAATAGAGCCAGATGTCTCTTGCAATATCTGAAATGAACTGTCTCAACCATCAGAACTGTAAATCACCTTCAGAAGGCTCCTTCTCCCAGGAGTAGTCTTTGCATTATTCATAGCCCTTTTGCTGTAGTACATTCTTGTCTCATGAAGATTACAGCCAATCACTATGCTTTCATAGCCCATCCTCCTCCCTGAACCCCTGCTTTCATGCTGTGTCATAGCCTTGGCACTCTGTTCTTTGAACTTCTTTGAGGAGTAGTGTTTTCCAGGACCTAGCTTCAGTTATGCCAAGAGTGTTTCCTTTCTGTGATCATGATACATTGTAAAGTATGTGGTTCCTTTTTCAAAGGGAAAATACTATAGTCACCCTAATTCCTTCAAGAAAGAAGGCAGAGAAAGCCCCCCCTCATCCTCTCCGAAGCAGTCACATGCTCTATTCAGAATGAATCATCACTTTGGAATTGTCTGCCAGTGTTTTGTGGGGTGAGGCTCAGACTCTTTCTATGGGTAGATCTGTAGGCCTGTTTTCTCTGCACCAGAGGTCCCAAACTGGTGTTCTATGGATTGCATCCAGTGATTTTATGTGTAGCATAACTTTTTAAGAGGAAGAGAGAAGAAAATTGACTTTGCGATCAACATTACAAAAAAACATCATGAGACTTTGAATAGAAATTTGGATTTTCAGCAAAAAAAAAGAAAAAAAAAAAGAAGAAGGTTTGGCAGTACTGGACTCCCATCTTTAAGGGTAACAGCCGAATGCTGGCCACGTCCTGTAAGAACCCACACTCTCCAGTTTGCTGCTGTCCATACCAGCTTGTGTGACTCCTTTACATTACCTGCTTGACTCCTAAAGGTATTTCAATTAGTGGCCTGTTTTTGCTCTTTTTGGCAAGTTCACAGACTTACAGAGTTTGAAAGCTAAAGGAGTCCCTGAGAACAAGGATTTTCTAATGTTACTTCACATCAAAATCACCTATACCCTATAACCAGGCTGCATCCAGTACCAATTAAATAAGAATCTCTGGGGAGGACCAAGCTGTCAGGATTTTTTTTTTTAATTCCCCAGATGATTCCAGTATACAGATCAGTTCATCTAAGAACCAGTACCTTGGAAGAATACTACTCAGAATTTATTGTGCATACAAATCACCTGGAGATTTGTTAAAATGCAGATTCTGTGGGGGCAGGGTCTAAGGTTTAGCATTTCTTACAAGCCAATGCTTCTGGTCCCCCAATCATATTTTGCATAGCAAAGCCTAAGAGATCTTCTGGTCTGTCCTTTTTCATAAGTTCAAAGAGATGTCAAAATGAAGCTTTCCTTGTTAAGTATCTAAGCTTAGGATGAATTATTTATTTATTTCTCCAGCTTTTCTTTTCCAAACAACCTTTTTCTGTAGAAACAGGGTCTTGCTATGTTGCCCTGGCTGGTTTCAAACTCTTGGCCTCAAGCAATACTCCCACCTTAGCCTCCCAAAGTGCCAGGATTACAGGCATGAGTCACTGCATCTAGCCAGAGTTTGCTTTTAAAAGCATAAATGACAGTGGTGTCAAGGATATTCCTGTGGAAAGTAGTTTTTCCTCTTATTTACTTACATTCCAACATTCCTTCTTAACTAAAAGAGAAAGAAGTGGGTCTTCAGCCAAAAGAACATTATTTCACCCTGGTGATGCTCATGGGATTCCCATTTTATGATGGTAGATGTGTTACTGGTGGTGAATCCATACAGGTCTGCAGCAACCTCAATTCTTGCCTCCTCAAAAGAAAGAATTCGAATGAGAGGCATAAGACAGAGTGAAAGACTGAGGCAGGTTTCAGAGCAGGAGTGAATGTTTATTAAAAAGCTTTAGAACAGGAATGAAAGAAAGTAAAGTACACTTGGAAGAGGGTTAACGGGGAGACTTGAGAGACCAAGTGCATGGTTTGACCTCTGACTTGGGGTTTTATGTGCTGGTGTGCTTCGGGGGTCTTACATTACTTCTCCACTGATTCTTCCATTGGGATGGACTGTCCATATGCACAGTGGCCTGTTAGTGCTTGTGAGGAGCCGCATGCACAGTGTGTTTACTGAAGTTGTATCCATGCTCACGTGAGGCATTCTTCCCTTACCAGTATTCGTAGAACCATATGCCAGTTAAACTCCACCATTTTGCCTCTTAGTGTGCATGCTTGAGCTCATTCACCCAGTTTCTGAGATATTGGGAAAATGCGATCACCAGTTTCAGGTTTTTCTATCCATTGGGAAACTGCCTTTCCCTGGCACTGGCTGCAACCAATTATTATTTTAGAGAGACAGTTTAATAATCGCCTATCATCTGATGGTTGCCTGACATTTCTTGTGGTGGCAGCAGGGGGGACCCTCTCCTGTCCTGCTCGTGTCTGACTAGCTACCTACTGTAATAAATGGGGTGCAGATTAGAAAACAGGTCCTTACCCTCCCCCTTCCCCACCCAGTTATTGCTCAAGATCACATAATTATGAAATAGAAGAGCTGATACATAGAGAAAAATAGTTCCAGTTGTCTTTATAAGTGGTTCAAAACTCTGTGAGCTTCTTTGATGGGTTGAGTTGTAAGTTATGTGGCAGCCTCTCCTTTCAGGTGAGAATGAAGCAGTCAGCCAGGTCTAATTGCCTAGTTATATGAGTGTACTGAGTAGGTAACTCTCTCAATAGTTTAATTTGAGGTCTGCAATTGGAGAGTTGATGCTGAAACATTTCTCAGGACCAGAAATTTCCTTTCAGGCTAGCCACTTCTCTGAGCTGAAAATGCTGTCATGGTGAATTCATTCTTCTAGATCCATGTTTTTTAAGTATATTATCAAAGGACTATGTGTATCGGAATCCCTTGAGACTCTAGTTAATGACTGTCCACGTCCCACTCCCAGAGATTCCGAGTCAGTAAATCTGGGGTGGGGCTCAGGAAGTGGTTTTTTGTTGTTGTTGCTGCTTTGTTTTGTTTTTGAGATGGAGTTTTACTCTGTTGCCCAGGCTGGAATGCAGTGGCGTGATCTTGGCTCACTGCAACCTCTGCCTCCCAGGTTCAAGCGATTCTCCTGCCTCAGCCTCCCAAGTAGCTGGGATTACAGGTGCCCACCAGCATGCCAGGCTAATTTTTATATTTTTAGTAGAGACGGGGTTCCCCCATGTTGGCCAGGCTGGTCACAAACTGCTGACCTCACATGATCTGCCCACCTCAGCCTCCCAAAGTGCTGGAATTACAGGCATGAGCCACTGCACCTGGCCAGGAAGTGGCATTTTTCAGAAAACTCATCCAAGTGATTTTGATGCAGGTAGTAGGCCAGATGCAGAGAAATATGATATAAAGGTAAATGTCCTTTCTTCCCTGTCTACTAGTATAGTGACCATTTTCTCCTGAATCAAATACTGCAGCCTTGAAACTAGTTAAAACCAGGGTTGTGCCATACTTCTACTCAGCTCAGAAGGAGGCTCTCCATTTGAGAACACATGGGTTCCTTTTGCTACCAGGACATGCAGCTTGGAACCTCTGATTCTCAGTGATGTAGGCATTTTCTTAGCATACAGCAGCCTGGAATTTATCATAATGTACATGTCACAGGAGGATATGAAATAGAGTAAACACCTTTTTTATAGACTTTAGATTTTGAGGTCTCACTACAGCAGCGTTTTGCAACTTTTTAAAAAAGAACCAATAATGATCTCTTTGGATGTTCATAAAAGCCTCACACTCTGCTGTCCCATACTAGATTCTGATATACCTAACTTTGAAGGATGTCCACCATTGAGTGTCACTACATACAGGGAGCAAATTCCATTTCATTTTTCGCGCATTCCTACCAACGAAGAGAAATTTGAGGCACATTATTTTAGGAAATTTGTACCATAAAAACAATAGGTATACATCAATGTTTTATCATTTATAATGTTTCAACCTTAATATGTTTTTGACACTGCTCCTGCTGCACTGGAGGAATGTTGTAATAGATTGTTACATAACCACTTCTCCTGGCAGGTATTTTCCCCCTTCCTTATTCCACTAAGACTCACTTGCAACGCAAAGACCAGGGCCTCATGGAAGAAGGCAGCTGGGCACAAGCCTGTTGCCATGGAAAGCTTAGGGCGGGAAGCGATTGATTGGTCTCTGCATACAGAGACTGATCTAGAAGGCTTCAGTGTGTCTGAATGGACCTGTCTGGGCTGGAATTTCAGTCAGTCTGACAGACTGCTAAAGGAGACTCAGGTGTACACTTCAGCAACTTGATAACTCTTCCCCAGCTGAAAGTCGAATCATTTGATCCAACGGGAAAGAAGCTAAAATTGTCCTGACAGCTAAAGAGCGATCTGACCTTTGTGATCAGGAGGAGAATTTCTTGTGATACAGAAAGTGAAAGTAGAAACTGGAATGATGGTATTGATGATGAAGGCATTTAGAGCAGCAGGCACTGCCATTCATTAAAAGATTGCACTGTGTCAGGCACATGCTTTATCCTATTGAACCATCATGCCAAACTTGGGACACTTAGGTATCATTGTTTTTCATTTTCCATTAAGAACTTGAGGATTAAAGCTGTTAATCTATCTGTTCATGGTGAAATGAGTAGTATGTGGCCTGGGTTTGAACCTTTGTTATAGCTGCAATTTTTTCAGAGCTTTTAATTGTTGAACTACACGGTGTTTCTGGGGCTATTCTTGATCTTTGCACAGTGTGGGGGCGAAAGTTGGTCCTTTTAGGAATTCAACTATTCTCTCATTTAGTTATGGCCAAGAAAGGAGAGGCTCAGAGATCAGTTGGTGCCTCAAAAGGTCGCTCTTCCCTGCAGCCGACTTAATATGTCTCCTAGCTCCCAGTCCAGTGCTCCAGCAAGATCCGGAAGCTAAATATTCCCTGAAGCCTTTATAATCTATTGAGAATACACAACAGAGTTGCTGGGAGTTTTTCCAAGGCAGTAAGTCTCATTTTTCTTATTAGTTTGGATCCCCTGAACCCTTAAGGTAGTATCTCAAATGCAGTTAAGTGTTCAACCAATATTTGTTGCAAGAATAAACATTACTAGTAAGAAATGTGATCTTGGAGACAATATTTTATGTTCCTAGTCTCTAGTTTTCCTATTTTTGAAATAAGCAGGTGTGTTCTAGATATTTCGAAAGGCCCTTCCACTTTAAAACTTATTTAACTCTAGAGCAAGGATCTCTCACCTGAAGTCTGAAGATTGGTCTATGTACTCTCTGTAACCCTACATGAAATGCTTTAAAACTTCATTTACAGTTATGTGTCCATTAACAATTGGAATACATTCAGAGAAATGTGTCAGTGGACAATTTCACCATTGCTTGAATATCACAGAGTGTTACTTACACAAATCTAAATGGTGTAGCCTACTACACACCTAGGCTATATTGGATGATACAGATTATAGCTCCTAGACTACAAACCTGTGCAGCATGTTACTGTACTGAATACTGAGGCAAGTGTAACACAATGGTAAGTATTTGTGTATCTAAATATATCTAAACATAGTAAAGGTACAGTTAAAATATAATATAAAAGATGAAAACTAGTACACCTGTATAAGGCACTTACCATGAATGGAGCTTGCAGAACTGGACGTTGCTCTGGTGAGTCAGTGAGTGAATGATGAATGAATGTGAAGGCCTAGGACATTACTATGCACTACTATAGAGTTTATAAACACTCCACGGTTAGGCTACACTAAATTTATTTAGAAGTCTATTTTTATTTCATTTTGTTTTTGAAATGGAGTCTCACTCTTGTCACCCAGGCTAGAGTGCAATGGCAAGATCTTGGCTCACTGCAACCTCCACCTCCCAGGTTCAAGCGATTCTCCTGCCTCAGCTTCCCAAGTAGCTGGGATTACAGGCACCTGCCCCCATGTCTGGCTAATTTCTTTAACAATAAAGTGAACTTGGCTTACTGTAATTTTTTACTGTACAAACTTTTAAATGTTTTAACTTTTTGACTCTTTTGTAGTAACAGCTTAAAACACAAACACATTGTACAACTATACAACTTTTTTTTCCTTATATCCCTATGCTATAAGCTTTTCTTTTTCTATTTCTAACTTTTTGTTACTTTTTAAACTTTTTGGTTAGAAAATGTTTAAAGGGTAAAGACACAAACTAGAGAATTTATATCTTTAAACTTTAAATGTTTAAGAAGTAAAGATATTAAGACACAAACACATGCATTAGCCTAGGCCTACACTGGGTCAGGATCACCAACATCACTGTCTTTCTTCCACCTCCACAGCTTGTCCGGCTGAAAGGTCTTCAGTGGCAATAGCACGCATGGAGCTGTCATCACCTATAACACTGCCTTCTTCTGGAATACCTCCTGAAGGACTTGCCTGAGGCTATTTTACAGCTACCTTTTTTTATAAGTAGAAAGAGTGCACTGTAAAATAACAACATATATAGTAAATGTATAAACCAGTTACATAACTGCTTATTATCAAGTATTATGTACTGTACATGACTGTATGTGTTATACTTTTATATACAACCACAGCACAGTAGGTTTGTTTAAGCCAGCATCACCACAAACACATTAGTAATGCATTGTGCTACATTACTATGGCCAAGATATCACTAAACAATAGGAATTTTTCAGCCCCATTATAATCTTATGGGACCACCGTCATATAAGCAGGTCATTGTTAACCAAAACATCATTATGTGGTGCGTTACTATATTTTGGTATAATTTACATATAGTAAAATTCACTCCTTTTATACAGTTCTATGAATTTTGACAAACCTATATAGTCATTTAACCACCATTATAATCAATATATAAAATATTTTAATTATCCCAAAAAGGTTTTTTAAGCACATTTATAGGCAATTTTCTCCCCTGCAACCCCAGCCTCTGGAACCACTGATTTGTTTTCTGTTTCTATAATTTTTTTCTTTTCCAGAATGTCATCTACATGGAATTCTGCAGGATGTAGCCTTTGCATTCTGGCTTCTTTCACTTAGATTCATTTTGAGATCCGTTCACATTGTTGTGTGTATTAGTAGCTTGTTCCTTTTTATTGCTGAGCAAATTTTTCATTGTATGTCTGTACCATAATTTGTTTATTCATTCCCCAGCTGATGAACATTTAGTCTGTATTCAATTTGGGGCATTTATAATGAAGCTGTTATAAATATTCATACATAGTTTTTTATGTGAACATATTGCTTAATTTCTCTTGTGTAAATATTATGGGGAGTGGGCTTATGGAGAATTGAGAAATATACATTAATGTATCTATAATTTTTTTTCTGGGAAGATAGTACACAGCTTTTGTCGGATTCCCAAAACGGTCCAGGGCTCACAAAAGGTTAGGCCCCACTGACCTTGCTGCTTCCTCTGGTTTGTGTTGGGTTCTTTAAGCTCTGTGGTCTGGCTTTCAAGTGGAGCATCAAACTGAGAGGCAGCCTGGCTTAGGAAAACAGGCATTGGGTTAGGATTGAAGTGCTTCCCACCTTAGTCTAGTCTTTCACTGTGTGACATTGCCAGCCTTCTTTCCCTTTCCGGGACCTTGGAAACCCTGTCCATTGGTAACCAGTTTGATGGCTAAGCTCCATTTTTCCATCATGTTTCCTAGACAACGCCATGCAAGCTTCTGCTCCAGCCCCTTTGGAGCTCTGATTCAGACACTAATCTCAGGCCCTCCAAGGAAGCATCATTCAGACCTTCCCTGCTTCCTGCAGAGGCACATGTAGTACAGTACGTGAGGCTTTCTATGGAGCTGCTCTCATTTTTGTTCATTAACTTCTCTCCCTGGGAGGAGGCATGCCAGGGAGGGTGTTTATCAAGATGAGGCACATGACAATAGGAGCACCAGATTTCCAGTCCCTGTTTTGTTATCAGAAGTTCGCTTTCCAGACTTGGGCAAATCACTTTAATGTCTCTTGCTTAAAACCTTGACTAGCTTTTCAATGTTTTTGGGGACAAGGACTCAAGGCCTTAGAGATCTTGTGATCTCTCTACATGTGTAATAAATATATAAACCATAATATAGCTGCTTATTATCAAGTATCATGCACTGTACATGACTGTATGTGCTATACTTTTATATGCAACTGGCAGCACAGTAGGTTTCTTTAAACCAGCATCAACACAAACACATTAGTAATGCATTGTGTTACAACATTACCATGGCAGAGATATTACTAGACAATAGGAATTTTTCAGCTCTATTATAATCTTATGGGACCACCATCATATAAGCAGGTCATTGTTAACCAAAACATCATTACATGGTACATGACTATATTTTGGTATAATTTTATACAAAAAAAAATTGCCTGACTTTTGCCTACCTACCCAGCTCCTACTTCCTTGAGTTCACTCCTTTGTGCACTCCAACCCCACTCACCTATCTGTTATCCTTCTGACACACCCTATTGCCTCCTTCCATTTGGCTTTATCCTACAAAGTTTGCTGTTTACAAAGTTTACTCTGAAATAGAGGTCATCATTTTGAAGACTAGAAAACCAAGGCACAGAGACTTACATGCCTTGCCCAAGTTTGCATAGTTTGTAAATGGAAAAGCTGGGGAAAATCCACGGAAACTTGGCTCTGGATTCCATGCTATTGACCAACTCCTGACTTCCTGCCCTGCTAGACCTTAGTGGGTGGTCATGAAATAAAGGATGTAGGAACAGTGTGCCAAGAGTTCTGTTGGATTATTTTAGCTGAAATCTCATAATGGCTTTTTATAGAATATTAATGACTTACAGAGCTCTTTGCTCTGGGTTATGGACTTAGGTTTCTAAATTGTCATCTCCTTCTAGATAACTTTTCAGGAACTTATCAGCACCCACACAGGACTGGATGTGCTTTTGGAAGGTACCATGGAGGCTGATATGGTGTGGCTATATCAAATCTCATCTTGAATTGTAGCTCCCATAACCCCCACGTGTCAAGGGAGGGACCAGGTGGGAGGTAATTAAATCATGGGTGTGTGTTTTTCCGTGCTGTCCTCGTGACAGTGAATAAGTCTCATGAGATCTGATGGTTTTATAAAGGGCAGTTCCCCTGCACATGCTTTCTTGCCTGCCACCATGTAAGAAGTGCCTTTGCTCTTCTACCATGATTGTGAGGCCTCCCTAGCTGTGTGCAACTGTGAGTCTATTTAACCTCTTTTTCTTTATAAACTACTCAGTCTTGGGTGTGCTTTTATTAGCAGCATGACAACAGACTAGTCTAATACAGAGGCTTTGGGCATAAGCTATGGGCCTTTGGTTTTGAGGTTCTCCAATATTCAGCTGGGAAATTATGTACCACTAAGATGAGTTTTGGAGAAGCCTCCTTGAGAGTAATTAAACCAGAGCAGCAAAACAATAGACTCCTACCTGTATGGAAAGGACAGAGTCACAAGTCAAAGCTTCAGGCTGAACCTTTCTTAGCAAAGTGAGAAGGGTAGATCTGAGACAAAGGAGCAGGGATTTTTTTTAGGTTGATTCCTGTATTTATGTAACTTCTTTCTCCTCAACAGTACAGGTTTCTTCATGATACATGTCTTCAAGACAGCATTGGAGTAAAGGATTCTCAGTGGCCTTGTTTTATTCAATGGCATTTAGTAAACGTGGGGAAGGGATCAAGAGTCCACATCAGATCCTGGCCCTGGAGCAGCTTTTCTAGTCGGGGGTCATGATAGCTACAGTCTCTCTAGTATCTTCTCTGTGCCATTTAAATAAATAAATCAGAGAATTGGACTCAGAATCTGATTCTCTGATTCCGCTGAGTCAGTTCTTGGCCAGGGTCATGAAACTGGTAACTTGTACAGCCTGGACCCGTACTCAAGGATGTGAGACTTGGAGTGGGGGTTGAGAGGAGGACAGTTCATGACAAGCCTGACCCAACATAGTGCTGTGCCCAATTAGCTAGCTACACAGATAAGCAAACTGAGGCTACCACTGGGTCAGTTCTTGGCAAGGGTCAGGAAGCTGTAACTTGTAGAGCCTGGACAAGTGTCTGTGATGTCAAACCCCGTCCATGTAACTGCTAGTTACTATATGGGAACTCAAGTTTATTACTTAACTGTATTAAGCTTCCATTTTCTCTAAGAAATGGGGGAAAAAAAGCTTTTACCTTGGCTTAAAGCAGTTGCAAGAATTAAAAAGTTAATTCATGTTGTTTATTTATCAGAATGCCTAGCACATTATAAGTCTCAGTATAGGAGAATTGTATTATTCTTACCATCATCACCATCACCACCATTATTTGCCAAGAGAGAGGTATATGCAAAGTGCTATAGTGGTTCAAAGGAGGGGGCAATCACTTCCACCAGGAAGACAGTGGAGGGTAGTGTGAGGATAAATGTAAAACCTGAAAATTTAAACTTGAACTTGAAAGGAGACTGTGTATGTGGGAATTTTGGATCAAAAGGGGATTCCAATAGAAGAAACAGCTGAGTTAAAGCAAAGCGATAGAACACTGATAACAACTATGAATGGTGAATAGAGCATTTTGGCTGATTGCTGTGTACCTAAATGGAGATGAGGGTGGAAAGATGCATTGGGGGGTAAGACTTTGAGAACCAAGTTCATTTGAGAACCAAGTTCATTTGAGAACAACTACGAATGGTGAATAGAGCATTTTGGCTGATTGCTGTGTACCTAAATGGAGGTGAGGGTGGAAAGATGCATTGGGGGATAACTATGAGAACCAAGTTAAGGGAAGTGTCATGAGCAGAGCTATGCTCCAAAAAGATTTAGCAGGCCATCTATACCCATTATGTCTGGGGTGCATATGAGGGAGTTACAGGATGTGAGACTTGGAGTGGGGGTGGAGGGAGGGCAGTTCATGACAAGCCTGACCCAACACACTGTTGTGTCCAATTAGCACGACCTATTTTGGCTTTGAATGGGGAAGGAGAATCTGTGACCTCTGAGTCAGCCTTTATGGAATGCTCAAGACTTAACAGGTCTTGCAAGATGCATTCTCTATCAGTCATAGTACTTTAATAATGGTTCCTTACTCAGCTTCATTCATTCATTGGAAATTCATGCATGTCTTTGTAGTCCATAGGATTCTCAGAATAACCTTGTGACTAGACGAGAGAAATATTGACTGTGCGATTACTGAAGGCAAAGACTGTTTGTGATGCTTGATTACTTGATTTTTGCATATCCAACAAGTGAATGAGTGAGTAAGTGAGTGAGTGAGTGAATGATTGAATCTCCACTTGACTCCTGAGGCAACTGAGATGAGGAGATATTAAAATATCTCAAGGTGTCATTATTGGACACACATATGACTAGGACTTTTGTTACTTTCATACTTCTCCATTTACAATTTCTTAAAAGAGTACTTTCCAAAGTATATACAATTTAATGATTTGAAATCCTGCTTGCGGCCAGGCACGGTGGCTCATGCCTGTAATCCCAGCACTTTGGGAGGCTGAGGCGTGTGGATCACGAGATCAAGAGATTGAGACCATCCCGGCCAACATGGTGAAACCCCGTCTCTACTAAAAATAGAAAAATTAGCTGGGCATGGTGGCAGGCGCCTGTAATCCCAGCTCCTTGGGAGGCTGAGGCAGAAGAATCACTTGAACCTGGGAGGCAGAGGTTGTAGTGAGCCAAGACTGTGCCACTGCACCCCAGATTGGCGACAGAGCGAGACTCTGTCTCAAAAAAAAAAAAAAAAACCTTCTTGCTTTTGTTGCTGTTTTCTTCCTAAAAGTGGAGCTTTGCCTTTTCCCTTTTAAGTCAGTCACTGAGACAGTATTTGGTTTTGTGCCCTCTGAGAGTTATTTTCCAGCCCACGAGCCCCACGTTCTGATTCTGATGTGAGATAATGGAGCTTAGCCCTCAGAGATATGGAAGACACCAATTGTTTCGTTCTCTAAGTGTTCAGAAACAACTGTTCTTTTCTTTTCTTCCTTTTTTACTTCCCCTTACAAGACTTTCTTTTCTTTGCCTCAAAGAGGGTAAAGGATGGAAGATAGAAGGAGGAACTCAGGTTAGTCTATGGCTCAGAGGCCTTGAATAGTTTGGGAAAAAAATTAAACAACATGAAACTATAACTTCTCATTGTTCTCTGCTGCTTCCACCTCCCACTGACAGTGTATGCTTTCCATCAAATATGTGTAATATTGGTTGTGGAGCAGATCAAAAACATCTATTTTCTCTGGAATGTACAGTCAGTCAATCTTGAAGAAGGAGCATCGTATCAAAGAGGTCTGTTGTCAAATACCTACTTCCCCCTTTCTGTCCTTTCTCTTCCCCTTCAAGGGAAACAAATGTCTGGGTTGCAGAAAGGCCCTTTCATCTCAAATTGTTCTCTTTTCATTAGTGTCTTGGTTTGGGCAGGGGGTATGGAGGCAGTCTACTATGAGTAGTATTGTTGAGGACATGAAATGTTAAATAATAAGATTTTACATTTGTAAAGTGCCATGTTCCTTGCTTTTACAGACAGAAACTTAGGCTGCTGGGTTTTGAACAATTAAGTTGAGGAGCTATTTGGGATATGTTGTATAAATCATAACCGCTTGTTGAAGGGTGTGCTGAAATCAAGGTGTGACCTCTGCACAATTCAGGGACCTCCTCTTGGGCAAGTCTAGAGTCCCAGCCTTGCCAATGCTTCAGAAATGATTAGATTCAAGGTGCCAACATCAGGCCAACTGAACCCTTGAGAGATTGCCCTATAAACTGTTATTGGAGCAGCATCTGTTTGCCAGGGTAAATATTCAGTCATATGGACTGGGCCCTGGAGTCTTCAGATGGTGCAGCCCTTCCCAGAGGGAAGACTTCATGGGGGTCCAAATGCTGGTAAGAAGTTTTTGTTTGTCTGTGTCTGCCATCACAGCATAGAGATTAAGAACCTGGTATTTGGAATCAGACAGATTTTTGTGTATTATTTACCTGTTGCTGCATAACAAATTGCCCCCAAACTCGGTGACTTTCTACAACAATCTTTGTTTATTATCTCTTATGGATCCCTGGGCCAAGAATTCACATGGAGCACAATGGAGAAGGATGGAAGACCTGAAAACTAAACTGAAATCATCTAAAGACTTATTTACTCATGTGAGCTGTGTTGGAGCTGTCAGCTGCAACACTTACACAAGGCCTCTGCATTGGGCCTGAACTTCCTCACAACATGGTGACTGGGTCTTAAGGATTGGCCTAGATAAAGTCATGGCAGAGACCACTCATGGAAAGCTATGTCAACAATGGAAGATGAATGGCCAGGATGAAGACAGAGAGAGAGAGAGTAAAGAATTCCAAAGGTTGCCATGTTTGTCTAACCCTGCTTCACAGAACCAACAGACAAAATCTGTAGCCTCCTCTCCTTGTCAGATCTGTGTATTTTGTATGGGAATGAATATGTCAGAAAGTAGTAGCTTAGTGATAAATTATGCATCAGCCTCTTCTTCATTCTAGGTTCACCAGTACTGCCAAATTAACATTACCTGAGCACCTCCTTTGCCCAAGAATTTTTACAAGTGTAATTTCATTTAATTCTCACAACAACCCAAAGTTATAATTTTAATTTTCCCCCCTTTGGATTAGAACTTAGAGGATATGGAAACCTCTCAGTCACCCATATATGTAAACTACTGCTAAAAAGGTTTATTTTAAAGAAGTGGAGCTGTTATTTACTCTCATACATTCACCTATTTTAGTTTCAGGGAGTACTTCTATGGCGGACTTATGTAATACCTGTGATCGTATAAGAAAGTCTTTTGGTTCAGGTATTCTTATCACATTATCTAACATATCTGTGAGACTTACCTTTGATCTCCCATGTCGTTATACTTCCAAAGCCACCTTCAACTAAAATCTACACTAAACAAAGAAAAGTGCTTCAATAAATCTGTGTTTCTAAGCAATTGTCACCTTTCCCAAAAAAGTAAAATAGCAATTTCTATAGCTGTTTTTTCTTTTAATGGCTTTATTGAGATGTGTCACATACCATATCATTCACCCATTTAAAGTGTTCAGTTCAGTATTTTTTAGTATATTCACAGATATATACATTCATCGCCATAATCTAATTTTAAAACATTTCTCTCTTGCAAAAGTAGCCCAGTACCCATTAGCTGTCATTCCCCAGCACCCTCCCACCATCAGGTTCTAAGCAACCATGAATCTACCTTCTATTTCTGTAGATTTGCCTATTCTGACCATTTTCTATATATGAAATCATACTATTTGTGGTCCTTTGTGACTGGCCTCTTTCACTTAGCATAATGTTTTCAAGGTTCATTCATGTCTTAGCATGTATCAGTGCTTCATCCCTTTATGGTATATCCATAAAATGAAATATTATAGGACTATAGTATTTCATTTTATGGATATACCATATTTTGTTTATCCATTTATTAGTTGATAGACATTTGAGTTGTTTTTACTTTTTGACTACTATGACTAATGCTGCTATGGAAATTCTTTTACAAGTTGTCATGTGGCCATATGTTTTCATTTTTCTTGAGTGTGTACCTAGTGGTGAAATTGCTGTGTTATGTAGTAACTCTATGTTTAGCCTTTTGAGGAACTGCCAAACTGTTTTCCAAAGTGATTGCACCAGTTTACATTCTCACCAGCAATATATGAGGGTTTCAATTTCTCCACATCCTTACCAACACTTGTTATTGTCTGTCTTTTTCATTATAGTCATTCTGTGGGTATGAAGTGGTATCTCATTGTGGTTTTGATTTACATTTTGTAACGACTGATGGGTGTTGAACATCTTTTTTATTTCCTATTGGTTATTTTGTATATCTTCTTTGGAGAAATAGCTCTCCAATTCCCTGCCTTTTTTTTTTTTTTTTCCAGAGACAGAGTCTCACTCTTGTCACCCAGGCTGCAGTGGAGTGGTGCGATCTTGGCTCACTGCAACCTCCGCCTCCTGGGTTCAAGCGATTCCCTTGCCTTAGACTCCCAAGTAGCTGGGATTACAGGCATCCACCATGCCAAGCTAATTTTTTTGCATTTTTAGTAGAGATGGGGTTTCACCATGTTGGCCAGGTTGGTCTCGAACTCCTGACCTCAGGTGATCTGCCTGCCTCGACCTCCCAAAGTGCTGGGATTACAGATGTGAACCACCATGCCCAGCCTCTTGTCCATTTTTTAATTTGGTTGTTTGTCTTATATTATTGAATTGTAAGAATGTTTTAACGTATTCTAGTTATAAGCTGCTTATCAGATATACATTTGCAAATATTGTCTTTTTTTTTTTTTTTTTGAGACGGAGTTTTGCTCTTGTCGCCCAGGTTGGAGTGCAATGGCACAATCTCGGCTTACTGCAACCTCCGCCTCCTGGGTTCAAGCGATTCTCCTGCCTCAGCCTCCTGAGTAGCTGGGATTACAGGTGTGCACCACCACGCCCAGCTAATTTTTGTATTTTTGATAGAGACGGGGCTTCACCATATTGGCCAGGCTGGTCTCAAACTCCTGACCTCGGGTGATCCACCCGCCTCGGCCTCCCAAAGTGCTGGGATTACAGGCATGAGCCACCGTGCCTGGCCACAAATATTGTCTTTTATTCTATGGGTTACCTATTAGCCTTCTTTATGGTATCATTTGCAGCACAGTTTTAGATCTTTTTTGTTGTTGTTGTTTAGCTTGTTTATTTGTTTCATTTTATGTGCAGTACTCACTTCTGCTTTCATTCATTTATGCCTTGAGTGTCCATTATGTGTCAGGAACTTTTCTAGACACTGGTGATATGTCAGTGAATAGGATAGAACAATGTCCTTGCTCTCCTGAAACTAATATTCCACTCAAGAAAGGCAGATGATAAACAAATAAATCAAAGATTTCAGACAATGATAAATATGTTTAAGAAAATGAAGTGAGATAATGAAGTGGAAAATTTTTATGAGGCGTGTGTCCAGGGTGGGGAGGCAGCTTTAGGTAGATTCACACTGTTGGCATTTGGGGCCAGATAATTCTTTGTTGTGTTGTAGCTGTCCTGTGCAAATATCCTACAATGCAAGGACAGCTGCCTGTGTAAGGATATCTGTAGCAGGATCTCTGACCTCTACCCACTAGGTACCATTAGTACCTCCCTCACTTGCTATAATCGTACAAAATATCTACAGACACTGCCAAATGTCAGAGAGAAAAATCACTCTCAATTGAGAACCACTCAGATTAATAGTTGAGAAAGGCATCTCCGAGTGATGACCTGAAGACAGAGTCCACCTTATGGGAAGCAGTGGAGCAAAAGCATTCAAGATAGATGGTAAATAAGTGCAGAAGCAAGGTGGGGATGCACTTGATGTGTTTGAGAATAGAAACAAGGCTTTAGAGTGACAGTGTGGTGAATAAGGGAAAGAATAGTAGGAGATAAAAATAGAGAGGTAGGCTGGGGTCAGATTATGAAGGATCTAGTAGACAGTAATAAGAAATTTGGAATTATTCCGAGTACAGTATAATTGGAAGCCAGTAAGTCAGGGATAAATGGGTGCTCTCAAATATAGGAAATAAGCTGTAGATTTGGGGTTTTGTCCCACTTTATTTTATTTTGAGTTTTTGTGGGTTTTTGTTGTTGTTTTTGCTCAAGGATCCACAATCAGAGAGTGATAGAGCTAGGACTAAAACCCAAGTCTCCAGGCTAGTAAGCTATAGGTCTTTCTATTAAACACGGGTGACGAAGCAGTCTACATTTATTAACTGTAGGATTGCAATTGGCCGTTACTCTAACTGACCTTTCCCTGAATCCACCTTGTTTAAGAATTCCTAATATAGTACTTAGCATTTGGCATGAAAATCAAAGAAGATGAACTTTAGCAAGAAGCTAATCCAAATCTGCTTCACAGACCAGCAGCATCAGCATCACCTGGAAACTTGTTAGAAATGCAGAATCTCAGGCCCACCTCAAACCTACTGAATTAAAATCTGTGCCTTGATAGTCCCTAGTTAATTAGTATGCATGTTAAAGCTTGAGAAGCACTGATCTAGTTTATCAAAATATCATCAGAAACAGTCGAGTGATTCAAATGGTTTTTTTTAATGGGCTTTTACTGAGTCAGAAGACTAATGATGGTGTCATCATTAAGCTCTCATTATAACATCTTTTTTATTCCTTTCTTTCTTTGGCTCACAGCAATTCTTCACTCACAAAGTCCTATGTAGTCTTCCTTAATAACAGCATACATTCTTTCCTTTCATTTCTGCAGCCACCACCTTTGTCTTTACCCTCACTAATTTGTACCTAGCTTATTATAGCCATATCAAAATTTATGCCTTCCTCCCTTCATGCCCTTCATTGCCTAGAGCTCTCCGAATCTCAAACTTCATATGGCTTTTTCTTGTCTTCAGAGTAAAATTCACATTTCCAACTCTGACTTTGAAGGCCTTCTATATCAAAACTCCAAACACGTTTCCCAGAGAATCTGTTGTGTGTATGTCTTTAAGTCCATGTCTTTGTTCACACCCTGGAATGCCCTTTCCCATCCTTTCTACTGCCTTCAAGGCTCTGCTGAAATCCCACTTCCATCAGTGATGTCAAATCTACCCAGTTGCCTACCCAGGTTCTACGGCACTTGTTGCCTGTACCAATTATTTTTTGGTGGGGGGGTCTGATAGCATTATAATTTCAGGCACAAGCACAGGTCTTCATAACTAAATTGTAGTTCATGGAGAACAGAGGCCACATCTTTGTCTGCTCCCACTCTAATGCTTAGTAAGGCACTAAGCATGTAGTAGGTAATCAGTAAATATTTTGCCTTTGAATCTGAAGTTGTGGAGTAATGCCCAGATTTACAAGCACTTCGTTTCTACTAATTTATTTTCTCTAAGGGTCTATGCTACAGTTCAGCAATTGTGTAAACAGCATTGTTTATAAAGCCAGCCATGGGTAAGCAGTCTCAGATCAGCTGGGTGGTAGGCAATGGATGCAGTCCAGAATTTCAGGCCAAATAAAATTGTGAATCTTTATTTCAAGAACCACTGTATTCTGTGGGACCAAGCTCTGTTCCGGGTGTCAGAACAATAGGTATCCCTCCCTGCTGCTGAGCAGCTGTATGGGGCAAAAAGCCCCGATTGAGCCTGGCCCGCCTGAACCTGGGATAGCCCAGATATAAAATGATAATAACATTGACCTGAATTCTGTATTTTGTTACATTTTTGTGTTTGCTTAGTACTTCTTTCTTAAGGTTGTTGGCAAGAGCATCTGCTGGTAACTTGGCTCAGTGTGTTGTAGGTTTTTGTATATGGTTTGGGTTTCCTATTCCTGGGCATTGAACTATTAAGATTCCTGCAGATAGGCATAACTACTTACAGCCTTTTCTGTGTATATATTAGCTCTTACGGACCTCATAAACCTAAAGAGGTGCAGAGGAAAAGTGCCATCATTCTCATTTTACAACTGGGGAAGCAGAGGCCCAGAAAAGTGATCTAACTTTCCCAAGTTCACAAATGTGTTATCAGAGCTGCAACCAGAGCTAAGGTTGAGGCTTTATGAACCTTAGGTTACTATTCGGTTAATAGGCTCAGTGCAGCCTTACCTTACTAATTATTAAAAATAGACAACATTAGGATTTAAACCAGATGGTCTTTTCCTGTTGTTCACACTCTTACCCACTGTCAGCAATGGCCCATCAGATAATCCACACTGATTCATGAAAAGGCAAATATTTTCTGTTTCTGTTCTAAGCTAGGCTTGCCAAAACCGAGAGCAATATTCTCTATCCCCGAGATGCATTGCTTCAAGCACCTATCTACTTTCTCTGCAAAGTTATCCCTTTGGCAATGGTTCTTCAATTCTGATTATATCTGGGAGAGAAATAATAAACCTATTTAGATGCTAATTGGCTTTAACATCTCAGTGAGTCAACAGGCTCATGTATGTCCTACAAGAAGTCTCTCAAACCTGGATCATACAGCTATCAAACAGTGTTGCTCAGCCACCAACTTCAAAATGGCTCAATCCATTTGAGTTTACAAAGCATTCCATTTTATAGCAAAGGACATCTGTGCTAAGGATAGTGTCTTAAAGGCTAGGCTTTTGAGGTGGCAATTATTTTCTTGCTGAGGTTTCAGAATAGACAATTTTTTTTCCTACATTAAAACAGAGAAATGAAGAGTCTGAGTATTCTAGGAAGTTCATGGCATAATGGTAAGCAGATAAATTTCTGATATCCTTCTGAAAATTAACTTAGTAGCTTTGTGACCTCTGGCGCCTTATCTTCTCCAAGCCTCGGTTTTCTCATCTGTAAAATGGAAGTCATAATGGTACTTACAAGGCCAAAATGATGACTAAATGAGAGGATAAATTTAAAATATTTAGCTCAATGCCTGGCACATAGTAAGTGCTTCATAACAATTGAGTACTAGTATTACTATTATTTATTAATAATTCCTATAGTCAAATAGAATAAGGAGTCCCCCTTGTTCACTATAGATATTCAGAATGTCCTTCTCTCAGGCCTGAATGAGTAATTCCTTCTGGATTACTAATATCAAAAGTCCATTTGTATCTGATTGAGATGAGGAAAGAAATGCAGGATGGAGCAGGGAACCAGTCCTCACACTACATGGTTTACTCCAGCGATTCTCAACGTTAGCACTACCTATGTTTTGCACAGGGTTAGTCTTTGTTTTGGGGGGCTGTCCTGCACAATGGAGGATGTTCATCAGTATCCTTGGCCTCTATCCATTATAAGATGCCAGCAGCAAACCAACCTCCTCCAAGTTCTGATGACCAAAACTATATCCAGATATTTGCCGACTGGGGGCACTTGCCCCCAGTTGAGAGTCACTAATTACACAGTACATTTGTCCATGATGGGGACATGTAGGCTCACGGGGTAGCCAGTGACAGGCAGGCAGACAGGAGTGGGGAATTTTTTTTCTGTAAAGGCCCCAAGTAGCAAATATTTTAGGCACTGTCTGTCCCAACTACTAAACTCTGCCATGTAGCTTGAAAGCAGCCAAAGACAACACATAAATGAACATGTTCCAGCAAAACTATTTATGGGCCCTGAAATTTGAATTTCATATAATTTTCATGTGTCACTAAGTAATCTTTTTAAAATTTTTATTCAACCACCTAAAAATGTTAAAACTATACATGAGTCGTACAAAATCAGGTGGTGGGCTAGACTTGGCCCATGAGCCATAGTTTTCTGACCTTTGGACTAAGAAATACATGAAGCCGTAACTTCATATTTATCCCTAAGATAAACATGGGATAAATATGATACTTCTCCTAACACCATCAAATTTACATATAAATTTTAGAGAAAGCATATTATTTTATTAAAATGAGCATTGCTATATTTTGGAATAGGACCCAAGCCAAAATGAATTTTAGAGATAAAACATTATATTCCAAAGTTATATCTTGCTTCCCATGGGCTGTTGACCCATGCCTCAGGTCCCCAGAGGCCTTCATTTCCTGCCTTCATTTTCCCTTGCTTTTAGGCTACCTTGGTAGGAAAACTTAAGAAGTTGCCATGCCATTTTAAGTGAGAAACTAAGTCATATAAGAGCCTTTTAGACTTCCCATAACTGGTTACCCTTAGATAGTGTCCAATAAGGCACCTCAAAATATTCTAAGTGCTCTAGTGGTTGTCTAATATATTTCATCAGAGAATGGTTGTGTAATATACGATTGTTTAATCCAAGGTGGCTCCTATAAATCCTTTTTGAAATGTTCAAGTATCTCTGTCACACACTTGGGGTATGAGGTTTATTCACTTCCATTGTCAACTAAGCAGCATGTGTACCCCACAGCTTGATGAGTACCCAGAAAATCAGCAAATGGTGTGGGCCCTACTCTCAGGAAGCTGGAATCTGATGGTGATATTAGGACCTGCTCATATGAGATGACCCGCAAAGAGTACACCATCAAGAAAGGTGTTGTGGCAGAAGGAGAAGTGGAGTGGCAAGCGGGAGGCACATTTTCTAGCACCTCCTGTGCATTCATCCTGAAGGAGAGAGTTACTTTACCTTTAGATAAGTTTTTCTCTTCTGCCCAGAGTGCTTTTTTGAGACAGATTCTGAGACATCATCCAAGTTCAGCTGGGAAGAATGCCACAATTGATTAGAGCTGTCAGCCGTGGATGGGAGATCAGGGATTGGCTGGCAAAAGTGCCAGGGTGTTGACAGGCATAGTCTCAGTCATCTCCACAGTTCTTCCTGGCTGGAAATGCCTCTGGCTATATTACCCTTATTGCATGATTTCATGGTACTGATCAGATCCAAAGAAGGAGGATGATTGTGAGATGCAAAGCTCAGGGGACGACTACGCGGTGAAGGTGAGAGAATGCCCAGAGCTTTGAAGAGGCTGCTTCTTCTTCAAAGCTGTGTTCCAGCAGAGCACATTTTGTGCATACTTGAATTTTCATTGGCTCTAGGCTGAGCGCATTCTATTGTGGCGTTGGCATGGGAAGAGGGAGGCATGCGAGAAATATTGCATCTCTGCTATTCTCCTGGGCCCTTGTGAATGGGAATGTCTTCTTAATGAGCCTATCCCAGAGAGTCTGGCCTTTCAGATAAACAAATAAGCATCAGCAGGAGATGCTCACAAAAGGACTGGGCAAAATAGGGCCACGTTGAGTGACAACCCAAATAAAGGAGTCCTAAGAGGTCTGAAGCTGGTGGCTAATGAGCACATCTCCTCATTTGTGATTTCTTGGCCAGGACATGTATTGTTGAGGGTGCCAGGAAAGTCTGTCTTATTTTATACAGGAAGAAGCCTTTCTGGCCTTTGTCCTGGTACTGGCTTTTATATTTTATGTTGGGCTAGGGGCCTGCCTGGAGGACATTTACAAGGTGAGGAGAAATCTCAAGCTGATTTTAACCTAACACAATTTTCTTATCTTTCTAGTGATATATATCAGTTTTCTCACTTGGGAAATGGGAATAAAAATACAACTCACCTACTAGAATTGTTGGGATGATTAAGTCGGATGATTCTCAGAAAGCACTTCCCACAGTTTCCAATATGTAGTCAGCATCTGATACATGTTGGCTGCAATCATTATTAGTAACAGTATTATCATCATCATTTTGATATGTGGAAAGATACCAAAAGGAGTGTCCAGGGGTGAGGGATCTAGTTCCAATTCTGCTACCAGCTGGCTGTGAGATTTTAGGCAAGTCATCTCTCATGTCAACTGAGAGTGCTGGACGGGAGTTTTTATTCATTTTGTAAACATATTTGGAGGACCTACTAAGTGCCAGGCTCTATTTCCAGGGAGCAAATATATAAAGGTGAATAAGACACATTTTCTGTACTCAAGAGATCCCAAAGGTAATGGAGGAGACAGGTAACACATGTGACCACATAGCATGAGAATTGCTCTTACTGTGTGGCTGCATGCCAAATGCTCGTGAGGCCTGGCACGGAATTAGCAAGACTAAAGGCTCTGTCCCAGTCCAACCTTCTGTGAGTCTATAACTGAAGCATCCAAAGTATAAGCTGGGTGATTAGGGGAAGAAGAAGTCACCTAGCTGGCAAGGGGCCTAAAACTCAAGTCCCCTCCTTCTAGGACCAGAGTACTCACCAACTACCAAGCTGCCTTAAAATAAAAACATTCAAGAACAAGTGATGTGCAGAGAGGCAACACAGTGATAAGTAACTGGGGTCTGGAAATGGGAGACTTCAACTTCAATTTCAGCACTGTTATTTTGGTAGTTTAATGATTTAGAGTCAGTTGTTTAATCTCTTAGAGACTCAGTTACTTCATCAGCAAGGGTGTTACTATAGTAATACCTGCTAGACATTATTATTATATGGAGAGAGAGAGCTTGGTAAGCTGTGACATATACATTCTAGTTGGTGGTTGTTTCTGTTGTTATTATTAATAGTAACAACAATAAATATCCTGTTGTTTATTTTTTTGAAGTGTTCAGTGGCTGGTAACTGAATTAGAGTGCCTGGAGATATAGGTAAGGGTTTTTTGTTTTAATAATCATTATCTTTGTTCAAGAGAATAGGAAAAATATAAGCCTCTTTTTAACTTTAATGCAAAAAAGTCTTTATAGCTTGTGTGTGAAAAACAAGAGGAAGGGAGGAAGGGGAGGAAAGAGATTGTCTATTTCTACTTAAAGCTAATTAGAGAAGTAATTTTAGGTAAGAGTATTATGACCTGATTTCTGATTAATTTAAGTATTATTATACTGTTGTAATAGAAATCCCTGAAGTGCTTTATTGATTATCTGTTGGTAGAATGAAAGGGTAAGCAGCTGTAGTAAATAAAATTTTTGTCTGAGGCAAAGCAAAGGAGAAGTAATATAGGAGAAATTATTATAATAAAGATGGGAGTGAGAGAAGAAACCTGGGTTCTAGTTCTTTCAGATAGGTGACCTTGAACAAATCTCTTCCCTATACTTGGCCTCGGTTTCCCCATCGGAACAACCTAGGGCATACTCTAGATAATCCCTAAGGTCCCTTTCAGCCTTGACAAACTATGAGATTTCTACCTGTACAATACTGAAACAGTGATTAAGAGGGAGAGACACCCACAAAGAAAGAAATAGTTTGTGCTGTGCTCAAATGCCTGACTGATAAAAAAGAGAACAGACTCATAAAACCCACTAATTCAAATTAAATGGATAATTCTTGTTGATTTTGAGCTGGCAATCTCAGGCTTCTAAATCACAAGGAAACTCCATTTGATCCTGCAATGGTCTCTTGGTCTCTTTCTTAGCTCAGTAGTGCTAAGCACAGAGGTTTCATGGAAATCAAGAGAGAAAGAGAGAGAGAGAGAGAGAGAGAGCTGTTTAAAAAAAGAAGAACAATATACTTGGATGAACTAAAGAGTGGTCCTCATGAAAGCCTCATAATGTCCATTGCCTACCTGTTTAACCCTTTGTGGCCTGATTTTTGGTCCTCAACTGAAATCAAATTAGGTAGTCTTATGTAGGGAAATGAATAACTTGTACACTGTTGTTGTTTGCCATCTTTAGGACCACCAAAGGGTAACGAATTCAGCAGACCCACAATCCGGCACTTCAGGTTTTTGAAATTTACTCATGAAAATTTAGGAAGTCCTAAAGGCTGTGAAAAATCATTGAACTTCATTGGCAGGCAGGACCTTGCTTTCAAAACTCTATGAGGCTACAAATCAGAGATTGAAACCTAAAGAGGGAACAGGGCTTTCCCAGAGTCACCTGCCTTCCCAGGCAGAACTGGGACTCGAAGTCACAGCTAGACTAGAACTCCACTGATTCCAAATCCAGTATAACCAAGTCTCCTGTGGCCTTTCCCATGATCTGGACCCAAAGACTTTCTGATGTTCCCCAAAAGAGTTGTAGGTGCACTCTGTTCTCTGGTTCTTTGCAGTGTAATGGCAGAACTGAGGTTAGAATTCTCCTTGGATGTAAGGATCACCAGCCCACCAGGCTGGCAGTTAGACAAGGGAGTGATGGATTTGGGATGCTTTGTGTGACCTTGTATACAACAGGTTCTTAGACACAACCCTAGGACATGGAAAAGAATTACATTCATCCTGAGCCCCAGCTACTGTTACCAATTCAAATTAGGACAACATATTGATTAAGATACAGGTAGTTATGCTACCCTAAGAACTGGAATCTGAATACCTAGTTTTTATTTCTACTTCTACCGCTTGTTAGTAACCTATTCTTGATCCACCATCTAACTTCTGTGAGCCTCAGTTTCTCCATCTTTAAGACAGTGATGATAATGACAGTATCTGTAGAACAGCTTAACTTGAACTAAATGAGAAAAACTAAACAAAACACATAGAATTAAGTATGAATTTCTGAGGTTAGTTTATACATGTTTTAAGAGCTTAGAGAAAAGGAAAAAACATAAGTATCCTAAGGAGATTAGGAAATGCTTCCTTGGGAAGGTTGGAAAGCAGCTAAGCCTTGAAGAATAGGATGTATTTTGAACACTGGGAGAAGAGATGAGAAGGTAGTGAAGTGGAGGCAATAGCCTGCACTATCCAGAGACAGTTTCTGATTGTCCTAATGCTATGGGCTCTCTACTTCAGTTTAAGAAATATTCCAATCTTTGATACCTTCATTCAACAGTCCTTTCTATTTTTCTAATTTCATTTCCTGAATTGTTTCCCTGCGGAGGAGTGGGCCTACTTGTTGAAATAAATCACATCACAGATACCTCTTTTCTTCTCTTTTGTTAAAAGTTCTGTTAAAATATATATATTGTTAAAAAATTAAAGGTTATCTCCAGATAATTCCCCAAATGAGTAGGCTTAGGCTTTAATCATATTATGTTCCCTTCCTTCTTGCTCTTCACTTGCCAAGTTATACTAATGATCATAATCTCTTCTATGTGTTTTGGACTTTACAGTGTGTGAAGGTTTTATTGCCACTGTTGGCCCTCTCAGTGAGCTGATGCAATAATTTAGGTTATAATTGTTGGACTCTTTATACGAATGAGTTGCTAGAGCTTTAGAGATGTTGCCTGACACGTAGCAGGCTCTCAATAAATATTGGATGGATGGATGGATGGATGGATGGATGGATGGATGGATGGATGGATGGATGGATGGGTGAGTGGATGAATGGATGGATGGATGGATGGATGGATAAGTGGGTAGATGAATGGGTGGATGGATGGATGGATGGATGGATGGATGGATGGATGAGTGGATGAATGGATGGATGGATGGATGGATAAGTGGGTAGATGAATGGGTGGATGGATGGATGGATGGATGGTTGGATGGATGGATGGATGGATGGATGGATGGATGGATGGATGGATGGGAGAAACAGGGGCCTTGAGTGGATTGATAGCTGCTCTAAGTATCTGCTGTATTTTATCATTTTCTCTCCCTCTATGGTAACTCCAGCTTCAGCAGAGATCCCAAGGCACAGAAAGCAGGCATGCCCTGCAATCATTTATCTCTGGGATGCCCTGGAGCCTGTCAAATGGAGATAGGGACCAAGATGGTATGTTGTAATTTTGTGATATAGAAAATCTGGTCAATTTCCATGAAGCAAGGCCCTCACCCCTATGGCTGCTTGTATAAGATACTGTCCCCTTTTGTACCCTGTGTAGATAATGTGTTTGGAGTTCCTCCTTTAGTTGAGAAAAATAGAATCCTTGCTCACTTCCATCCCAAAGTCTGGATTTGAGAGGGATCAATGCTTGGTTTGCAGGGAGAATATGCAGAACAAAGGAAGGACCAGAAAACTAGAAGTCAGAAGACCTAAGTTCAAGACCCAAGTTCAAAACTTATAAACTTAACTTATTTATTCATTGATTATGTATTGATTCCTTACTCTGAGGCAGGCTTTGCCAGACAGTGAGAACACAGTAGTGAGTAAGGGGGACAAGACACCTGACTTCATGGACCTTAGTTCAAGTGGGGTAAGAGAGAAAAATTAAATAAATCAACTGAATAAGCAAGATAATTGTAAGATAAAGATTCCCCAGGCACAGTGGCTCGCGCCTGTAATCCCAGCACTTCGGAAGGCCAAGGCAGGCAGATCACCTAAGGTCAGGAGTTCGAGACTAGCCTGGCCAACATGACAAAACCCAGTCTCTACTAAAAATACAAAAATTAGCTGAGCATCATGGTGCGTGCCTGTAATTCTAGCTACTCGGGAGGCTGAGACATGAAAATCGCTTGAACCTAGGAGGCAGAGGTTGCAGTGAGCCAAGATCACACCATTGCGCCCCAGCCTGAGCAGCAGAGAGAGACTCTGTCAAAAAAAAAAAAAAAAAAAAAAAAAGAAAGAAAGAAGAAAGAAAGAAAAGAAAAGGAGAAAGAAAACACGATTCTCTGAAGAAAAAAGCAATACACTGAGAGAAGGAAACATGAAGGTATTCGTTTAAATAGTGGGTCAGTGAATGCCCTTACTGAGTAAAAGTGACATTTAAGCCTAGATTTCAATGCTGGATGGTATTCATGCTACAAAACAATTTGGAGAATATTCTAGCCAAAAGGGAATAATTTGTGCAATGATTTGAAAAATGGAAGGACAACCAGGGTAGCTGGAATGTTTATGGCAAGGGAGAGAGTGATAGAAGATTAAATCAGGAAAACAGAGAAAGTAACAGATGAGGCAGTGCTTGACAGGCCATGAAAAGAAGAGTGACTTTTATTTTAAGTGCATGAGAAGCCACTGGAAGGTCACAAGTAGAAAGGGATGTGGTCTCATCTGTTTTAAGAATTTGGTCCAGTCGGCTGGCCGCGGTGGCTCATGCCTGTAATCCCAGCACTTTGGGAGCCCAAGGCGGGTGGATCACGAGGTCAGGAATTCGAGACCAGCCTGGCCAGCATGGTGAAACCCCGTCTTTACTAAAAATACAAAAAATTAGCTGGGCATGGTGGCGTGCACCTGTAGTCCTAGCTACTTGGGAGGCTGAGGCAGGAGAATTGCTTGAACCCGCCAGGTGGAGATTGCAGTGAGCCGAGATAGCACCATTGCACTCCAGCCTGGGTGACAGAGGGAGACTCCATCTCAAAAATAAATAAATAAATAAATAAAAGAATTTCGCCCAGTCACTGAACTTCTTTGTGACTCCCTTTTCTCTCCTGAAAACAAGGATTAAACTACTGATTGTCCTTCCAAGAGGTTGTCTGAGTGTCAGATCATGTTCATTATAATACTTTGCTCCAAGTTGTGCTTGATAAATTTTGAACTGAATTGTTTCATAACAATATGAAAATGCTTTATAAACTGTAAAGGGCCATGCAAGTATAAAGTATTACCAATAACCATCATTTCCCCAAAGCTCTGACTCCTTTCCAGGAGTTTGTGTGGAACAGGTAAGATAACTGGCCATAAAATGCTTTGAAAACCCTATGCTAATAAAAGATACTTTATATTTATGTTCATTTGTTTATTGAAGTTTGCATTTGGTTCCTTTATTCCATAGCACCAATGTATTCTCTATTTTTGGGCTAGGAAACAACAAGCAGACTCAAGTGTGTTATTTAACCTCAAGAAATAAAAATATCCAGAGATAATATGATGAGTGAGGCTGAGAGTCAAGTCAGCAAGTCTTTGGTTAGAACTGGGCACTTCTTCACTCTCTTACCTGAGTAGATGGGAGCTTGTCCTCATTAGTCATAGGCCCCCCGTTACTTATAAAGAAGTTGTGAAAAATAATACTGACAATGATGATAATTTGAATGACACATGTTTAGTAATGCATATAGATATATACTCATGGGTATGTATATACAGTCCTTTGCTACTTTTCTCAAAGCATGTTTTTCTCATCTATTGTTTTAATTTAGCTCACACTCACATGCAGAGGTAGAGTAGGAGTATTCCAATTGGAGAAATGGCCATGAAGTGCTTAAGTGGTTTGCTTCAAGGTCACACTGTGAGTGATAGAGGAGTTGAAACCAAGTCACAGAGCTCCCTAGTCCTGTGCCAGCACTCTGTATCAAGACCCCTCAGCTCCTGCGGGGCCTTGTGAAAAAACAAAAACAAACAAACAAACAAAAAAAAAAAAACAGGATCCTGAGCCTCACATTAAACAATTAGGAACTGGAGCATTTTCACACTTTAGAAAATATTTGATCCATGTAGCCTAGCCCTCTTCCCTCATGTCACATACAGGGAAACAGAGGACCACAAGTAGGAGCCCACTTGGGCAGGTGAGTTTTCTGCCAACTGCTCAAGCACCTACTGATGCTTCAGCTCTCTGTCTTTTAACCTCATATGTAGCTGGTGACTAAGGTGGATGGAGATAATGCAGTAGAAGTCAAGGTGGTCCCCTCTGAGGACCATCTTACCAGAGAGGGAATCACAGTAGGAAGAGAACTCTTCAGTTAATTGATAATTTTTTCTTTGCAATGGAAGGGAGGTCTCTGTGACCTTGGGTCTGACCTCGAGCCTGACATGCCTTTTTCCCTAGCCCTCTCTTGCTCTCCCTTCAGGGATTTGGGCAAGGTAAATCTTCAAGTTCATTTACCTTCTTTAAAATTGGGCAGCTTTACACATTATCTTGGCCAATTTGAGCCTAAAAAGTGATGTAGCTCAGAAGCAGTCAAGTTTAGTTGGATGAACATGAGTATTAGGCTGGGAAGCTCATGCCCAAGTGTGAACCTTGTAGCCTTAATCAAGTGTCTGCCTTAGAGCTAAGCTTCTCTCTTGGTGAAATGGTTTAAAATACCCATCCAGTACATGTCCTAAAATGGACATGAGGTTCCTCTGGGATAAAGGATGAGAAGATACTTTGTATTTTGTAACATTCTACTCAGATGCAGGATGTTCATCTCATTAATATTACACTCTGGTGCCAGTTTCTGGGGGGTCAGCTGCAGAGAAGCTAGTTCAGGCTGCAACATCTCATTAGAAGCTGAAATTTGGATTCAGGAAGAGGAGCATGGAGTGGGTGAGAGCCACTGTCTGCTGCTCAGGTTCCTGCTGCTATCTGTATTCAGAGAGGCATCCTGGTACCTTAGCAGTGCTGCTCAGTGGGACGTCTCTGACTTTGATGTTGCACGTGTCAACATTCTAATAGGGCAGCAGCCGAGATGGGGTATGAGTTTGGAAAGACATCTTATGACAGCTTTTTCCTAAAGATGTTTCAAGAGATAACCCTTTAGAAATAACGAAGGTAGTTTATGCATTTCATAGGAAACCCAGCGGCTTACGTAGCAGCTCACTTCGAAGTCTGGCATGCGGACGGCTTCCTACTCTCCCGTTTTTGCCCTCCCTGCACATCTGTGAGAAATCATCACTTGTCACAGTAACACAGTATTGTATTTAGTTACATTGACAGCAATGGTGAAAGGACTATAAGCCTATTTCCTTCTAAACTGTTCACATCAAATGAACCTTAAACATTTACTCCTCTCTTAAAATGTAAATCAGATCACCTCAGCCTACTGTTTAAACATTCTATCATGGCTTTCCATCATGAATAGAATCCAAATGCCTAACACAAGCTGGATGGTAGCCTGATCTGACCTTTGCTGACCTCTCTGACCTCCCCTCACACACAGCTCCCCTTGCTCACTGTGCTTGAGCCACACTGGTCTTCATTTGTGCTCAAATATGCCAAGTTTTCTCCTACCTTAGGAGCTACTATTAAAATACCTAACTAAAGCTCTAAAGCTCTTCATGCCTGCACCACTCTTTTCTAAGATATTTCCTGCCTGCCTCCTTCACATCGAGTCTCAGCCCAGCTCAGCCATCTCTTCAGTCAGTACTTCGCTGACCTTCCCCTTTGGCCCCACTCCTACCCCTCTGTACATCTCCATTACATTGCCTTTGGTAATGTCTTCTTAGCACATATCGATTTGTTTACCTATTAATTCCATGCCATGAGAGGAGAGATTCTTTCTTTTCTCTTTTTTTTTTTTTTTTAGAAGGGTGTTGTTCTGTCACCCAGGATGGTGTGCAGTGGCATGATCTCCGCTCACTGCAATCTCTGCTCCCTGCCTCCAAGGTTCAACCTATTCTCCTGCCTCAGCCTCCCAAGTAGCTGAGACTACAGGCACATGTCACCACGCCCGGCTAATTTTTGTATTTTAAGTAGAGATGGGGTTTCACCATGTTGGCCAGGCTGGTCTCAAACTCCTGGTCTCATGTGATCTACGTGCCTCAACCTCCCAAAGTGCTGGGATCACAGGCGTAAGCCACCACACTCAGCCTGAGATCCTTTCTTTCTTATGGTCTCCTGAATCTCTAGCATGGAAGAATAAAGGTGCCGTAGCACAGAATAGATCTATTATCCAATGAATATTTGTTGGAGGAATGAATCAATCCTCTCTTTTTACAGAGGGAGAAGTTAGGACCAGAGAAGAGTAGACATCATTGTGTTTCTGAAGGTTTTATGTTAGCACCTTTGGGCCATGCTGGGACCTTGGCAAATTATAGCATTCAAGGGTTTTAGGGTAATGTTCATGGATCCCTAGAAAGTCAGCAAATGGGGATCAGGGTGTCTTGAGCCCTGTGAAAGTGTTGGCATATTTCTGGGGAGAAGATTCATAGCTTTTATTAGTACTTCAAATAGATATTTGATCCATTGGTAGCACCCATCAATTTTTCCTTTTAATTAGCTTAGTTTGGGGAATGTGGAGCGAGCCTAAAAGAGGATAGATGTCTCAGCACCACCTTGAAGACCTTTCTTCTTTTTCACTGACAGCATGGTTCCATCGTTCTGCCCCTGAATACGGGGACAGCTCCTCTTTTTCTATTACCAGAGCATATCTTTCTTAAATTCACTATTTCCATGATGAATCTACAGTGCCAGAAGCTAGAGTCTGGAATCAAAGAATTCCAGAGTTGGGAGAGCACTTAATTCAGTGTTCATAAACCAAAGTGTACAGCAGAATTTTCTGGAGAGCTTTTTACAACTATGCGTTTCCCACTCCTTCCCCTGACTTTTATTTGTTTGTTTATTTTTGTTAGAGATAAGATCTTACTCTGTCACCCAGGCTGGAGTTCAGTGGCACGATCACAGCTCACTATAGCCTTGAACTCCTGGGCACAGCAATCATCCACCTGAGCCTCCCAAGTAACCAGGACTACAGGGGGTGTGCCACCATGCCCAGCTAATTTTTGTATTTTTGGTAGAGACGGGGTTTCATCATGTTGCCCAGCCTCATCTCAAACTCCTGACCTCAAGCAATTCTCCCACCTCAGCCTCCCAAAGTGCTGGGATTACAGGCATGAGCCACCACACTTAGCTAATTGTAGTATTTTTGGTACAGATGGGGCTTCGCCATGTTGCCCAGACTCATTTTGAACTCCTGGGCTCAAGTGATCCGTCTGCCTCAGCCTCCCAAAGTGCTGGGACTGCAAGTGTGAGCCTCTGCACCCGGGTCCCCTGACTTTTAGAAGTGGAGTATATTAGGTTCCTAGTGTTTCTGTAACAAAATTCCACAAGCAGGATGGCTTAAAACAACAGAAACTCATGGTCTCATAGTTCTGAAGGATAGAAGTCTGAAATGAAAGTGTTGCTAGGGCTGTGCTCTCTCTAAAACCTGTAAGTGAGAATCCTTCCTTGACTCTTCCTAGCTTCTGGTGGTTGCCATCAATCCTGGGTGATCCTTGACTTGAAACTGTCAAAGAACTCCTGCACTTTAATTTCCTCCTCTGTCACCACATGGCTCTTTCCCCTCGTGTGTCTGTGTGTCTTTTCTTCTTATAAGGACACCAATCAAATTGTATTAAGGTCCACCCTACTCCAGTATGACCACATCCTAACTTTTTATGTCTACAATGACCCTATTTCCAAATAAGGTCACATTCTGAGGTACTGTAAGTTGAAACTTTGTTTTCAGGAGATACCCAAAACATGACATGACATGGGGTATGGGAATCTGTATTTTTTAAAAAAACTCCACCAGTGATTGTGTTGAGACACATTGCTCTTATACACATGCCCTTCACTGAAAAGGTGAGAGAAACTGAGGGCTGGGAAAGGGACAAGCTCAGAGTCACTCAGAGTCTCAATGACCCAGACTGGGGCACCAAGTATCATGATTCCCCCAACATTCTTTCTAATGTGCCAAGCTGCCTTTTGGAGTCTGGACCTGGTGATGCTCTCACTGGTCTCCAAGGACCAGCATTTAAGTGAATATTTCCAGTGGTCCATGTCTGCCCCAAGGGGCTACTTACTACTCCAGTGTAACTAGAGGGGCATTAGTGGATCTTTTGGTCAAATCAACTGCCTCCATCCCAAAGGATATGGTTTTGGGGCAAGTTGGACTACTCCAGCAGTCATGGACAGGCACCCCAGCTTCCTCCAAGTTGTACTCATGTTGCCCCAAATTACTGTGGCGGATGGCTGGTACTATGATGAAATTCTGTGTTATATGTGTGAGAAGACTTCCTTCCTCATCCATCACTTACCCAGAACACTAACATGTGGTATATATTAACACGATCCTCTCTTGGGTTAGCATGTGGGTGGGTTCTTAGGAAAATAAATTAACATCTGGAAAGACAACCCAAGCCTTGCCCACAGTGTTTGAGATGTTACTCAGTGGAAATATTGGTTGTCGTGCCCAATTTGTGTCCCCTCCCATTGTGTTTTTATGCTGGAAGTCTGCACAATCTGTTGATCCCCGTCTCAACTGGCTCCCTCACAGCAGATGCATTTAAAGTCACAGATCTCAAAGTAAGCAAATCTAAAGTGTTTAATCTATTATTAATCAGCTAGTTGCCCAAATGATAGAGCTCTAGGGGACCCTGAGGAAGACATCAATATTTATGGCCTCCTTAGGGAGTGCATATTTTTCTCTCTCTCCTTTATTCCCACCTTTCTTGCCTTCAGATGAGAATGGAAATATGAAGCCTGTTATGTTTTATGCCATTGTACAAGGCAGGAATGTCATGTTTTGAAATGAGATGACTACAATGTGGTATTTTATGTTTGTTTGAGAATATTAGCTGTTAGGGCTGTGGTAACCTCTACCAGATTGGGTTAAACAAAAGCAGTCTGCAGTCCATGATAATACAATGGAAAAGCATAGGGAACACAAGAAACCTGGGTGAACTTTTTCACAAACAATTCATTTTTCTAATGAGGCAACTAAAGCTCAGAAAAGGAAAGGGTCTTCCTTGTGATCATACATTCATTTTATCATTCAACAAACCTTAACTGAATACCTCCTATTCAACAGTGCACGAGCTGCCAGGAACAATGAAGTAAGTATTAACAGAAATGCCTAACATTTACTGAGCACTTCTTAGGTGCTGGGTACACACTAAGTCCTTCAAGTAGTCTCTCCTGCTGAAAGTGCTATTCCAAGTGCAAGTTGGAACAGCAGGTGCCTTGGCACCAAAGCTCTATGTGACCGACCTTTCTGACCTGGCCTCACTTCCTTCCCCCTCCCCTCATTTCTCTCTCTTCTCTCCCTTTATTTTTCTTTTCTTTCTCTCTCTCTTTTTTTTTTTTTTTTTTTTTTTTTTTGAGACAGACTCTTGCTCTGTCGCCCAGGCTGGAGTACACTGTCGCGATCTCAGCTCACTGCAACCTCCACCTCCCGGGTCCAAGCAATTTTCCTGTCTCACCCTCCCAAGTAGCTGGGACTACAGGCACCCACAACCATGCCCAGCTAATTTTTGTGTTTTTAGTAGAGACAGGGTTTCACCATATTGGTCAGGCTGGTCGTGAAATCCTGACCTCAGGTGATCCGCCCTCCTCGGCCTCCCAAAGTGCTGGGATTACAGGTGTGAGCCACTGTGCCCGGCCCCTGTCCTCATTTCTTATGCTCCAGCCTCAGTGGCTTTCATTGTTACTGTTTTTGGAATATAAATCAGGCTTATTGCCCCTTTGGACCTTTGAATCACCTGTCCATGCTGACTAGATTCCTCTTCCCGTCCTCATTTCTGGCTACTCATATTTCAGGTCTTAGCACAAAATCTTTTTCAGCAATTTCTTGAAAGTGAGTCACCCCATTCTCACCCATTAAGAGATAGTGACTATCGCTATCATAAGATAGTCACTATCTCTTAACAAACCTGTTTTAGTGTCATCCTACACAGTGATGTGCTGTCAAATCCTTAACACCTGAGTCTGATGGGGTGGTGGTGAGGAGGGGGAGTGTGGTGAGGAGGGGGAGTGTGCTGATTTCAAGCATTTGCCAATTTTCATGATGTAAAGACCTTTACTATGGCTGATTCAATAGTTCAAGCTATCAGCATGATGTCACTGAATGAGAAGTTGGGAAGAGATATACACAGTCCACTCTTGTGAGCCACTATGCACCAGCTCTGACATACTTCTTGTTGTCTGAAATTATCATATTTATTTGTTTAGTTGTAATTCTTTTACCCTCCTATGCAATGTAAGCTCCAAAGGAAGAGGAACCTTATTTGTTCTGGTTATGGTTGTATTTCTAGCATCTGGAACAGGGCCAAGAATATGATAGTAACTTAATAAATAACTGTGGAATGAATTATGAATGAATGAATGAGAATTCTCACAATAACTCGGTTAGGTAGGTGCTACTATTATCCTCATTCACCGAGTAAGGAGACTAAAATGTGGCTAGAGATTAAATAACTTGTCCAAGCTCACACAGTCAGTGCATGGGATTGCCAGGATTTGAATCAAGGCAATTTTTCTCCAGAGTCTCTTCTCTAAATCCCAAGTTATATGAATTTAACAAAGTCACTCCTCTTGAAGAGCTCAAAGTCTAGAGAAGAAATAGACACTTGAACAAAAGGGGAATAATGCACCCATGACAATGACAAATATGTACGTAATATACACTCAGAGACCTCGGTGAGTGAGAACCAGGAGAGTGGCATGGTGATTAAGTAAGGTAATATTTGATGGAGTCTTGGAGGATATCATTGGAGTGCTTTTTCCACCATGCCAAAGTTGCTTCCCACCTGGAAAAACTGACATTATGAAATCTTTCTTGGATAAGGAAGAGAAATCAGGCTTTACTCAAATGTAAAGAAAAGCACAGAAGCATTATTGAGATGGTTTGAGGGTCAGCCGGATATTTCAGTACACAAGAAAACTGATAGTCCACTTGAGGCACGTTTCCAGACAGGGTCTTAACTTCTCCTCACTGCTGATCTTGTGACATGTTCTCTGATGAAGGGCTTTTTTAAGCTCTAGGTTGAATTGCTCACCCATTTCTGCTTCTGATTCTTTGCCTCCTGCATCAAAATTTCAGGTGGCTACTCACCTGGGATGGTAGTGTGATATAGTTTGGATGTTTGCTCCCACCCAAATCTCATGTTGAATTGTAATCCCCAATGCTGAAGGTGGGGCCTAGTGGGAGGTGTGTGGGTCATGGGGGCAGATCCCTCAGGGCTTGGTGCTGTTCTTCCAATAGGGACTGACTTCTCATAAGATCTAGTTGTTATAAAATGTGGCACCTCCCCCACCACCCTCTCTCACTCTTGTTTTTGCCATGTGACATGCTTGCTCCCACTTCACTACCCACCATGATTATAAGCTTCCAGAGGCCTCCCCAGAAGCAGATGCTGGTGCTATGCTTCCTGTACTGCCTGCAGAACTGTGAGCCAATTAAACCTCTTAAATAAATTATCCAGTCTCAGGTATTTCTTTACAGCAGTGCAAGAACAGCCTAACACATAGTGAGTGGACAGAGTACTATTGCAGTCTCTGATTGTTCTAGTAGCCAGGCTTGAGAAACCACAGAGTCATCACTGACAACTGCCTTGGCACTCCCTGCCTCTTCTTCTCCCCTCCCCAATCCCAAATAGCTACTAGGTTCCTTTGTCAGGTCTTGCATCATACCTTTCCCTTCATCTCCACAGCTATCATTCTGGTCCAAGATATGGGTCTATTCATCCACTCATTCATTCAACATACGCTGAGTTGTTGTCTGCTCTGTCCCAGGCAATGTGGTAGGCTCAGGGAATACAATGATAACCAAAAGCAGACATGACTCCTACACTCACAGATCCTATTTCCAGGGGGGCATATTCTAGTGGGGCAAGCAGTTGTAAATCAAATAACCACCTGCATAAATGGATAATGCCACTGTGATGAAAATTACCAAGGGGAGAAGGACATGGTGCTGGGGGAGTCTCTAACAGGGCATTTGACATAATCAGGAACACCAGGGAAGTAGTCACATTTATACCAAAATCTTAGGTTCTAAAAAATGAGAAAGCATTAAGGTATCGAATGGAGGAAAGGTCATTCCTGCCAATTGAAAAGACATGTACAAATATTCTTCAATGGAAGGACCTTAGCTCCTGCCAGGATAGTGAAAAGCAGGTTGGTTTGGATGGGGACAGAGAACACAGGTAGAGAATGATGTGGGATCAGGCTGAATAAATACGGCAGTGTTAGCCTCTGTGTCTAGATATTTGAGGGAATCAATTTTTGCACTCCCTCTATAATACCTAGTCTCCCCTTCTGGCTCATTTTGTGCACCCTTTGCCAAATTCCTCTTTCTAAAGCACTGGGTTTGTGTGTATGTGTATGCACGCACTTCCCCCAACCCCCATGCCTCCATTACTCCTCTACTCCAAAAAATGTCAGTTGTTTTTCTAGTGCCTGCAATGTAAGGCCTAAGCCCACTGGCATCAAAGACTTCTGTAATTTAGCATCAACTAAACTTTCAGCTGTCACTTCCCACTGTTGGGAAACCATATAACATGATGTTAGAACATAGTGACAGAAGGAGCTTTGGAGTCAAATAGCTGATGTAAATCTTGTTTCTTCCATTTTCTGCCTTTGTGACCTAGGACAGATTGCTTAATCCTGCTGAGCCTATGGTTTTATACTTTTAAATTGAAATTATAGTGTAAAGTTTAAATCAGATAATTAAATAAAGCCTTGAGCATAATCCATGATGTACTGAAAGTAATGATTAAATAATAGTCTATTAGACTATACAGCCTACTCACTATCTCTCATTCTTATCTAGTATTTACTAGCTAGTTAGGCACTATTTCTATTGCTTAGAACAACTTCTTTCGCATCTATCCAAAATGTATAACCCTTTGGTCACCAGATCAATATCTTCAGCTCCTTCCTTTCAGGTACTATATATTGCATTTGCTTCATAACACCTAATACAATGCATGAAGCATGCTTTTAATAAACATTCCTTGGATGGATGAATAAATAAATGAATAAAGAAATGAAGTAAAAGAAAGTCAATTTTTATATTATTCTAAGTGAGGGAAAAAAGAGAAACGAATCAAAATATCTTGGAAATAAAATTCTGTTCCTCTCTGAGCTTTTGATTTGTTTATAAGCTGGGGAGCATGTTGCTTACCATTTATTTAGTCTCACAAGTATGTTAACATCATCAACATAAGGTTTATGAAGTACTTTATACTGCCTGGAGGAAGGATGGTATAGAAATTTAAAATATTATATATGATCCTTCCAGGAAGAAAAAAAGAAGCAATATCTATTCTGTGAGGTGCATCAATTTTGGATCACTCTAATGGAAGTGCCCCGAGCAGTTGGTTTATCTCTTCAAATGTGAATTAATTTATACATTTCAAAGCTCCTGATGGATACTTTTCATTTTAATTAAGTACATTTTTGCCAAATTTCAACTTTAAAAACTCAACAAATTTGTTCCCACACTTGCTTTGTAGAATTTGCAATATTAGATATAAATTTATTATAAAAGGGTATGTTAGAAACTTCTCATACTGAAATCGGCCACCCAGCAACTTTTTCTTAGGATTCAAGTGCTCTAACATGTGCTCGCTTGTTTGTCTGTGTGATTCGGTGGTTTTATTTTGATTTTCATAGAAAATAATAAATATGTCTTGAAATGATCATTTCATTACTGAGTATTGCCAGAGGTTCAGAGTCCTTGCGTGCATCTGCATTTACTCTCAGGTTGGCACTATAAACTGCTACTGCAATTGTGATAAACTATCGAGAACAGAAAAAAGAAAATTTGATACAGAAATAATGCATAGTAAAATAATGCTGGGTGAGGGCTCACTGACATAATAATGTACTGTATGGAAAAAGAGGGAAGATGCTGTTGAAGAAACTGAATATTCACGCAGCGCACAGTAGTTCAGGTGTGCTGAGCTCACAGAATCAATGTGATTGCACAGTACTATATTGCTGTCACAAATGGTGTTTTGGAGTAAACAAATACCATTGTTTCTAACATTAAATTAATATTGGTGATTCAAAATGTACTGAAATTATAATTTGTGTTTGTCTCATTTGTAAATTTCCTTTGGTTTTATAGTTTTAAGATAGCTATAAATAAAGGATTGATCTCTGACTTCATGTTTGTACATTTTCAAGTATCATTATAGTAAATATAATTTGTCAACATTGTGGATTCAGAAGAACAGTTTCCTTCAAAAAGCGTTCATAAATTACATCAGTTCGAAAAAATTGCATTAGTAGATGATAGTAAAAGCCTCCAAGAAAGTGTTGCATTATGGCCAAGCTTTATTATACCAAGTTCACAAAACATAAAGGGAGGAATCAGAAATGCAGAGAATGGCAGATATGGAAACAGCAGCTTTGCAGGTAAGAGTAAAATACTGAAGTTCTAAGAGGTTTTTAGGGTTGGATAAAATGGAAAAATCAAGACTGAGAGACCGCCAGAGTCCTGTGAGTATTGTTGATGAACTCTTAAAATGTGCAAACTCAACAAGCTATTGAAATGTGTGTGTGTGTGTGTGTGTGTGTGTGTGTGTGTGTGTGTGTGTGTTACAATATATGTATCTCTTCTTCAATGCTTTGGAGATCTTTTTCCTACAGGACTACTTCTCTAATTTACCAATAACAGGCTTTGTGGAAATGATACCAATTTTAAAGAAATTTACTTTACACCTATATTTTCCTAAAAAAAAATTTGTGAAACAAGGGCATCCTTATTTTACCTCTTCAAAACTGTTATCTATACCAAGTTATCATAAAAGCAGTAAACCTGCATTTGTTAGTTTTTAAACTTTATTTTCAACTTCCTATGTCTATAAATGTTTGTTCTTGTTTAGGATGTGTACTGTGCTTGTTAGAAGAATACCACCTTTTTTTCTTACCCTTTTAAAGTTGAGAAGATTATTTGTAAGAGTGTGAAATGGTCTAAGCATTGCCCCTTTAAATGGGGGTATTGTGTTAATTGTAAGCACTGCAAAGTGGGTTGCTATATTGTGGCTGTTGTACTCAGTGTCAAAAGATTTAGTTCCTTCTTGACCCAGTCCTAGTTATTCAAGAGTCATCAAACAGAGATACACAATTTTAAATTGTTTTTCAGAATGAATCTGAAGAGAGCGAAGAGTTGAGTGGAGAAGTCAGCTAGATCATCCTTGTCTATCTATGCAGACTCCTTCCCATAATTTTTCCCCAATCTAGTTTATGCCTAATTTTATACCAGGAATTTCTTCCTGACCTTTTAATTGCCTGTCCTTAGGGCATGAAAATTATGAGTGTAATTTTACAGACCATTCTTAACTTTTCAAAACCATTCCAACGATATTCATCTAAGAAATGGCCAGTGTTTGTGGAGCACTAATTTGTCACGCAGCATTGTGCTAGACATTCAAGATATCCCATTGAGTATCGCACGAAAACCCTGACCAACACATCCCTATACCAACTAGGTCAGATCCTCATTCACAGGTATTCATAATACATAAAATTCCCCTGCATAGCACTAGGTCACATGTAGGCAATAATTATTTATCTTGTATATGCCTTTTCACTCAACTGTGAGCTCCTAGAGGACATAGGTAAAATCTGTTTTGTTCACTGCTGAATTCCTAGAACCCAACATAGTATCTAGCACCAAGAAGCACTCAATAGAAGTTGGATGAACTAAAGAAGAAATGGTTGGTCTAGGAAGGGGTTGGGACCATAAGAAGCATACTGTTATTTAAGAAGCAAGGAAGGCATTTAAAAAGCACAGAATTGAATAAAGGCAGATTCCTGCAGCAAGAATGCCACACAAGTCAGAAAGTAGGCCAGATTATTAACTACAAACTAAGGAAGTAGAATAACCTTTTGTGATTGCAACATGAAAGCAAAAGTCCAAACCAAGAATCATCTCAAAAGATAGAAAGTATATTAGGAAAACATGCTTTAACTGTACCCGGAAGAAAAAGAAGTGGGCTACCCCTTTTAGTGTGTGAGGAGGGAAAGCAAATGACTGATTTCAAAAGGCAAAAACATCTCGGGCTTTATTCTTTTGCCCCACCTTAGTTTTTCTTTCCCAGAGTAAAGGCAGTGATATTATAAAAGCACACAGCATCCAGAGGGGTTGGGGAGGAGTATGGCCATGAAACTAAGGGCTGATGAAAGATGATTTTAGAAGTTGGTTCTTTTCATAGCAAGAGGCTGTATTCCTTGAACTGTCCAAGCCATGGCCTGTTGTTTTTCAGAACTCACAGAAGGTGGTAAAGGTCAGAGAGTGTCCCTGAAACTAGTAGATGGCTCTAGATTCCATTGAATTCCTGCCAAGGGGCCTGACAGCATAGATGAATTCTACTACTTCCAGCTTCCTCTAGAGTTAGCAGAGTCCAGGTTTGGGAGTCAGGAGACCCAGATTCTAGTCCTGTCTGTGCCGTGGTCTCTTTGTGGTTTTGAGCATATCACTTTATCTCTTGTATCCTCAGTTTCCTCTTGTGTAAAAAGGAGATTTTTCTCATCACTAGTTGGTAGGACAAGGACATTTTTAATTTATTTTTTCTCCCTAAATAATGCATGTATAACTTACAAAATCAAATGTTACTTCAAGTCATAAGACAAAATTCAACATTCTCTTCCCTCCTCCCTTTCTATCTTGGATTCCAGCTCTCATAGGGGATCACTTTAGGCTCTCTTAGCTGTTTCTTCTGATATTTTACCTTTGTATCTCTTGTATTGCCTGTTCTGGTTTGGGCTGCTATAACAAATACTATAGACTGGGTGGCTTAAACAAAAGATGTTTATTTCTCAGTTCTGGAGGCTGGGAAGTACAAGATCAATGTGAGGCCAATTTGGGTCTTGGCAAAGACCTGCTTCCTAGTTTACAGATGGCCACCTTCTTGCTGCATCTTTGCATGAAAGAGAGAGGAGAGAGAGAGAGAAATTGAGTCTCTTTCTCTTCTTAGAGTCTCATCATGGGGCTCCACCCTCGTGACCTCTTCTAAATCTGATTAACTGCCAGGCGCAGTGGCTCACACCTGTGATCCCAGCACTTTGGGAGGCCGAGGTGGGTGGATTGCTCAAGGTCAGGAGTTGGAGACCAACCTGGCCAAGATGGCAAAACCCTGTCTTTACTAAAAATACAAAAAATTAGCCTGGCTTGGTAACACATGCCCGTAGTCGCAGCCACTCGGGAGGCTGAGGCATGAGAATCACTTGAGCCTGGAAGGTGGAGGATGCAGTAAGCTGACATCACGCCACTGCCCTCCCACCTGGGTGACAGAGTAAAATTCCATCTCAAAAAAATAAAAAATAATAATAAATCTGATTACCCCCCAAAGACTCCATCTTCTAATCCTATCCCACTAGAGATTAGGGTTTCAACTTATGAATTTGTGTAGGGGGCACAAACATGGAGTCCATAGCAATGCCGTTTCCTGATTTTTCAATTTTAGATATTAGTTTTTGACTGTACTATGGCAGATGCAGAATATTAAATTAATATTCAGTATTTACGTTATGATGACTAAATAAATACCTTCACAACCAAGCCAAATAGCACACTCTTAAACTTTTTGTGTTTCTGCTTTATTGTTTTTTGTTTGTTTGCTTGCTTGCTTGCTTTGTTTATTTTATTCTGCATATTTTATCATTGACTCAGATCCAAAATTTCTGAGCAAACCACAGAATTCCTCCCAGTTACAATCAGGAGTGTGAGATGATCTCTCAGTTGCATGGTTTTCCCAGAGACCTTCCTCTGGGAGCCCCATTCAGCTGAAGCCTGACCTGGTTGCTGCTGTGACCTGCAGGAGAGCTATCTTCCTGGGACCAACACTTTTCGCTAGTTCAGGCTCTCCTATTCTCTATATCTCATTCTTCCTCATTACCAGTTATGCTCTCATTTTGGCAGAATGCATTTTCCCGTAGTTTCTTAAGAAAGACAACATGAGGGTAAATTTTTAGATCTTGCATATTTGAAATAGTTTTTATTCCACTCTTAAACTTCATTGATTGGAGATGAAATGCAAGCTTGGAAATAATTTTTATTCAGAATTTTGCACACATTATTTCATTATCTTCTTTTTTCCATTGTGGCTGATTAAAAAGTCCAATGTTATTCTGCATGCTCCTTCTTTGTTTGGGATTTATTGTCCCTTCTCCTCCTCCAGAAGCTGTTACGATTATCTTTTTGTCTCTAAAGTTCTAACTTCAAGACAATCGCCTTTTTTAATTCACAGGTCATTCATGGGGCTAGAAAGACATTCTGTAAGCTTTTTCCACCTGAAGACTCAGACCCTTCAGTTTTAAGAGATTTTCTTTTGTAATTTATTTGATATCATCCTTGCCTTCATTTCTGCTCTTTCATTTGCAGTTCCATATGTTAGGCTTCCAAGATTCTATTTCTTTGACTTTTATTTTATTTTTTGGGTGATACCTTCAACTTCGTCTTTCAGTATTTTTGTCAACTAATATATTTATCTACTGCATTAACTTCCTAGAGTTCTTTTTTGCTTTTTGATTTTTCCTTCATTATAGCATTCTATTCATACTCTAGAATGAGTGTATGTTTTTTTAATGTGTTCTTTTGGTCCCTAAATTGTGCTTGTTTCCCATGATTTATTTTCATTCATTTGCTTGTTAATTTTAATTTCTCCCTCTCCCTCCTCCATATTTAGAGGCCCTTGACTATCTGCTCTTATAAGTACCACAAAGCCAATGGGCTCTTCTGCATGCAAGTAGGAAGATGGCCAGTAAGTGTCCTCTCCCTTATTCTCAGCTATACCTGGTGATCCTAACCTAGAGTCTAAATACTTTGTCTTCTTCAGAGTCCACCCCCAGTCTTCTGCTTGGCTGAAAAAGAGGGATTACCTGGCTGCATAGGCTAGGGCAGGGGCTCTGGGGCTTTCCACCAGGTTTTACCCCATCCCATACCTCAGACTTCAAAGTATCCAGTGCTTCATATTTTTACACCTTTCTTGTGATCTGTGGTTTTATGGCTTTCTTCTTATTGACTCTACTCACTTCCTCTTCACAGATGGTTATTTCAGCTTTCTTCACCTTGCTAAGTCAGTTACCTTCATCCACTCTCCATCCTTCAGATGTTGTACTTCCTTTGTCTTCTCTTCCCTCTTTTAAGTTTCTCTTTGATCTGTATATTCACACCTATTTTATTATTTTGCTGTGATTTATGTGAGTTTGGGGGAGATAGCAAAGATAAGCATGTATGTTCCACATCACATGCATC
The DNA here is from genome assembly GCF_000001405.40 of Homo sapiens. Lineage (NCBI taxonomy): Eukaryota > Metazoa > Chordata > Mammalia > Primates > Hominidae > Homo > Homo sapiens. The sequence goes on from NC_000005.10 coordinate 153,595,213, forward strand.
AGACACAGTGTTGTGAAACTGTAATTTTTAAAATAAACTTTTATTGTAGTTTTAGATTTACAGAAAGTTCACAAGGTTAGTTCAGAGAGTTCCCAAATACTCTGTGCTCCATTTTTCTCCCCTATGATTAAAATCTTACATTAGTGTGGTGCATTTGTCACAGTTAATGAACCAATACTAATACTAATACATTATTATTAACTAACACTAAATACTTGTTTAGCTAGCTCTTTGGAAAGAAGTCACTATGTCCAGTCTACATTTAAGAAGTGATGAGTTACACTCTACCTCTTTGAGGGCAGAGTGTCTATGTAAATTATTTCAAATTATTCTGACTGGGAAATTTGTTTCTTCTCACTATTTATTTACATATCCAGTCATTTATTTATATCAATATGGATTCAAGGATATCTATTTTATACTTTGGGTTATAATTCAATACCATTTCATTTATTTTATTGCTCACATTGTGAAATGCTTTTTAATTGTAAACCTTTATCTAAAAAGCAAGATATGAGTTAAATAATATAATATAATATATATATAATTAATATATATAATATAATGTAAATACGGTCTACATCTTAGAAATAGTTCTTTAGTCCTTTACTAACTAACAAAGTGCTAGACACAGAATGCTGGGCAGGCACATAGGATTGGAACACTAAATACTTCTTTGGCTAACTTAGTGCTTTTAAATATATATTCAGTCATTTCTAAATTCCCAGTGTCATGTTCCATGAGAGGTCACATAGATGCATAAAAGCTCCCTCAAGGACTATAACCTTATTAGGGAAATACACATATATAGACAATAAAAAAAAAAACAGGTCAACACTGTCACTAAGTAGCAAATTATGTCATTTTCATAGTTTAAGAGTGACAGATTTCATGGCCTGAGTGATCAATTTGGATGCATCCATCATGGCTGGCATCCCAGAAAAGGCTGGGAATGATTTAGACAGAGTGAAATGAGAGAGTCTTTTAACCACACAGGGTATAACAAGTATGCATCTATTCTTTTTGGAATGTTTAAAAATTATCAAATCAGAAGCATCTTAAAATTCACTTTTCTTTGAAAAATGTATGCAAGATCCAGCCACTTTATTTTTGTTCATATTTGGTTTTCGGCTCTGTCCACATGTACATTTCAAAATCCAACAAACAATTCCATTGTTTATACATTGTGGCTTCCAGCTGACAAAACCCCTTTATACACTGGCTCACTGATCCCCACAGCAGGCCTGTGAAAGAGGCAGTTACAACAGGTATTACATAGAGCTCCATTTTGCAGATGGGGAAATGGAGGCCCCTGATTTTCAGGAGGTTGCACAGGTACAAATGGGAGAGGTGGATCTAGAACTCAGCACTCCTGACTCCAAATCCAAGGCTCTGTTCATCAACTTGGAGCCCCTGTTCTGACGCTGGAAAAGCTGGGTGGAGGAGAGGCAGGAGAGATGGAGACTCTAAAAACTCAGTGTTGTGGTTTGTTAGGTCTCTGGTGTCCTTACTCTCCCTTCTCAAATGAAATGTAATATCTCAGCCTTAGAGATTAAAATGGGTTGCCAGTTATTCTCCTTCCTTTTCCAGGAAGAGGGGATTCTGCACCACTAATCTTTGCTAGTTGAACAAGTTGTTTAATGAAAAATCATATTTGTTTGCTAAAGCTGGTCCCACCGGCAAGCCGGTGCTAGTGCCACTCAGCTGTCATACAGGCTGATGGGTCAGGCAAGAGGTGGACGTAGGGTCTCTGGGAATGGTCTGAGCTCACCCGGTCCCGTGGCCTCCCCAGGCATTCTGCACACTTGGCTGTCTGCAGCCTCCTCTGCTAGGAATGAAGCAGAGAGAGCAAGCAAACACCACCAGGAAAGCTTCTTTAAGGTCCTTTGAAGGGTTCACTCTGCGGGAGACTGACGGTTTTGAACATTTCAGCTCTGCAGAGCCTTAAGCCCTGTTTTGAAGGGGCGCTTTGGTCAATAGAAATTTGGTCCTTAGAACTCACTTTCCCTCTTTTCCTTTGTATACTTCAACTCTTAGTACGTTCAGGGACTACCTGAATATGAATTGGTTATTGAGACTTTCAGAGGCAGGATCTCTGAAGGTCTGTGCCATGGATCCTGCACCCCATTTTGCAATTTTGCATGTTATTCTTCTTTCTAGGTTTGTGGCCCAATTAGGGGATCACCAAATCTTTTTCAAGAACTCAGGTTCTATAGGCAGACTGCCAGGGTTTGTATTCTGGTTGCTTCATTTCACATCTATGTGGCCTCAGACCAGTTATTTAAAGCCTAGGAGCCTCACTTTTCTCATCTAAAAAGAAGCAATGAGTTCTTGCTTCAGAGGATGATTGAGTATTCAGTGAGATAATGCAATGGTCCCTAGTACATAGAAGCACTCTTAAAATATTAACATTAGTTTTACCTATTATTGAATAAACTTTGCTATTTCTGAGTGCCAAAGGAAATACCAAGATGGCTAAAAAACCATACTTGCCCTCAAGAAAATCACAGTCTAGCTGGGTCCAGTGGCTTATGCCTGTAATTCCAGCACTTTGGGAGATAAATGCAGGAGAATTACTTACACCTAGGAGTTCAAGACAAGGCTGGGCAACATGGCAAGACCCCGTCTCTAAAAAAAAAAAAAAAATTAATTAGCCTGGTGCTGTGGCATGTACCTGTAGTCCCATCTACTCAGGAGGCTGAGTTGGGAGGATTGCTTGAGCCTAGGAGGTCAAGGCTGCAGTAAGCCATGTTCATGCCACTACATTCCAGCCTGGGTGACAAGGTGAAACTCAGTCTCAAAAAGAAGAAGATCACAGTTTAGAAGCAGATCTAGAGAATGACATGTAAATAACAGATTACATATATAATGACCATTGTATAAATGTGATTTTATATGTATAATGATTATATATAGTGGATATTTTATATAATAATATACTATCACATGTTATTATATATTATGGCAATTATATATATAATCAAATATACTAAGTCTTGTCAAAGTAGTATACTCAAACTACTTGGGGGAGGGAGAATGCAAGAATAGGAAGAGCACATCCTGTCAGTGCTGTTACCTTTGATTTGATTCTGATGGTTTCAGAAAGGAAGCACCTGACTGGGTTCAGTTAAATTATGGGTTGAGTTTAGTACCTATTAGAGGAAAGGGAAAAATAAAAGCAAAGAGACTAGCACCAAATTAAAAGTATATTTTAGGAACACCAGACAATCCATTTGCAGTTACACAGGGGAAAAAGTAAGAAAAATATAATAGATAAGGTGGAAAAGCAGTTTATGCTTAGAATCTGGAAAGCCTTGAATGCCAAGCAGCAGAGGTGAGGGAAGGACTCAGATCCTAAGGTGGTCTCGTGGAGAACTGAGTTTGACAATCTTACTTATTAGCCTCCCTTAACTGCCTTCCTTAACTGCCTTTGGATCTGTATTTCCTTCTTAGGAATTTCTTGTTTCTTCCTTTCCTTATAGCCAATATTTATTGGGCTCTTGAGTTTATGATATGGTCCACTGAAAATCTACAATCTATCTGTCCAATGATACTTTAACAGAATAAAATGAAGGTTAAACCACGGCAGCTTTTTTTTCTCACTAACATTCAATAATTTAGGTTTAATAAAGCTTCCGTGGAGTGGGGCTATTTTGTTTAGGTTTTTTATTGTATTTTATTTTATTTGAGACAGAATCTCTCTGTGTCACCCAGGCTGGAGTACAGTGGCACAATCTCGGCTCACCGCAAGCTCCACCTCCCAGGTTCATGCCATTCTCCTGCCTCAGCCTCCCGAGCAGCTGGAACTGCAGGCGCCCGCCACCACGCCTGGCTAGTTTTTTTGTATTTTTAGTAGAGATGGGGTTTCACCCTGTTAGCCAGGATGGTCTCGATCTCCTGACCTCGTGATCCACCCACCTCAGCCTGCCAAAGTGCTGGGATTACAGGCATGAGCCACTGTACCCGGCCAGGGCTGTTGATTTTATATAATTTCCTTCCTTTTTGGCTGATTGAAGTCCATTGCTAATTCTAGTTTGACACTTTTTATTACCTCAACTAGATTATTTTGTCCAGAAAGTTTACTGAGCATCTTCTAGGCTAAGCACTTTAGAAAGTATGAAAGAAGTTTAATTCACAATACTTATCCTAAAAGATCACAATCTTGCTGATGGCACTTAGACAGTACAGCAATCCCTTGATATCCACAGGGGTTTGGTACCAGGACTCCTACAGATAACCAACATCTAGGTATGTTTAAGTCCTTTATATAACATGGCGTGGTGTTTGCACATAACCTAGGCACATCCTCTCACATACTTTAAATCATCTCTATATTACTTATAATACCTAATACAATGTAAATACTATGTAAATAGCTGCCACACTTTATTATTTTGATTGTTATGTTGTTAATTTTATTTTTAATATTTTCAATCTGCAGTTGTGAATCTGCAAACGTAGAACCCACAGATACAGAGGGGCAACTGTACTCAAATTATTTGAGAGTGGTGCAAGCCCGCCAGTGAGTTTGTCACCAGTTGAGAAGACTTAAACGACTAACTCTATAATATAGAGATTTATTCTGGGTGGTCAGGAAGGGCCAAGATCATAGATAGTTAAAGATCCAGAGAAAATGGGACTTTGAAGTAAATGAAGGGAGGGGAAAAGAAAAATGTGCCTGAGAAATAGCATAAGTAAAAGTCCTGAGGTACATGGTGGAGTCACAGGGGAAAGGAAGAAGGCTGTCGGCTTGACTAAAGTGTGTGCAGGGAGATGAAGCCCGCTAGATAAGGTGGACACGGAGGCACTGCGCACCTTGTTGCCAAATAGCGCCGGTCGTCAGAGAGTCTACAGTGAGAGCCATCTCTTCCTGTTTGTAATAGAAGTATGGAGTCTGGACCCGGCGCGGTGGCTCACGCTTGTAATCCCAGCACTTTCGGAGGCCGAGGCGGGTGGATCGCGAGGTCAGAAGATTGAGACCATCCTGGCTAACATGGTGAAACACTGTCTCTACTAAAAATACAAAAAAACTAGCTGGGCGTGGTGGCGGGCGCCTGTAGTCCCAGATACTCGGGAGGCTGAGGCAGCAGAATGGCGTGAACCCAGGAGGCGGAGTTTGCAGTGAGCCGAGATCGCGCCGCTGCACTCCAGCCTGGGCGACAGAGCGAGACTCCATCTCAAAAAAAAAAAAAAAAAAAAAAAAAGTATGGAGTTTGTAAGGATAGGTTTCAATCAGTAGAAAAAGAGAAATGCCCTCAAATCCAGAATTTATTTAGGAAAGAAATAGCGCTTTTCCACCCAGGTTTTTGACTGTGGAAAGTCAAAGGAGGCACCTGAAATTTCAGACCACTATACCCAAAGCACCTACATACATAGAAAATGGTGATCTCAAGCCTCAGAGTGAAAAATGAACATCCCAGGGAGACCAAAGAGGAGAAGTGCCTGTCTGTTTCTTGCCAGGCTGGGGGGCCAAAGGGAAACTGGGAGAAGAAGCAGAGACACGTCTACCACCATGGAACCTTGCTGCTAAAAATTGATTTCAGAGTTTCCTTATGTCTCACAGCCTGGGAACTTGAATTAAATGAGCTTTGCACAGAGATTGCCAACCCAAAAGACCTGGGAGGTGAAGCCTTCTGTTTATTTCAAGTTTAACTGTAGCTTCAGCTGTCAGAGCAGCATCACATCTTGGGATCCCACCTGGAGCATCCTAGCCTCGGGGCACTTCTTTATCTCATGAGGAAGGTGGAAGTCTGAGCTGATCAGATGCTTGATGATGAAGTGGATTCCTCCTGAGGTAGAAACTTCCTCTCACTGGAAGTTTTCAAGTAGAGGACCACTTTGCAGGGACATTGTCAAGAAAATTCATTCATTCGCTGGATGAACAGAATGATGATAAACAGCTAACACCGACTGAGCACATGCTGGTGCCAGACCCTGTGTTTAGCACTTTAAGTATTTTGCTTCCTATGTCTCCATGAGATAAGAGATGCTGTTATCCCCATTTTACAAGCAAGAAGCCAAAACCTCAAAGAGTTTGGAATCTTACCTAAGATCTCATAACTCATAAGTGGTAAATATTTAAACCAAGTCTGTCTGATTCTGTGATCCATATTCTTACTTTTTAACTTCTTATTTCCAGAAAAGTGCACTAAAGCCCACATACTTCACAAAGAGACTTTTTTTAATATCTTACAGCCCTGCTGTTTTATAATCTCACTGCTAAAGATGAAGGCATTTTTGGTTTCTGACCTTTTGCTGGGACATGAAGGTCTTGGGATTAAGGTTCATATACTCTCACATGTGTGAGTTTCATGTCCTCAGTGCCCATGTCTAAAAGCAAAAGTGAAAATTAAATCAGAGCGGAAAACACCTCTCTATTCAACACCAGATTGTTAGGGCTGAGCTGAAAAGCTCCTAAGTAAACTAGTTCATGGCCAAGTGGCCAGAGAACAAATTCTAGGAGCCTGAAATGTGAGATGGGAGAGCCAGTTTGCAACCCCACCTTGTTCACAGGATGATTTCAGGCAGGTTCCTTAGATGACTGAAGTTTTTGAATTGTAAGGGACCTTAGAGAGTCCTAATGCAGATTGTTATCAATTATGCTGTACAGAATTATAGAGTTCACAACTTATTCTGCAAATATTCATTGTGAACTTGCTATGTGCCTAGTATTGGCCAGGAGATGCCTCCAGGGCTGCTAGAAAGGAGAAGGAGGAACAATAGGACAAAGTTGTTCTCTCATCCTCACTTCTTTAGCTGTGCCCTCCATTGTCTGTGTCATGTCAGCATTGCAGTTAAGACTTATTTTGAAAAGGACACTATATACCAAAGGACTATAAATCATGCTGCTATAAAGACACATGCACACTTATGTTTATTGCAGCACTATTCACAATAGCAAAGACTTGGAACCAACCCAAATGTCCAACAATGATAGACTGGATTAAGAAAATGTGGCACATATACACCATGGAATACTATGCAGCCTTAAAAAATGATGAGTTCATGTCCTTTGTAGAGACATGGATGAAATTGGAAATCATCATTCTCAGTAAACTATCACAAGGACAAAAAACCAAACACTGCATGTTCTCACTCATAGGTGGGAATTGAACAATGAGAACACATGGACACAGGAAGGGGAACATCACACACTGGGGCCTGTTGTGGGGTGGGGGGAGTGGGGAGGGATAGCATTAGGAGATATACCTAATGCTAAATGACGAGTTAATGGGTGCAGCACACCAGCATGGCACATGTATACATATGTAACTAACCTGCACATTGTGCACATGTACCCTATAACTTAAAGTATAATAATAATAAAATAAAAGAAAATAAAATAAGAAAAAGACACTATATAGCTTGAATTGCTCTTAGACAGCAATGTTCTATTCTAACACTCCCATTTGATAGATGATGAAGCCAAAAAAGATAAAGTAATTTGCCCAAAGTCCAGCCATCGTTGCTAGCTAGTTGCCACTTTACCCCAGTACCTCCTACAGCCCTGGGCTACAGTTCCCACATCTCTACGATGGAGGAAGGGGAACAGACTCTCTCTAGCAGTCTTTTCCAAGGCCAAAGTGTTTTCATTTTCTGAATTTCTTGAACATCCACTGTTTGGCCAGTATTGTCCTTAGCTATCTAATAGTCACAACCCTTAAGTTCTTTTCTTTCTGTCCCTCGTGCCCTTTGTCTTCAGGCTGGTAAACTGTCATAGATATTGATCTGAGCTTTGTTTAATCATGCTAAGCTTATACCATGGGTCCCAGGGAAACTAGGAAGATGAACAGTATATAACAATTACAATTAACTTGTCATTTAGCATTAGGTATATCTCCTAATGCTATCCCTCCCCTGTCCCCCCACCCCACAACAGTCCCCAGAGTGTGATGTTCCCCTTCCTGTGTCCATGTGTTCTCATTGTTCAATTCCCACCTATGAGTGAGAACATGCAGTGTTTGGTTTTTTGTCTTTGTGATAGTTTACTGAGAATGATGATTTCCAATTTCATCCATGTCCCTACAAAGGACATGAACTCATCATTTTTTAAGGCTGCATAGTATTCCATGGTGTATATGTGCCACATTTTCTTAATCCAGTCTATCATTGTTGGACATTTGGGTTGGTTCCAAGTCTTTGCTATTGTGAATAGTGCCACAATAAACATAACGTGTGCATGTGTCTTTATAGCAGCATGATTTATAGCCCTTTGGCTATATACCCAGTAATGGGATGGCTGGGTCAAATGGTATTTCTAGTTCTAGATCCCTGAGGAATCGCCACATGTGCCCTAAAACTTAAAGTATAATAATAATTAAAAAAAAACAGTTACCAGTATTTATTGAGTGCCTAAGGTAGTAAAGGCTTGAGAAGCTGGAGCCTATTTTCATACCGAATATGTAAATATCGACATCTCTGCTCTAGAAGATCTAGGACACTCTGGAAAAGTGTCTGTATATCTTATATTAGGAGTAGTGGCCTCACCAATGTGGTGTCATGGTTAGTAAAGGACAGGCTGAGTGAACAAGAAGGGACTGATCATGTCTTTGCCAGTTGCCACCGCCTAGCTACGTTCTTGGGCATGGGACCTAATTTGTCCAGCCTCAACTTTCATCTGTGTGACAGGTCCAATAATTCCCCATACCACAGGGATGTTGTGATGATTAAATGATAAGCAGAGATTTTAGTACAGGATTGGATATATAGTAAGCTCTCCATAAATGGTAATACTATTACTATACATATACATGTATTTTACATACCTATATATATTTACATACATTTATGATCTAGTTTATAATCTCCAATATGCCTTGGAAGCTTCAGAATGAGTCTTATTTCATTTTTGTAATGTTACTATCATACACAGCAATAACAGAAACAAGTTCTAAAATTTCTCCCTGGAGCTTTACTTCAGGAGTTTGCTACCAATTAGAGGGGTGGGGGGAAGAGGAAGAGATGGGAGAAAGAGAATTTCACCTGTTTTAGTCTCTATATACAAATAAAGTGGGTGACCCCTAACTTTGCCAAGCTCTTGCCTCAGAATGAAACCACACCCAGTGCCTGTAACTTCCTAATCAAACACGTGAGTTACCTTCAAGGGTTACAAAATCATAGTTCATGGATGAAATATGTGTGGCCCAAACAGAATTCTAATTTGTTAAAAAAAACAGTTGCTAACCTTTCAAAATACAAGAATTTCATTTGAAAATCTAGGTTTCTGTCTTCTCACTTACTTTTAACTTTCTTAATCTGACCTACATACTCAAGGCAAAACTATATAGCACACTGTTTTATCACAAAGGTAACACTCAGCCAAGTCAAGAATTGTAGCGTTGTCAGCCCCCAGGAATGCTCTTGTGCCCATCCCTAGCTCTATACACTGTCTCTCCAAACAGAACCTCTATCGGGATTCATCATAACATCCTTGTTTTTCTTTAGAACTTTACCACCTAAGCATGCATTTCTAAATGTTAGAGTTTAATTTTGTCTACATTTTGGAATTCAGAATATACTCCTGACCTCACGGTAGGAAAAATCTTCTTAAACAAAATATAAAACCATCCATAAGGAAGAAACTGATAAATTGAACTGTATTAAAGTTAACAGTTTCTGTCCTATAAAGCAGGAGATACCATTAAGAGAGTGAAAATGCAAGCTACAGAAAGGAACACTCACATTTAGAATACCTAAAATCAGTTTAAAAAGAGGAGAGACAACCAAGTAGAAAAACAGGCAAAAGGTGGCCAGGCGCAGTGGTCAGGAATTTGAGACCAGCCTGACCAACACGGCAAAACCCCGTCTCTACTAAATATACAAAAATTAGCCAGGCCTGGTGGTGCACACCTGTAATCCCAGCTACTAGGGAGGCTGAGACAGGAGAATCGCTTGAGCCCAGGATGTGGAGGTTGCAGTGAGCCAAGATTGCACCACTGCACTCCAGCCTGGGTGACAGAGTGAGACTCTGTCTCAAAAAAAAAAAAAAGAGATGAGCTATTAACACTTAAAAAGGCACATCAACATTTCAATAAGCATCCAGTATGTATTTATGTGTGTATCTGTTTACGTTTGCTTAATATAACACTCATAGGATTCATCCTCATGATTGTAGATAGGTGTAGTTTACTCATTTTCATTCCTGTATAGGATTCTATTGTATGAGTATGCCAAAATTTATTCATCCATAATTCTACTCTTGATGGACATTTGGGCCGTTTACACTTTTGAATAATGAGTCTATAAATATTCTTGTATATGTGTCTGGGTGCACATGTGCACATATTTTTTGTTGGATATAAACCTGGGAGTGTTATGTGAATGTTCAGCTTTAATAGATACTGCCAAATAGTTTTTCAAAGTAGCTGTACCAATTTACACTCCCACCATCAATATGTGACAATTCCCATTGCTCCAAATTCTCTCAAACACTTGGGATTGTAAGTCATTTTAATTTTAGCCCTCCTGGTGGGGGTGTAGTGATAACTCATTGTGATTTTAATTTGTATTTCTCTTGATTATTTGTGAGTTTTAACTTCATTTCATGTGCTTATTGAAATGCTGATATGCTTTTTTAAGTGATAACAGTTAATACCTTTTTTAAAAATTGATTTTAGGTATTCTAAATGTGAGCCTTCAGTCAAATGTGTATGTTGCAAATATCTTCTTCCTTTCCATAGCTTGCATTTTCACTCTCTTAATGGTATCTCTTGCTGTGCAGGACAGAAACTGTTAACTTGAATGCAGTCCAATTTATCAGTTTCTTCCTTATGGATGGTTTTATATTTTGTTTAGGAAAACTTTTCCTACCCTGAGATCAGGAATATATTCTTCTATATTAACTTTTGGTGGCCTTATGTTTTTCCACTTAAATTAATGATCCATCTGGTACTGATTTTTATTTAGGGTATAGTATAGGGGTCTAGAATCAATTTTTCTACATAGATATCCAGTTGTCAGCATCATTTATTGAAAAGATCACCTTTTCTCCACTAAACTTCAGTGGCATCTTGGTCATAAATCAAGTGACCAAGTATGTCTGGTTCTGCTTCTGGTCTTTCTTTTCTGTTCCACTGGTTTGTTTATTTCTCAGGTACTTAGATTTAAACTGAGCCTTTGTATCTGGAACAGGAAGCTTTTCCCCTTTTTCAAAATTGTTTTGGCTATTATTAGACCTTTACATTTACATACAAATTTTAGAACCAGCATGTCACATTCCAAATAAAACCTACAGAAATTCTAATTGGGATATAATTTAATTACAATCAGTTTGGGAGAGTTGATATCTTTACAATATTGAGTCTTCAAATCCCAGAGCATAGTATATTGCTTCAATTATTAAGATCTTCTTTTATTTTTTTCAGTAATATTTTGTAGTTTTCAGTACAGATCTTTTGTTAGATTTATTTTGTAGGTATTCAATGTTTTTTGATATTATAAAAAGTGTTCTTAAAATATTATGTCATAATTGTTTGGCGCTGGTAAATGGAAATACAAATGATTAATTTTATATTGATTTTATGTCTCGTGACCTTGCTAAATTCACTTTTTTCTACAGTTTTTCTTTCTGTGAATACAGTCATGTCATTTATGGGTAATGAGAGTATTATTTTTTCCTTGCCAACTTGACCATAATATCTCCTTATTCAGTTTGTTAGTACTTTAAGATGTTTTTCATCCTGATTATGAAATAATAAAGTATGTGTAATTTTCTTTTCTTACAATACCCTTGTTCAATTTGGTATTCAGGTTATGCTGACCTCAGGAGGAAAATAAGGCAGTGCTCCCTCTTCCCATTCTTTAAAAGAATGATATAAACATATCACAAAAGATATATATATATATATATATATATATAATCACAGTTTCTTTATCCACTCGTTGATTGATGGGCATTTGCATTGGTTTCACATTTTTGCAATTGTAAATTGTGCCGCTATAAACATGCATGTGCAAGTATCTTTTTCATATAATGACTTGTTTTCCTCTGGGTAGATTTATAATCTCACCTTCTATACTATTGACATTGGTGGATTTTTTGCTTGGTTGCTCTCATATTTTCTCTCAAATTATTGAGGGGTTGGTTTTGACTTTGTTTATCTTGTCTATTGTACATTTATTTCATTAACTTCTACACTTTATTTACTTCTTCTTTTCTATGTTTAATTTGCAGGGCTTTTTCCTGACTTCTTAAAATGGATGCTTGGTTCATTGATTTTTTTCATATCTTTTCTTCTTTTCTAATATATGCATTTGTAAAGCCTTGCATTTCTCTCTAAAGATAGACTTAACCACATCACTATTTTCTTGGCTTGTTTCAGATTTACTAAATTTTAAATTTTTTTGACTTTTTACTCCTGTATTAATTTGAATATTAGGCACCCCTTAACTGTTCTTCTAGTGCTTACACTGATGATTGCAACATTCATTCTTGGCATATCAAATGTTATTGTAATTGCCACTTACACCCTTTTCCCAGATGGTACAAAGACCTTGAATACTTAGTTTTATTTATTTAACTGCTAATGTACATGTTATTATTGTTGCATAATTTTTATATTTTTACAGTCGACAATATGGTATTATTGTTGTTGCTGCTCTTTTATTCAGTCAGCATTATTTATATTTACCCATATATTTATAATTTTTATTACCTTTTATTCTATTTGTTATCTCAAAGTTTCCATCTGGAATAATTTTCCTTCTTTGTGAATAATATCATTCTGTATTTCCATTAGTGTGGGTCTGTTGTTGACAATTTTTTTTCTTTTTCTTTGCATCAAAATGTCTTTATTTTACATTCTCTATGGAAAAAAGTTTTTGTTGGATATGTAGTCTACATCACAGTTATTCTCTGTCAGCACTTTAAAGATGTAATTTAGTTGTTTCTTGTGAAGGGTCAGCTGTCTGCTTTATTGTTGATCTTTTGACAGTAATCTGTCTGCCTTTGCCCCACTTCCAGGTACAGAGTTACTGTCTTTGGTTTTCAGCAATTTTGCAATATTCTGGTTAGTTGCGATTCTTTTTTTTAATTTAACATCATTTGGGTACATTGGACTTCTCAAATTTGTGTCTTGATGTCTTTTGTCAGGTTTGGAGAGCTTTTGGCAATTAATTCTTCAGACATCATTTATGTGTCCTTCTTTTTTCACTTTATGAAATTTCATTTACAATGATGTTAAGGTGTTTCACTGTAACCCACATTCTTTTCCATATTTTCTATCATTTTCTCTTTATATGTTTCAATCCTGTTATATTCTTCTGATCTATCTTGATGTTTGCTAATTCTCTTTTTGGCTGCACCTAATCTGCCATTGTTCCTGTCTATTGAATTTTAGATGCCAGTCATTATACTGTTCAATTTTGGAAAATTTTTCGTGGTTCTTTCACATGGTTTTCAGTCCTCTGATAAAATTATCAATCCTTCATTTAATCTCCTGGGAGATAGTAAGCATAGTTGATTATGAAATTTATGTCTGTAATGTCTGATTACTCTATTATCTTGAGCCCCTGTGGGTCTATTCCTATTTTCTCTGCTTTTCTGTTCATTTTAATTTATGTTGTCTTATCTTCCTGTATAACAGTTTTTTTTTACTGCGTTCTGGACATTGAATTTGCAAAATTTCTTTGCAGAAATAATTTGAGGCCTAAGCTGATGTTATCTTTTTCCCTAGTAGATATATGTTTGCTTGCTGCACTAGTACTCCATTATCAGGTCAATCCAATTTCAGGGATTGAGATGATTTGAAGCTACACTGCAACCCTTACTAGTACCTGTCTATTTCCAGTTCAGCCTTACTCCTATTGGGCAGCCCTTCTGAGTCCCAGCCTAAAGTTGGGTTTAACAAGCTTCCCCCACTGCAATCACCATATTTTGGTCCTGGACTCCAAATTTCATCTTTCTATTTCTGGCAAGCTCTTAAATGAGCTTCCTCTTAGTTGTTTAGTTGCTTACTCTAGAATTAGTAAATATCCCCAAGGTGCAAGCAGCTCCAAACACAAAGGTTACCTCCCGGGCTTCCTCCATCCTTAGATCCCAGCCCTGCTATTCTTTGCTCTTTTGTTAGCTCTCCTACATCTTCAAGTAGATTTGTAAATATTTTGCCCAGCTTTTCTTGTTGTTCTCATTGGGAGTATTCGTCCAAATTACATAGTCTTTCATTAACACAAGAGGAAGTCCTGTTCCTGATCTTGAAAAAAATGATAGATATGTCCACAATAGGCTGAAAAAGGCAGTGATTTCTCCCTTCATATGAGGAATACATTCTCCCACAATGTCCAGCTAGCCTCCTTCTCATTCACCTTAGCCCAGTGACTTTGGCATTTGGGATTCAGACTCTTTTCTTTTTTTTTTTTTTTTTTTTTTTTTTGAGATGGAGTCTTGCTCTGTCACCCAGGCTGGAGTGCAGTGGAGCAATCTTGGCTCACTGCAGGCTCCACCTTCCGGGTTCAGGTCATTCTCCTGCCTCAGCCTTCCGAGTAGCTGGGATTACATGGCCCACCACCACACCCAGCTAATTTTTGTATTTTTAGTAGAGACGAGGTTTCACCATGTTAGCCAGGATGGTCTCGATCTCCTGACCTTGTGATCTGCCGGCCTCGGCCTCCCAAAGTGCTGGGATTACAGGCATGAGCCACCGAGCCCAGCCCAGACTCTTTTCTTAAATATTCCAATAAGGTACAATTTGATCATCCTAGGTTTCTTTCCTCTAAGTCTGGCATGATATGGTTGGTAAATGGAGGTTAACTATTTTATTATTTTGCTAGAGAAGAACTCCTAAAGCCCCTATGGGGTTGGCATCATTCTACTGTCTGCATGCCTGGAAGATCTAAAATATTTAGTGGGCCCAGAACTCCTCTATGAGGACAGATTGCCAGACTGCTTTGCACTGCAGAGCCTTTCAATGGAAAACTGGATTTCTAGCCTCAGTTGTGATGTGAGACCAGGACAGTGTTGAATGGAGACTAAAAATAGGGTGACTTACAAACAGATAGTGTGTATCTCCCAGGGAGTGTGAAGTCCACTTTCCAAAGCAACTGCCAGCATAAGGAGTGTTAATGCCCTCTGGGATCCAAGTAGGATGAAAACAAACCACAGAAAATGAGGTAGGATGTTCAACTCTCCCTTTCAGTGATCAGGAAATCTACATGCTCATAGACTGGATTATTCAGAATAGACCTTGTTGAAAGTTACTGGAATGGAGGAAAACCCTACAAAGATTTCCAGATTCCCTGGGGAAGACAAAAGTATTTGGTCTTTGTTGTTATCGTTGTTGTTGTTTAAAGTGAACTCCTGTCCTTTGCTCTAATTCAAGGAAGAATTTCTGAGTATAGCTACTCTATGCAAAATAATCTCTGCCTTTAGGGCTTCCCCTAATTGTGGTCGAGAGTGTAGTCTCCAGAGTCAAGATGCCTAGATTTCAATCCTTATTCTACTATTTATTAGCATTGTAACCTTGGGCAAGTTATCTAATTTCTCTATGTTGCAATTTCCCCATTTATAAAATGGAAGTAAAAGTGCTACTTTATCTCCAAGGGTTTTTGTGAGGATTTTAAAAAGTCATGCATATAAAGTATCTAGAACAGTGTCTGGCACATGGAAAAACTCAAATAAAAATAGCTATTTATAATTAATTTTGTTTTAGTATTATAATTGTATAGTAATGCTCAACACGTTTATCGTGTGTCTCTCAAAGCCCTGGATTTCTTATCTCAGTTCTGCACTCTTTCATTTAAAGTTCTGAACAGGCTGTCTTCAACCTGGTGGATGGTTCAAACAGGCTGTCCAACTTTCTTAGTTGGATATGGGGATTTCCAAATCTTGCTGCTCATTTCAGAAAGCTTTTTGAAAATATAGACTCCTAGGATTTGCCCACAGAGATTCTGATTTAGTAGATTTGGAGTGAGGCCTAGGAAGCTATATTTTAAAAAGCTTGCCACTACGTATAATATGCAACCAATTTGGAATGACTGAACTATGATGACCTGGTACCAATTATTAAATATATGGAGCCAATTATTAAATATTCATAAATTTTGCAAACTGATTGTTAAACCATTAGTAGTTATTAGCTATGGTAGGAATATTTACACCATGGAAACTGGCAAATCCTACATTCTTTTTTTCCTGGAAAGCTGGTTTACTGTCCCACCACTGGCACAATCTTCTTAGCCCCTGGGATCTGGAGTATCTCTGTCTGAATCTCCTTTGGTTAGAACTTTACATCTCCATGATTTTCTGTTCTCTAATTGAGGTTTTGATCTGCCAGGCAGTAGATATTCCTGTGACTGAAAGGGCTTCCAGCTAGATATCTCTGCAGCCATAATCAAGCTCTCCATCATTGCTTTGTTTTGAGGCAGAGGTGGAAAACTGGTGGTCAGTGGTGATTCTGGTTCACAGATGCATAATTGTTGGCTCTCACGAAGACTTAAAATTAAAGTCGGAGGCAGCTTTTTAAAAAATTATAAGATGGCATATAAAAATCCAGATTCTCACCTTCTCTTTCAAAAAACAAACAAACAAACAAAAACTAAGTTGAAAGAAGATCTGGACCTGCTTTTCAGTGGACAAAGTTCAGCCAAAGCTACGTGAGCACTGGCAGGGGAAAGGTGTTCTCTCACCGGCTCATTTGTTCATTTATGTTTTCCGCCTGGCCTTGAGCTTGCAGCTCCTCTGGGAAGCAGTGTGTTCTGTTGGAAAAGGTGCCAGACTGGGTCTTTGGAGATGTAGGTTTGTAATCATGACTCTGTTTTTTAATTTATCGTGTGACCTTGGTCAAGTCATTCTCCCTAACAGAGCCTCAGTTTCTCACCTGCAAACTAGGGAGAATGCTTGCTTTGTCTGCCTCTCCAAATGTGAGATGGGGAAATGTGAGTCCTTGACCACCAGCTGTAGAAAAGTAAGGAATTATTGCTAAATATTGATTCCTATTTCCTGCCATTGGCACCTAGGTGGGAATGAATAATCCCAGAACAGGTTCTGATAGGAGAAAATATTTGAATAGATAGGAGTGCTGAGAAGGGATAAGGAGAGAGTGCCTATAATGAGAAAAGTGCACAAAACAGAAATACTAGTGAATATGCTGAATCTACAGTCTTCTTAAGGGAAATTTGGGAACATGAGAATTTGAAGTTGATACTATTAACCAACCTCATGTCACATATAAGAAAATATGGGCTTGGAAATCAAATCTGCACATAAATTCCAGAAGGCTATGCCTTTGTGCAAGTTAACTTATCTGAGCCTCTGTTTCCTCATGTATACAAGGTGGATATTAGAATCTATCTTGCAATGCATTGTGAAGATTCAGTGGGATAATGCATATTAAGTGCCTGAGATATTTTGTGAATGTCCAATAAATGGCAACTGCTGTTATCAGCTCAAATCAGGCATATGCAAATTGAACTACTGGCAAATAGGGAAGTAGTTAGGAGAATATGATGTATTGTTAGTGGATATTTCCTTATCAGAAAAGAACTTTGCATAATCCGTAAGGGACTTCTTCTACTTCCCATTCCACTGAAGAACTTCAATTTAGTATTTTACCCAGCATTTGCTGCAAGCTTCGTAGGATACCCAGCCACACATACCCATATCAGCAGCAAGTTCTGAGAGCCAGCGGCAGTATTAGCATTATAAAGTGTTTCCAGAGTTGGACCAGTGTGTGCTTCCCCTTCATAAATCCTTAAATCTTAGGCTCACTCAGCTGGAAAAAAAAAAAAGAAATCTGGGTTTGAAGAACACTTATTTATTTTTTATTTTCTCTGCCTTGTGTGCTTCTTTTGACTGCGCATCTGAATATCAAGGCAAGAAGTGCTCAAGTTCCTCTGGGCTCTGGAAGGCTGGAACCAATTGGTATTCTTGGAGTCGGTCCTTTTTGGACTAAAGCTCCTTTTTCTTTTCCTCCCCCCAATAAAAATTTCTGTTCCAGGGAGTACTTTCTCAGTCACTCCTTTCCTAATGTAATTCTGTTTGATTTCCACTGAACGGCTCCTGAAAGGAGACACTGAACCATGCCTCCACAAGCATTTCAATTCCTCAACACCAGCTTTCAGGCAGGAGCAGTTCCAGATGCATTTTTATATCCAGTAATCATGCATTTAACCAAAATGATTGATGCAGCATTTTTTCCCCTCTCTATCATTTCCAGTCCATTAGTCTTATTTGTTTTCCATGGTTTGGGTTCCTGCCAAATCAGTGAATATACAAATACTTGCATAAGTCATGCACATCTACACACACATACATGTAATAGGTACTGGGTCTGTATCTGAGTTGAATATTCAACATTTTATTTCCAGGCTTCATGTCTCCACTGAAGTTTTAGCCGCTTCTTTCCTTCTTTCTTACTTCCCTCTCTCCCTTCTTTTTTTCCCTCTCTTCCTCTCCTTTATAGTCTATTAAGTTGGTGCAAAAGTAATTGTGATTTTGCCATTACTTTTAATGACAAACCACAATGGCTTTTGCACCAACCTAACACTTTTCCCAGAAACAGCCACTTTTTTTTTTTTGTCAGCCATCATAGAATCTGATATTCTTCAGCGTTAAAGGGGCTTGAGAGAGGCATTTACATAATCCGTTCACTTTAGTTTCAGAAAATCAACAGGCCAGAAAGGAAACCATGTGCCATCCCAGGCTTTCCTTGGCCCTTAGGCAAACATTCCAGTGCCACGTCCCCCATCAGCCCTTGCACGCCCTGGACCCTGCCCGCTGCATCAGCCACCTCTCCACCTCAGTCTTCACACTGACCTCTCCACTTCAATCTTCACGCTGTAGCCACACAGGCCTTTAGTCCTTGCCTTGGGGCCTTCACACCTGCTTCTCTCGCTGCTCGGACAGTTTTTCATACATAGGTGCACACACCTTCTTCACTGCTCCACCTCCTATTTATTCTTTAGGTCTCAGCTCAAATGACACTTCTTAGATCACACACCATACCACCCTCTCCTGACTTTCCACCCTTTCTCTTCTGACACTTATTACGATTTGTAATTTTGTATTTACTTGGGTATTTAGTTGTTTAATGTATCTTCACTTATTAGAAGACAAGCCCTATAAGGACAAAGACCATGTTTTCCCCGCCCCTCAATTGTTTCCTCAGTGCCATAGACAGTGCCTTGTGTTTGATAGTGACAATAGTTAGCAATCATAAAGTGACAGTATCTAACATCTGTTAAAAACTTGCTAGTTCCAGGCACAGTGTCCTATGATTTTTATATGTATTTACTCATTTAATACTTACAACAATTATCCCGTAAAGTAGGTGTGATTATTATCCCCGTTTTGCAAATAAGGAAACTGGTCAAGTCACTCACCCAAGATTATATGGCTGGAAAGTGGCAGAGTTTGTTTGTAACCCAGGCATTGACTCCAAAACCTGAACCCACAACCAGGCCATGCTACTCCTGTTAAGCACTTCATTAATATTCATTGAGAGAATAAGTGAAAAATATACCTTAATCAATTAGTAGCAAAACTGAAAACCTAAATTGTTTGATTGATAAGCCATTTCTCTTTCTATGCAAACAGAGAGCCTCTCAGGTACCACCAGAATGCAGCAGAAAGAAAGAGAAGATTAACAAATTCATTTATTGCTGATAAGAACTATGAGAGGGACGCTGTGATATAGATCATGAAGTGAAGTGGAAATTATTATTTTAGATTCAGGCAGGACCCAGTGGCAGGTGGAAAAAATACAGAGTCAATTGAAGAGGCCTTAAGATAAGGAATCAGATTCTCCAGAAACATCAAGTGGGTTTACAGTTATTATCATTAACAATTTAGGCAATTCTTATGCTATGGATAACATTTTCCAAATGTGATTTTAAAGTATGAGTAATCATCAGTTTTATGAAACTGCTGCTCAGAATTCTAGGATAAAAACTCCAATAATGAGCCTTGTTCAGTTGTTCCATGGCATGTGGAACAGTTCCTAGCACATATAAGCACTCAACAGACATTTATTTAGTAATTAATGGGAAATGAACATCAACAAATCCATCAGCAAATACTTACTAAGTACTCGTTATTAAGTCTATACAGATCAAGGCACAACAAGGCACAAAAGTAAAATGTCAGATTTCTTTTCATGGAGAGCTCATAATCCAGGTAGACCCAGAAATAACCACCACAATGAATAAAAGCTGCTAGCTGGGCATGGTGGCACATGCCTGTAACCCCAACACATTGGGAGTCTGAGATGAAAGGACCGCTTGAGACCAGGAGTATGAGACCATACTAGTCAACATAGTAAGGCCCTGCCTCTACAAAAAATTTTTAAAAATCAGCTGAGCATGGTGGCCTGTGCCTGTAATTCCAGCTTCTCAGGAGACTGAGGCAGGAGGATCACTTGAGCCCAGGCGGTCGAGGCTGCAGTGAGCTATGATTGCACCTCTACATACCAGCTTGGGCAACAAAGCAAGATCCTGCCTATTAAAAATTGTTGATAAAATAAAAAATAAAAGTAAACGCCACCATCACTGGGGAGTTGCTTTGTCCAGGGGCTCTGCCATGTCCCTCTGCATATATTAGGTCATCTTTATACTCGTAACAACTTTAAGATGATGGTACCCTTCCTCATCCCCATCTCTAGATGTTGAAACTGAGGTTTAAAGATGCTAATTTCTGTCCTAAAGACACAGAAACAAGAACTTAGTGCAGCCAGGATTTGAACTCAGGTCGGTTTGAGTCTGGAACCAATGATGCCAAATGTCTTCATCCCTTTATTTTGAAAGCACTATCTGTGGGTGAGGCATACTAGAACTACAAGACTTTGCAGTATCAGAGGATGGGAGTGGCTACAGAGGGATCAATGAAAGCAACATTACCCAGTCTCTCCAGGTCTGCATATCCTGCTTACCTGGGTATGAAACACTCCATCTCTCACCTGCCACAGTCCTGTCATTCAGGTCCCAGATTCAGTATCACTTCTGCATATGCTGCTTACTTGGGTATGAAATACTCCATCCCTCACCTGCCACAATCCTATCGTTCAAGTCCCAGATTCAGTGTCACTTCTTCCTGGAAGGCTTTTCAAACATGGTACAATTTGATTGTTTCTTCCTTTATGCTCCTTTTAGAATCCGGTGTGTTTCCTGATTATAATTCTTATCTCGCATTCTGATTACTTGTTTCCCATTAACTAGTCTTTGAGTTCCTCTAGGACAGGGGTGACCAATCTTTTGGCTTCCCTGAGCCACTTTGGAAGAAGAATTGTCTTGGGCCACACATAAAATACACCAACATCAATGATGAGCTAAAAAAAAAAATTCGCAAAAAAAAAATCTCATAATGTTTTAAGAAACTTTACACATTTGTGTTGGGACATATTCAAAGCCATCCTGGGCTGCATGTGGCTCACAGGCCACAGGTTGGACAAGCTTGCTCTAGGATACAATTTTATTCTCCCAGGGCCTAGCACAGCCCCTAGCATATAGTAAGTCATTTAATAAATAAGTGTGGAACGAATGAATTTTAGGTAGAAATTGTCATCAGATGGTTCAACTAATATACAGCACAATTCCAAGAGAGGAGTGTATTCTTGGGCATCAGGGAAAAGGGACTTTGGAAAAGTTGAGTTGGAGGCCATGTGGCTATTAAGATATCTGTCTCCACATGCCTCGACTGACTGTGTGAGCCTTGGAAAGTTATTCTCTCTTCACTTCAGTGTTTTCATCCTTATAATTAAGATGATAAAAACTGGGTTGTTGGGAAGTTGAAATAACTTAACATGCAGGAACTCAGCAGAGTGTCTGTTCATTGTAAGTACTCAAATGTTGGCCATGGCTATAGCTGCTGCTGCTTGTCTTCTCTGAATTATTATTATGGAAATTTGGGTGAGTACAGCATTTCAGGCAGCAGGTCACTTCTGAGTAAAAGTACAGAACTATGAAGAGATCTCCTACCCTTGGATATAAAAACAATTCACAGCATTGCCAAGAAAGACTGTAGATATTCAGGGATGAGAGTGAGATTCCTATGAGCCAGAGAATCAAAAGCTCTGTAAATTAGTGAGTTCGTGATATCATGCTACGCTCCTGTTTTTAAGAGCTAGATATCAAAATAAATGGTCCAGTGTATGTGCCTGATGGCTATGTCTTTTCCACTGTACACACAAGTAAGATTCTGCATGGTGACTATCATTTTGTTTTCAGGAAGTAGATGAATCAGCCGTTTGGTTCCCTGGGAATGTGGGCTGCTGGCTTTTAATTCTTTTTGGGGAAGATTTCTATGTCATCAGCCATCTTGTTTATCTGGAAACATGGGACAAACGTTGGCTCTCTTTCTACCTATGTAGTCCTTTGCTAGGGTTGTACAGCTTGAGTAGAATTGGGAAAAGTGATTTGGATCCTTGTGACTGGGATTAGGGAGAATTGGTACATGAGTATACAGAATCTTTTCATTGATCTCCTTGCCTCTGACCTTGATTTAGCCACCTACTTTCAGTGGATAAGGCCCTACAGAACAAACCAACTGAAGCATACTTTAGGATAGGCCACACCTCTAATCTCATATTTATTATGACCAACTAAAAACTGCTTATCCTTCTCTTTATGTCTATTATTTAACTTTCCCCTCCTCTCTACCTTCTTTCCCTTAAGTCCTTCTGATACACTACATGCTCCTGCCATTGTGACTATGAGTCTAAAAAGCTGGTGGCATTACCCACCTTCCCCTCCACCTTCAAAACTCACATGTACACCATGCTTTGGGCTTCTCTGATTTGGCTCACTATTTCTTCAACTTAGAACGCCCACTTTCTATTATGATCATTAAAAGATCCTGGATTTATGTGTGGGGTGGATGTAGTAACAACTGGGAAATAGCATAAAATTATTTGGTTTCTTGTATGCTGGTTTTCTTCCCAGAGGTAACCTGTTTGGTTTGACGTTTGGCTTAATGTTGTTAATTTGACGAAGGTGGAAATGGATGGGCTAGAAATCTTTGTGGGACTAGGATAAGGCTTGAATGGTCTAATCTAGGGATTCAAACTTTCTAGTTAAGAATGTACAACCTGTGAGGATAATTTGCATTTTATTCTACATATATCCCAATTTAACCAGCTTTCAGACTTTAAATCACCATAAGATTTTGGAAAACTTCTACTGTCTAAATACAGAATAAAGTTTTCTAAGCCAGATGAAAAAAATTGCATCATTCTTGCACCCTGCAGGCAAATGCATGTTGACTGCAAAGCTATATAAATGTGTGTTGAGTGATTTAACAGGTCTGGCTATTGAACTTGTTAAAAATGGATGTCAGGAAAGAAAAACAGCAGGTGGGTGTAGACTGGAGGAGTGGGCAATGCCTGCTGACAGAAAGAGGAGTGACAGCTGACAAGGAGGGAAGGCCCAATGGAGACTTCAGGCTCACCACGTATGGAGCAGTCTGGGGACCGAAACAAAGAAATGAAAACAAACAGAGCACCCTACCACCTCAAGAATCCCTAAGGGAGTTATAATATGCACAAATGCTCATGATTATTAACTAGGAACCAGTTATTCTATGCCTGCTATGAGCCAGGATTCATTCCAGGAAATTAAAGAGAATAGAAAGAAGTATAAAATACAGTGCCTAGGTCTGCAAGTATTTATTACCTGTGACACTACTATGTTGGCCAAGGAGAAGTTCTGTATATTATGCTCTTTTTATAAAAGCAGAAGCATGTATAGAAACTATTAGGATATTTTTCTTCAAAATGTTTAAAATTCTTTAGCTGCTTACAAGAGAAATTTATTTAGTACTACTTTCTCAAAGATCCCATTTCCTGACAATGCTAATAATGGAGGCATTTCAAGATAATGACCTCATAAAATTCACACAACTGTCTGTCTGTGCAGACTTAGATAGCACAGTCATGACCTCACTTAGGTCAGGGACAGATCTTAGCTTGATAGGGCAATGGTCAGAAATGCAGTTTGGTTTAAACAGTTTTTTCCTCTTCTCTGTTGACTCATTTAATGAAAGAAAGTGTCTCATTCAACCTGCATATTTTTTTCAAAGATTCCACAATGATGGGGCCATGTCTCCTATGAGTTATTATACAAAATGGACACTGAGTCCTGAGGTACATTAGGAAGCCCCAAACTTATCCTTGTATTTAATTCATTTGAACATTTTGGATATTTTATTTTATCAAGCCAGTCATTTCGAGTTGAGAAGTCCGAAGATCTTACTCATTTTAGAAAGACTAGGTTAGGGCATTTTCTCTGGGGAAAGACCTCTTCTGTAAGGGAACTTCAAGAAAGGGAGCAGATGGGCTCTGTGTCTACTGAGAGACAGGAGGATAATCAGGCAGTGACATAGCCCATGGTACTGGAGAGAAAGACAAATCGCTATCCACATAATGGAAGGCATGGGGTAGGGTGAGCCAAATGGAAGGCTTATAAAGGCAGCAAGCAATGAGGACTAGCCATTTATTTAAAATGGAAAAGGGACAAGGTATCTTTATCCCACTTTATCCCACTGTCCAACAAAATTATTTTAAAAAAAAGAGAGAGAGAGAGAGAAGATGAAGAAATTAAGAGTGGGAAAATACTACTACAACCGTTTGGCCTTTCTGGCCTCTTAAAATCTGAGGCAGGTCAGGGAAAACATGGCAAGAACACTAAACTTAAAGAGTCAGGAAATGGATGCTCAAGTGTTGTTGCTGCCTCTGACTCAGCCTTACTGTGTGACCTTGAGGACAATATTTCCCCAAACTCCACCCCAGAGCACTTACCGCTTCCCTGTAGATAAATATAAGGAAGTTAGAACAAGTCTCTACAGTTCTTTCCATTCCTGACATTCTAGGCTTTTATAATGAGCTAAAACAAGAAGCTTGTTTTTTAATGTGTGACACACCATGAAATGTATACAGAGAAGTGACCTATAAATTCTGATTAAGTGTGAATTAGATGCAAATACAAAATGCAAGATTAGAGTGAAAAGCATTACCCCTCTGTAGGTCAGGAAGTATAATGTGGTTTCTTTGCACTATGAATAATGAATATTGTACATGCCGAAATGAGCACTGGAAAACATAGAAGGAACTAGATGCTCTTCTAGAATGGGCTTTCTTCCCTTTGGGATAGACTTTTTTTTTTTTTCCTATTTTTGCACCCATGCTTAGAGAGGACACAAACATCTCTGAGATTCTACTTGAGACAATGCGACAAGCACTTAAAGGAACACCAAATCATTTGAGTGCACAGGCAATGACACCATCTGTAGACTTATCTGATCCAGAGAACCTGAGGTGGAGCCTATAGCCTCTGGTCAGTTGGAAGCGGTGGGGAAATCTCAAGAACACTTGTCCTGAGAGAAAGAAAACTTTATCTGCTTGTTACACATGAGCCTGAGCTGAGGAAATAGACCTGGATCCAGGGAATTCGTGTTTACTGGGTGCCACAACTTGTGTTAGCACTTGACATGATTTCTTCTATTTAAATATTAGACTAAAAACACTCTATCAGACTAGGGTTTTAAAATACTATTTCATTTTTTTGGTACCTATTTATAAAATGGGGAAACTGAGTCTTGGGGGATATTAAGGTCTTATAGACTGTAAATGGTATAATCCAAGGTTGAAAGGTTTCCTGACTCTAATGCTGGTTCTCTTTCACAATACCTCATTGCCTTCTGGAAGTTGTAGTTCCTACCCTAGTTCTGCCTTTATTTGGCTGTGGTAATCAAAACAAATCACTTAAGTTCTTGAATCTCATTTTGTTCTTCTGTTAAATATCACAAAACCAACCAACCAACCAAAACAGTGAGAATATAGCTTTGTTATGCTTCCATGATTTGTGGATGGTCTTCACAGGCAACAATTAATTCATGAGGAATGATGCCCACTGCTGTCATGCAACATAGTGGCCCTGGATTTTAAGGAATCCATGTATTAATACATGCAACCTGAAATCACATATGTAAATTGTATTATATACTTGCATATCTATATTGTTTTAGAGAAGAGGCTAAAGCTTTCTTGAGAGGCTTTCTGTGGCATCTATATCCCCAAATTCCTAAAAATCATTAGGTTCTTGGCAGCTCATTAAGTGATTAGTAGGTCTCCTTATGATGTGTTATAACTCAAAACATCAGTAACCATCTGAAAGAAATTAAGGTTTAGGACAGGCATGGTGGTACACACCTGTAATCCCAGCATTTGGGGAGGTAAAGATGGCAGTATCGCTTGAGGCCAAGAGTTTAAGAACAGCCTGAGCAACACAGTGAGACCCTATCTTTACAAAAAATTTAAAATTGTTATTAAAAGAAATTAAAGTTTAGTACATGAAAGCAGCTGAAACTCAGAACTGACCCTTACATCAGAAACCATGTGGTATCATGGAAAGAAATCTGGCAAAGAATCAAAGATTCTGGGTCCTACTTTACTCTGCTGTGAACCCACTCCATGAATCTGGGCACATACTTGGGCCCCCATTAGTTTGTCATTCAAAAAGAGATGCTAAGTTCCAGCCTGCCTCTCCCAAAGCACTTTTTAAAAGAATCAAATGTGATAATATGGATGAAGGCACTTTGGCAAAATATGAAGTACCCTGCAAAAGTCTGATATTAACCATGAGATATTAAAGTATCAAGTCATTTCACTAGTTGTCAACTGAGAAAAAGGGAAAATTGCAAGTTCCATCAGCAAAATTTAGAAGCCTTGCTTTTTCATTCCTTCAGCAAGGTCCTACAGCTGATATTTATGCATAAATTTTCTTGACTTTAATGAGAATTGGTTGCAAATACACCTTACAGGATTCAAATGGAGATCATCACCATTCTAGGAGCTGCTAAACAGAACATGTGGCTTCTTCTCTAGCCAAGAGTTCTCCTCTTTTATCACCTTTATTTTATGATCAGTGGTTCTCAAGGAATGGTCAAGCACCAGCAGCGTGAGCATCTTCTGGGAATATGTTAGAAATGAAAATTCTCGAGCCCCATCCCAGACCTACTGAATCAGAAATCCTGGAGGTGGAGCCCAGCAGGCTGTGTTTTAACAAACCCTTAAGAGGATTCTGATGCCCTGCACACTTAAGTGTGAGAACCACTGCCATAAGTGATTATCCTTGGAGAGACCTACTTTGGTCCTGGGTACTTTAAGGAAAATCGTGGGGCCCCAGTAATCCAAACGAGTACCTCATCTAAGTCTC
This sequence comes from Homo sapiens, assembly GCF_000001405.40. Classification (NCBI taxonomy): domain Eukaryota; kingdom Metazoa; phylum Chordata; class Mammalia; order Primates; family Hominidae; genus Homo; species Homo sapiens. The sequence continues at coordinate 153,622,348 of NC_000005.10, forward strand.
TGAAGGGCTGATGTTAGAGCAAAGGTTGGGCTAGTGAATGTCAATGTTAGCAAACATGGTGGGTGTGACCCAAAACATAATCAAATAGGCCTCTTAGGTTAAAGTCCTGATGTTAGGTTTGCTGGTTGAGAAGGAATACAAATGTATCTCAAGGAATGCAGTTCTCTCAAGATTCAGAAAGTATGGATACCTTTGCCATGCCTGGCAGCTTGAAAGAAATAGCAATGTAAAGTTAAACCACGCCTATGTGAAAGTTAGCTCCATAGCAGGCTTTCTTCTCTGAGATTTGAATTTATGGAACATGATAACAAATATGAAAATAGATAATTTTTATTGAATATCATATCACTACCACTATTTTAAGTGATTTGTATGTATTAATGGCTAACCTTTTTTCAGGTAGTTACTCCACCAAGCTCTTTGCTGGGCCCTGAAAATGTAACAGTGAACAAGAAAAAAATCTCTTTCCTCAAGGAACTCACACTTCAATGAAGGGAAATTAGAAGAAATTAGCCTATTACTGTTCAAGTTCAGGGTGTTTGCAGAGGCCTAGATGCGGCACCTACACTCAGTCTTATGTAAATAGAGGTTTCTCAAAGGAAGAAATGTATAAATTTAGACCTCTGTAGAGTGAGAGGAGTTGATCACTTTAGAGTGGAGAAACAGATTTAGGATAACTATACTCTAGATCACACAGCAAGTAAGTGATAGTGTTGGGATTTGAACTCAGGTTGGTTTCATCCAAAGCCATTGCTTTCAACCATTAAGGCAAGGGCAGAAAATGGGTTTTATCAAGCCTGTCAATTCTGACAAATTAATAATGGCTTCCAAGAATGTGGATGGTGAATACTCGGTGAGCACTGGGCTCAATTGGAAAAAAAAATGCCATGATTAATTAATAATGTCTTCCCTGGGTTCAGAGAGGAGGGTGTATGTGTCATGCATTTGCCTACCCTGCAGTACAGAGTACTGCCTCCAGGACTTAGCACGAGAGGATGAAATCTGCGGTTGTTTCTTATTCATGTAAGAGTGTCTATGACTTCAAGGAACCTTAGAGCTCAATGGCATCAGCAGGGGCTTATTATATGTTAGCAAAGGTAGCAAGTGACAGCCCAGGATGGAGCATTCAGTAAAAAAGAGAATAAAGTTTCCTGTCAAAAGAGAAGACACTAATTAAGTTTAACAGTGAAAAACAAACAACAAAGCAATTGGTCTTACTAAGAGACTAAACTTCAAAATTTGTAAGCCAATTTCATTTTCATCTTTTACCTCTGTTAGTTCTATCAACATGGACGGCGTTAATATGACAGAATATTTGTTTGGAAATAATGGGATCCATATGTATTGAGTCAGCTTCATCACGCCCAGGGGAAACTTAAATTTTAAAATGCCACCCAAAATATATGCATTCAACATGCATAATGGCTCATCTGTTGAATAGTTGGGAAGTGATATCAATCAGAAGGATTAAGAAGATGGCTGTTTAAGGCAATGATGATAATAAATTAGTGCCAGTTTGCTTCAATATGTTTTATGGCGTCAGTAAGATGGTAGGTGAGCTCTTTGAAGTCTCGTTGAATATGGTTGTTTCTGCAGCACATTTGTTAAACCCATATATGGATTGAAATCATACTAATGACAATAACTGCTCCTATGACTCAAAAGGGAAACAAATGGATACTGTCAAGTTAGTCAGTGCTTGGAAATGGCTTCTGGATGAATTTCCTTTGCAAAAAGTCTCTTTCACTTTCCCCAGCTCACCTTGACATTTAACCGTAATAAGCACTCTTTACTCTAGACATTTAACAGATGTTTTTAAATAACTCAGTTATTGGGTATATAAAAAGAAGAAGATGACCTCCCCAAAAGTCCCAAGGTCAGAGCTATTTGCCATCTGAGCAATTGTCCCCAGGAAGAATGTTGTGAATGATCACTTCTCTCTAACCGTGACTCAGCACAGCACACCAACCTGCACCCATTTTCAGAGGCTCACCTTGGGTTGAGGGTGACTTTGAGTATATGGGCCTCAGCAGTCACCGCCCAAGGGCTGTGCCTGCTTGTCATGCTTCTCTATCACCCCACCCACCTGCAGCCATCAGAGAGGACCAGTTTCTCACTGATCCTCCTCCCCTGATGCATTTACATGAGAGATGGGGGAGGAGCTTTCCCCCTTGAGACTTGTTCACCTTGTTTTACTTTGGAAGACAAGATTTTACAGTACCAGGAATCAAAACATTTCTCTGATCACGTCATGCTGACCAGTGCTAAATTATCTCTGATTCATTGTACATTTTACAGGTTATTTGAAACCTCAACAGGGGGGAAAAAAATTGATAGTATTCTGTGTAGAAGAGGCTCTGGCCACAGACCGAAAAGGACTTTATCTTTACTCATCCCTACCAGATTAGATAATCACGTGGAAAACTGTAAGAAACATCTTCAACATACAAGAAACATGCATCTTTAGTATCTTCTGTATGCAGATTCCAACATGGAGAAAGTGTTCTAGAGCCTAAGGTTTGAGGACTCCAGGTTTGAGTCCATGTTAAATGGAAGGAGGAAGAGAACCATTTAAAGGTTTGCATTTAATGCTTTTAATACATTCAGGACTCAGTAACGTCTCCTGTGCAGAGCTCCTGATCCATTCACGGCAGCAGAGACATACCAAGTCAGCACAGAGAAGATGCCTTGGCTATACAATTCATTCATGTGCCGCAGCCCTGGTTGGCTGCTGAATATAAGTCCCTAGTACATCTCTATTTTTTTTTTAGCAATATTGCTGCTGAAGCTTAGCTGTGTGCTCTCGTGTGTCCCATCCTGCTCTTTCTGCCTCAGGTGTGTGGTCTAGTTAATCCTCCATTCCATGGGAGAAACATAGCCCAGGAATGCTGGTTGTGAGGAGATTTGATTTCTACTCCTACTTCTGCCATTAACTGTATGACTTTGGGCAAGGCTCTTTCCTGGTCCCAGCCCAGCCCCAGCTATTCAGCATCCATTTAGGATAGGTTGGTCTCTAAGGAGCCTTTCTAGCCCCAGCATTCAAGGACTTAGTGGAAACTAGAATTCTGGGTTCAGTTGAGTTCAGTGCCACCGGCATTTGCCGACTGACTTCCTCTTTGTCATCAAGCACCATACGGGGCACTGCAGGGGATATGTTTATATCAGAGCTCTCTCTGATACCACGGCACTCACGGGCAAAGGGAGAGTGGGATGAGAAAAACAAGTGTATTGATATACCAGTGCAGAGCAGACTATGTTGTATGCTGGAAGCAAAGTACAAATGATTATAGGGTCCAAAGGAAGCAGAAATTTCATTTATTTATGAAAAGTCAGAATAAAACTTCATGGCATTTCAGATCAGCCTTGAAAGAGAAAATTCAAACAGGATCCAGTGAAGTTTCTATAGCAACATTTACTGAGCAAATATTATGTGCCAGCCAATGTTCTGAGCACTTTGCACACAGTAACTTATTTATTCCTCTCAGTCTTTTGAGATTAAGACTCTGGTTATCTGATTCTGTATATGAGGAAACTGAGGCATAGACTGGCTAAGGAATAGGCTTAGGCTCATGCCACAAACAAGCACAAGCACAAGGATTCAAAGCTTAGCGATCTGGTGCCTACGCCCGTCACTTAGTGTGGAGAGTCAACTGACTGTCACATAAACAAGGCCACCGAACCTGGAGGGAGGGAGACCTGACTCTGCAGATGAGCTTTGTGTCCCTGGGAAAGTCTTTTCAGCCTCTGACCTTCACGTTTCTTAACTCTGAAATGCGAATGAAAAATAGTTTCCTCGTTGGGTTATGATGATTCAGCAAAATGGCAGGAATAAGAATAGATTTTAAATGATTAAAAGTTCTAGATGATTTTAAATAGGAGAGAAAAGCAGAGGAGCTGATTGAGCAAATGCTGAGAGGAGGTAAAGTGTGGGACATATTTAGGGCAGAGTGATTATTCAGTATTAGGGTCTCTTCTCCACAGTTTGAGAGGTTCCCACCTGAAGTCTTGTTCCATCTCATCTCTTCCAGCTATGCCAGGCCTTGACTCTGCTCTCTCTATGTGGAGAATGACAAATCTAGTCTCTGTGTGTGTGTGTCTGTGTGTGTGTGTGTGTGTGTGTGTGTGTGTGTGTGTGTGTGTATGTGTTGTGCTGTTGAAGCTGAATGCCAGCACAATTCTCATCAGCATTTGAGTTCATTGGCAGCATTTGAAAGAAAGTATAGACCCTTAGCTCTCAGTGCTAATATAGACATTGGCACATTAGTTTCAGCTGAATTAACTCATGTAGGACTGACGCTAAGGGACAGTTAGAGTGGAGTGGAAACTTCTCTGCATACAGAAATAACATCTCAGCACTGTCTGTGTAGCAAGATGTATTATCATCATCTTATTGGTACTGGACAAAGCAGGATCTTCAGATGGTGCCCAGCGACTATAGGGACTAATGGGAAAGCAGAAGGGATGCAGCGTGGTTAAATCCAAAAAAAGAGCAGCAGCTCAAGAGACAGTAGGAAATACGATGGACAAGGGTCAGGAGACCAGGATTTGAGCCCCAGCTTAGGTGATTGGTCCTGGAAATGTCATTTCTATAAATTAGCACAACTGATAAAGATGCTCTCTAAAGCACCTTCGGTTCTGATAGCCTAAAAATGCATGAGTTATTTTTAAGCAGAAACTTAACTACAGCTATTCTTAGTCTCTCAACTAGAAGCTACATGTGATTCTGCATTTCTTATTAACTGAGAGGTACAATTTTCCACTGCATGTTGCTCTTATCTTTCTTAGTGGCCAGATAATGTTATTTATAAAACAATAACAATATAGCCTCAGATAACTGCAGCAACAGAAACAATAGTAGTCATTTACAGGGCCAGGAACTGTGCAAAAACACGTTTTACATGCATTTGATTCTCAGAGCAGCACCATTGGGTGGGTACTATTATTTCCATAATACAGATGAGCAAGCAAAGGTTTCAGAGTTACTAATTAACTTGCCCAAGGGACGAAGCACCGTTTTGAATCTGGCTTGTCCACCATCAAACCCTTTATCCTTAACCACTCAGGTGTCTAGCCCAGAGTAGACACAGGCACGTGAGCCCAAGTGTTCCAGGTGGCCTTTCAGCCCCAGAAATCTCCCCTCACTTGAAAAATAATCTAGAACAATTTTTTTCAGAGGAATCAGTCTTTCTTCCCCAGTCAGAATGAAGTCACTAACTCCAGAGTAAAAGAATGGGGCAAGCGATGCTCTCTGTAAAGTGAATTCTAATGAGGTAAAAGTGGGCAGGTCTCTACTGGAGGAGAGAGGACAGCAGCGAGGAGAGTGGCATGGGAAGTGGAGAGAGCTGCATATGCCCCCACCTCCCCAGTTCTCTGAGAGATATTCCACACAGGAATTCCTGACCCTTGCCCAGCAATTGTTCAATGACTCTGACCATGGAAAGCATACGAGAAAAAGTACGCCAGAAAAGTTGTATCATGGTCGGTAGACCAGAGACAACAGAGAAACTGGCTGCAAGTCTCAGCATCACTCAGAAAGCCTTTGTTCCCAAGGCACTATTAAGTATCAGGCAGACAGAGATTCCTGAGACACAGCTCCTGTCCTCACAGGAAGGACTCACTGGATAAGATGGGAGGCAAACCCAGGCAGGCTAGCATTGATGCAAGATGCTGAGTGCCATAACAAACGTCTAAGCAGCTTGCTTTAGGTGTAGTGTGAAGGGAGGATCAGACATAGTTAATTCTAACACGAGGTAGGAAGTGTTAAGTGTGCTAATAGCAATACAAGCCAAGAACTATGAGAGCCCAGCGAAGGATGGATTAATTCTGACTGGGACTCTCACAGAAGAGGTGGTGTCTAAGTGGGACCTTGAAGGATTGGAATGAGAGATAGAGCAGTGATGAGATTCTGCTCATCACAGGGGAGTTGGTGTAAAGAGGAAAGTCTATTTGCCTGTGCTTGCTTTTCCGAAGGCAGGACGGCTACAAGCATGGAGCTGAAGTTCAGACTGACCTGGCTTTGATTTCTGTGTCTGTCATTTCTGTGTGCCCTTGAACTTTCATATTTTCCTCTGTAAATGGAGATTCTAGTACCTTCTTCATGGCATTGTGATTGGGAACAATTACATTACAACATGTTTAGTAATGCAAGTGTTTAAGTACATGTTCAATAAATGATAGTTTTTATTGTCTGTGCTATGACTATTTCAGTGAACATTATCTCAGTCTTCTGGGTAGCATCTGAGGCTAATTGGCCACTGTTAGGCAATTTTAAAAGTTAACGAAATGCACCTACAACTTCATCTGCATTTGTCCTCTCTTCAGATCCTTGTATATGAGCATCTTTGCCTATTCTTGGATCATAGTCTTGCTTTTTTGTTTTTGATTTGTTTGTGGGTTTTTTTTCTATACAATAGAGCAAATTATTGATTCCTTTTTATAATTTCCTCTTCCTGTTCTAAAGTCCTACCTTGGATGGTCCACTCTTTGTTGTGTGTTCAGATCCAGTAGTGAGTGCAGAAGGACAGTTACCATAGTCAGCCTCTCAGTTAGAATTCTGTCGTGTCTACAGACCAGCTTTGTTCCTCTCCTAGTCACCACTATGCTGCTGAGAATCATCATAGAATATGGGAACTGCAGGCAACTGCAGCCAAATCTTTTGTTTTACCAATGAGAACCTCCAGCCCAGGGACAGGAAGAAAATTGTCAAGTTTGTACAGAGAGACAGGCAGGGGTGGGCCTGTGTACTAGTCCTCAAGTGTGCTGACTCACAGGCCAGTGCCCTGGATGGTTTGCATGCCCTTTCTGCTTTTCTTCCGCAGACTTAGGCTGTGAGGAGGGCAAAAATGCCTTTCCTCCTCCTCATTTCCTCTTCCCTCCCCCTTCCTCCCTGCTTTGGGTAAAGCTGAAACATGCAGCTCGTGCTTCCACAAGGCATCCTCAGCATGCTTTTCACAGCACCCTCTGCTGACTCCGGGGCCTTCACAGCTTGCAGCCCAGTTGACAGCCAGTGAAGTGAGAAGATTGGAAACACTTTAAACTGTCTCAGCATTGAAGAAAGTGAGAAGAAGGCAGGTGGGAAACGTCTGTGATGAGCGACATTGTAGAGAGTTAACAAAAACTGGGAGACTTTCAGGGTTTCCTTCTCCTGCTCCCCTGAAACCAAGGATTATAAATACTTTCAATCTTACAGGACAACTCTAGCTGTGCAGTGGTGACTAGGTTGAAGAGGATTTGGAAGCGGTACTTGGGCTCCGTGTACACACACTTGGGAACACATGCACACACGCATTTATGCATTTGCACTATGTAGTAGGCATTTCTGCCTTGGACTTTTAAAAACATGCTTGCCCTTTAGGATCCTCATCTTGGAAATCTGCCCTCTTCTCCCTCTTTAAGGGATTGCCCTTCCCTCTGAATGTGCAGAACATGCTGTTCTTCTACTGCAGAATTTATTTCATTTTCTCATGCAATTTTTATTAGTGGCTCATAAGTGTGTCTTTCATCGCATTGGAATGACCCTCTTAGAGGCAAGGGTCTTGACTGTTGTTTTCCCCATACTATACCACATACACTATGTTGAATTGATAAATTTACTTATTCAGTGAATGTTTTGGTATTATAATAGACATGTTGCAAGGTAGTTTAGCAAAGTGATAAGGACTCATGTGGAATCAGACATACAGGGGTTTGAATTGTAGCTCCACTATTATCAGTTCTGTGACCCCTGCCTACCTATGTTTTAGTCCCTCTTTTGTTAAATGGCAATAATAATAAAGTACACCCTCTTAAGCTGTTACAGAGATTAAAAGAATTGATGAAAGTAAAATGTGTAGTCTATTTTCTAGCATTAAAGTGCTCAGTATATGCAAGCACCTATTAGTAATTAATGTTAGAAATAATAATGATAATTATCATCATCATCATCATCATCATCATTTGTTGCCACTGTGGCTGTGCCAGGTTCTCCAGATCCTCAATGATCCCCTTTCTTTTCTTAGATATGTGAGGGAGATAAGCAAAGGAATATATTGAAGAGAAAAAGCCCAATGTTTATTACTGCGTGGCTGTTGCTATGCTGTGGGCTTCTATGAGCTGGAGGACCCAAGAAAGCTACTTTCCCTGTGGCCCTCACCTATTCTTGGCTGTCTGGATCTCAGCACTATGGGGATCAGAAGAGGCCACCCCAAAACAATAGGAAATAAAAAGGAATTTTTGCCCAATGCTTTGAACAAGGCAGGTCCAAGCTTCCCACCTCAGATCTTCAGAGTGAAGTCCCCTCCCTCCCATGCTCAAAGCAGCTCTAGACCTGCACAGCACCCTCAAAGAAGCAAATCCAGCAGAGATTTTATGGCTTTAGCACCATCTGGCCTTATCTCCTTAGCTGTCTTGAAGGAGACAATAGAGGGTGGAGGAGAAGTAATCATCCTAAAACCAACAGGTGGCCCCAGTTGTAGGCTATGTAGCAGCATGGCTGTGGTGGTGGTGGTTGCTTGGTGTATGTGTGGAAGTGCAAGGGAAGTCTATAATGCAGTGTTCTGAGTGTGTGCAGAACCTATGGAGGAAATCAGAACTTGAGATAGAGAAACAAGTCCTGTTAATGGTAACGCCATTTGGATCTGGAAATAACTGTGTTTGCATAGTCCATGTCTGTTCTCTTACAGATGAGGAAACAAAAGCTCTTCATTTAAGGAGAGAAATAGTCCACTCTCTTGTTTACTCTTTTACTTGACATTGATTGAACCTCTCAATGGCAAAGACTGTGTTGTGCATTAGATAGATATGCTGAGAAATGAGAAAGAGGCTGTGCCCTCAAAAATTTGTCCTAAAAGGGGAACATCTAGATAATCAATGAGCTAATAAATGATTAGATACAGTGTTGTCCCTTCAACCATCTCTTTGGATTCACCACATTCTCCACACTCTCTCTAAAGACTCCCACTCATGCCCCTGGTGAGTCAAAAGCTCCTGGCCAGTAGCCTCTTCTCTGATCAACTCATATATTTCTGCTCATATCACCTTTGCTGGTGGCATACCAGAATCAAGAATCAATTCTGTTTGTTTTCAAACCTGTTTATATTTCTGTGTTTTTATTATACTTGGACAATTTAATTAAAATGATGTGAACTAGTGAAATATGAGTGCAAAAGAAAGTCTTTTTTCTGAAACTAAATACTTTTGAAAGGCTATCGGATGAATCACTAAAATCATTGTAATATTAGGTATCAGAGAGACGACTCTAAGGTTGGGGAAAAGCATGGAAGAAAATCTAAACTTATATTTATTTTATAAGTGCCTTCAAGTTCCTGATATCAAAATATTGATCAATACATGTGCTTCACAGTGTTTTAAGTTTTTTTGGTATATTTTTTAAATAATCTAATTGCCATCCACGTTGCATCAGTTAAGAGGGCTTCAACTGTAATTAAGACTTTGAGTAAAGTTCTGTGAAGGATACAAACTAAATGTTGTGACCGAGAACAGCAGGATGACCTGCTTAAGGTGGTCCTTGCAAGATAACAAGAAGCCAGCCAAGCAAAAGTAGGGGAGAAGAGTTTTGGGCAGTGAGAACCGCATCGGGGGAGGTGTGGTATGTTGCAGAAGCAGCAGATGAGGGAAAGGGAAATGATAAGGTTTTTCAGGTCAACAGCGCTTAGACAGTGCAGATTCTCAAAGGTCATGCAAAGGAGTTGGGACTTTATTCAAAGCATGATGAGAAAGCATGAGGGGCTTGAGGGGATCTGTTTGACAGGATGTGATTTCCATTTTCAAAAGAGCTTCCTGGCTGCTAGATGAAGGATGGATGAGAACGGAAAAAGGGAAAGTGGGCAAGGTGGAGGCAGGGATGAATTAAAGTGACAAAGGCAAGTGATAAAGTGCAATAAGTCTACAGTGACAGGTGAGCAGTGGCAGAGCCCTAGGCCAGGGTGAGAATGGAGATGTAAAGTGGGCATTGTAAATACATTTGTGACATCTTTAGAGGGACGTGCATCCATATTTTCTTTAGTCAATCTGCATGACCAAACTTACAGCTAATTTTTGAAAGGCATAGGTGATCTGATGGGGGAGAAAATCCTACCAAAAGTCAGGCAGCTGGGTTTTCTTTTTCTAGTTTGATATTTATTGGCTGTGCTACTCAGAGCAAGCAACTTAACTCTTGGAAGCTCATCTAGAAAAGGACAATAATAATATCCTGTGCAGCCCACCTCATATTTGGGTTATGCAGTTTAAATAAATAGATGGCTTACATGTATCTAGGACTTTGGTAAGCTTATTCCTTCACTTGATCCTCACGGCGCATAAGGCAGATACTATGGTCCTCACGTCACAGGTGAGCAGACCAGTACCTGTTCAATAAACCGTTATTGAACATCTACTATGTCAGGGTCAGGGACAGGCCCTGAGACTTTTGAAATAGATTAGACCCAGCCCTGTCCTACAGAAGTTCACAGTCTGATGAAGAAGACAGATATGAAAATGTGAAATTATAGAATATCAAGATACATGCTAAGACAGAAAGTACATTAGAACCTTAGAGGAGGAAGAAATGAATTTTTTCTGGAAGGAGTGAAAAGCTTTCCACTGGAGTCAACATCTGGCTGGGGTCTTGAAGGATGTGTAGAAGTTTTCCAGGTATGGAGGGTCATTTTTGAGAAGGATATGCAAAAGTATGCAGGCCTGGAAGGAAATGGTTCATATGCATCTATGTGGGTGGGGCCTCAGGTGATTGGCAAACTGTTAGGAATGAGGCTGGAGAGTGAATCAGGGGCAGGGAGGCTCCTGCTCATGGATCTGTGAGTGAGTGAGTTATGCAAAAGCAGGAAAACTAGTACATTTGCTTCATTTTCATTCTTTCCTCAAATGCTTCCCCCAGTTTCATAGTATACATGTTCCTGTGCCTTATACTCCCTTCTTCCTTGCTTACTGTTTCCTCCAGAATTAATTTGAATCTCAGCCTTTTTCCTGGAACTCTTAATTTTAGCAGGGATATACAAAGGGAACACTCCAGGATAGTGAGAAATGCCTTTTTTTCTCCAAATGTCTTCCGGAATTCTGTTACTTAGCAGGAGTTGTTTCCTGCCATGTTTTGAGAAACTTTGAAAAGCGATTCAAACGTTGGTGCAAAGGGAACTAAATACTTGGTAGTGAGGAGCATCTTGGCAGAGAAGGCAGCTGAGCTTTTGCTAAAGTCTCAGTGGTTGAAATTGTCCAGGAGGCCTGAGTTTTGGTCCCTGGGCTGGGCAGCATGTGCTCTTGGTTGTCATGCCTCCATTCCTCCTTCTGGAAAATAGTAAAGAAGAAAATGTATAAGTTAGAGAGGTGAAAGAGTGTTAGAGCTAATTAAATCTCACTTATTTTACTTATGAGGAAATAACTCCCAAAGAGGAGAAATGACTAAGTTCATATAAAGAACCTGCAGCTAACTTGGTCATTTAGTCATATAAAGAACCTGCAGCTTACTTGGTCATTTATGCATTTATTCCATTCAGCAGACATGTTTCAGTGCCTCCCATGTGCCAGGCACTGTGGTAGATGCTAGGACAATAGTGATAAGTAAATAAACATGATTCTTGCCCTAATCAGGGAGATGAAATTAAACAAATAAACCAAAAGTTAAACAAAATAATTAAAGATAGAGATAAGGTATGATGGAAAGAAACAAGGTACCGCAATAGAGAATAAAGAGTAGGGACCGGGCACGGTGGCTCACTCCTGTAATCCCAGCATTTTGGGAGGCCGAGGCGGGTGGATCACAAGGTCAGGACATCGAGACCATCCTGGCTAACACGGTGAAACCCCATCTCTACTAAAAATACAAAAAAAATTAGCCAGTCGTGATGGCAGGCACCTGTAGTCCCAGCTACTCGGGAGGCTGAGGCAGGAGAATGGCGTGAACCCGGGAGGTGGAGCTTGCAGTGAGCCGAGATCGCGCCACTGCAATCCAGTCTGGGCAACAGAGTGAGACTCCATCTCAAAAAAAAAAAAGAAAAAAAAAAGAGTAGGATGAGTATTTTAGAGAAGGCCTCTATGAAGAGAGAACATTTTAAGCTGAGATCTGAAGAATGCGAAGGGGTCAGCCACTTAAAGAGGGTTGGAAGAGCTTTCTAGGAGATAACAGCTTGTGTAAAACCTCAAGGCAAGAAAGTCGGGACTGTCCTGAAAGGTAAGAGAAAGACCAGCATGAAGCCCAGGCAGAGGTGTCATGGCCTGGAAGCAGATGTGGTGGGAGAGATAGGCAGGGCCAGAACTCAGAGCCTCAGAGTTCAAAGTGCCCTTATTGGCAGACTCTTGATTGATCTCACACCCCTGCGGAAAAGGAAAGGCAAGTATACGTGCATTGCAAGACTCTATTGGCCGAGCATTTGTTTCAAATGTCGTTTTCGCAGCATGCTTTGCTGAGACCATAGATTACAAAAACAGAAATAAAAATGATTCAGCTTTTCTTCTGTGTCTACCCCTCAACTTAATTAGTGCTCACAGCTCCAGAAATCAGTTGAGGGCAGGGGTCAGGAGTGAATTCAGATATAGATGAAGTGGGACTTAGTTTCTGGTGTTGCCACTTGGTTTTAAAGATGCAGAACTTCTTATCTTCCATAGCTTTATTTTATCCTTCATTTTTGTCCTTTCACTTCCTCAGTGGATAAATCCTAGCTAGAAGATGAATTTTGCTGATTTAGGGCACCCTCGGGCTGTCCTCTGTAGCTTTCAGTAAAGCTTTGTCTTGATTGACAGATGCTGATCAAGTTCATGGGTATGCATTACAGTGTACGTTTGCTGGTTGGCCTAGGAAAACCCATTTGCACGTATGACTTTCATAGGAAAAGAATGGCAAATAAGAAACAAAAGATTTTTTTTCTGCCACTCACCCAAGGAACAGAAATTAAGACAGCCAAAGGAAGAGTCTGCCTTCATTTAACGGATGATTTACCTGGTGTTCCTTGCGGTAGTGGTTCATTCGTGAACCAGCAGAAGGTATTTTGTGACTATGGGGATTGCGGAGATGACTGGGCCAGGAGGGGAAGCTGTAAAGCTAATCTCTCCCACAACCCACTTCTCTTTGGCTAATGGCTTTGCTTTTGTTTGTTCTGCTTTGGCTGGTTCATGTGCTAGTTCCCAAAGGCTGCACAAAGGCAGAGCTAGGTAGATGTACTCCCTACCAGGGCTCTTTAGTGAATCCCACCTCCTAGCCCCAGATGAGGCTGAGTGAACACTCACTCCAGCCTTGGACTGTAGCCTTTACTGTGGCCCCTGAACCTAACCCAAGAATGAGACTTGTTGACCCAAGGCTCAGACCCCAAGTCTCAGATCCCTTATTTCAAAGAGAGCTCCTCACCCCAGCTCCAGACTGAGCCCCTGGCCCAGCATTCCTGGCTGAGTCCCCACACGTGGTAGAGCCTTGGCCTCAAAGGGTCCATCCACAATGTTGTGAGTCCCTTGGTACATATTCACTTTTTGAATGAACCTCTGAGGACCCCTGCCCTCTCAAGACTGGCGTCTCCTCTGCCATCTCATCAGAGTGGCTTTTAGCCATGGAGCAGTGTCATAGCCTCCTCTAGTCCAAAGCTGGCCGGTGCTAAGAAGAGGAAGCCTGGAACTCAGAACCTCTGTCCTTGTGCCAACATGTTAGTTGCAGTCTATCTGTGAGCTTCACAGTCCCATTGACTCTTGTACAGAAATCAGCAAGCAGTGGTCTTCAGTCAAACTGGGACCTCAACAATCGACTTTGGTCCTGTCAGGGTTCCTTTCCCTTACTCTTCTTAAGAGCACCCAGAGTCACCATGAAAGAACCACAAGTGGAAAAGGAATACGTGGGCTCAGACGTGTGTCCATCCTTGCATGACCCTTGGCTCCTCATCTGTTCATGGGTTTAAAGGTCATCCTTCCTGCCCTGCCTACCTTATTGAGTATTCACAACAGAAAATGAATGTAGGAGATTGAAAATTGTATAATGCACTCTAAGTTATTATTACCTCTCCCAAATTGTCAGCATTTCATCCTTGCTATCTAGCAGCAGAATAGTGTAGGGTAGGAGTTTACAAACTACAGCCCACAGGCCAAAGCCAGCCCAAGGCCAGATTTTCTAAATAAAGTTTTATTGAAACACAGCAATGTAAATATGTAAACTCATTTGTTTACATATTGTCTTTGGCTGCCTTCATGCTATAAAAGTAGCACTGAGTAGTGCAGCAGAGACCACATGGCCCGCAAAACCTAAGATATTTACTATTTGGCTTTTTGCAGAAAAAGTTTGCCTATACCTGGCATAGAGGAGCAAAGTGAGGACTCTGAAGTTGGAATGCCTGTGTTTGGATTCTGAATCTTCTACTTAATGGCTATATGACCTTGTGCAAGTTAATTAGCTTCACTTTTCTCTCTATGAAATAAAAATAAACATTGTATCCCCACCCTGTGCTATCAAATTAGCATTAAATGAGTAATTCATGTAAGGCACTTAGCTTAGTATTTGGCACATAGTGAGTGCTCAGTGTTGGCTGTTATTATTATCCAAAGAATGAAAGCTCTGGTTTGTGTTGATGGACTCTCAGGGGATGGAGTAGCATGGTTTATGGCACAGGCCATGGAGTAGGACAGAACATTATTTATATCCCAGCTCTGCCACTCACCACATGAATGACTCGGAGAAGATTAATTAATCTCCCTGAACTTCAGCTTCCTCATGCATGAAATAGGAAAAAGAAATTAAAGAGTTATTGTGAAGAGTAAGTGATAAAATGCATGTGAAGTGCCAAGAATAGAATTTGGAACATAGTAAACACTCAATAGGTGATATAAATACAATAATAAATAAGAAGAAGAATGGTACTTTTCTAAGTAGTACTAGCTTCTCAGAACAAATAGACAGTTGGTAGTGACTACTATGCAAACATCATGTGAGGTAGGAGGTTCTACTTATCATTAATAATGCTCTGGACACCAGGTTTTGCATATTCCAGGCACATGTAAATTAAATACACTTTAAAATGGAGTTGTTTAGACAGCTGTCTAGGCTTTTATCTAGGCCAATAGTCCTTCAAGACCAGGTACCTTTCTGTACTAACAATCCATGACTCTATGACTGTTCTTAGGTGAAGTGATAGGTCAAGGAGAACAGCATACACGTTGAGTCACTCTATGGACCATCCCGGAAAGATCCTCTTCTCATAATAACACGTGGGTACACAGTGATGCTAAGGAGTTTGCCATATGGGGTGAAAATGCTCTCATTTTGAACCCATTCAACATCTTCAGGGTTGAGTTCTGTAATGGGATGTAAATCTTCTTTCCTGGGGAGAAACGGCTGAGGAGACTGGGTGTTGTAGGTGGAATACATTAAGGCTGGTGGGGTTTGAGTGCCAGCCCAAGAGCACAGCTCTCATTCTCAGTTGGCCTAAGCTAACAGGGAGTGATCAAGTTCAGTGGACTGAAGCACAGGGGAGTATTACGTATCTTCCAGACCTGTGGATGCTAGATGGGCAACCTAATTTAGAGGAATATGAAACAAGTAACAGCACCGTGCAATTTTCGTTATTCCCTACCTAGCTCTTTATGAGTTATTGTTCATTATATTAGCAGAAAAATGAGGATTTGGAGAGCCTCTTCCTTCAAGTGGGCTTAAATCTCAATTGCAGGTGAAAAGGCATAAATACACAAAAAGTTACTTGATAATATAAAATAAAATAATCAATTCATTCAGTGCAAGACATGTCATGAAAGAAAGATGGGTCAACTTAGTATCCAGAGATTAAAATAGGTAAATGACTTGCATTCATTCATTTATTCTCATATTCATTCATGTCCAAAAATATTGTGTAGTCATTATGGGAACCCTTCAAAGGGATATGAATAATAATATAAGCTTTATGAGGGCAAAGGCATCATCTGTCTTATTTACCACTCTATTCCACAGTGTCTAGCCCATAGAGGAAAGACAAGGACTGAGTTAGACATAGATCCTTATTTAATACTCAGTGTTTAGATGTATGTAGTTCCTAACACATTTGTGGACATTTATGGAGCTCCTAACATGATTTTGGGCTCTAATTTATGAAATACTGCAATCAGACATTTAGTAGACATCTGTTGGTTTGATATGCCCAGCATGCATCTCCTCTCTGTTCACAGCACCTTAATTTTCCTCTGGCTGGTAGCTTAGTAACGTGGATAGTTGTTCTGCTTCCCTTGACCCAGGGGCGGCCCATGCCCAAGCAAGGCTAATCTTGAACTGTGTAAACAGTTATCACAAATGGCTGGAGCAATGGTGAGACCCTAAAGAGACTGTCCATGAAATGCTGACATCTAGATTTCTAGAGCTGCTGCAATTTCTGTCTTATATGAGGCACTTTTTCAGCTGGGGCTTCCTCATATCCTTCCAAAATTCTGTTCTTACAAATTACAGAACCTAAACTAATAAAGCATGGGTGTTAGATAAAAAATTGATAAGACGCACACATTTTTATGTACATTTAAAAGATGGGTGGAGACTTTCAGTTTATAGCTAGGAGTAGGGAGGTGTAAGGGTCTTTATGAAGGAGATGGCATTTGAGCTTAACTTTTAAAGAATGGAAAGGATCTGCAAAGATCCTTAAAGAAAGAAAGCAGGAGGCAGGAGGCCTGTGCAGGCTGGAGCAGGGGCATGAGTGTAGGCCCAGAGCCTACGGCCGAGAAACAACTGAAAAACAGCCACGTCTGTGCTGGAACTCAGTGAACTCACTGAGCATCCCATGTCTGTCGTGCCATTACACTTAAGTCAGATGTTCCTGTTCCCATTTTCTAGCTTATCCTACTGAGTCACAACAACCTTCCCCTCCATTGTCTCTCATCCATGGACTGGACTTGAGCTATGGGATGTTAGAGAGGAAAGGTCTTGTGAGACCAGCTAGGACTGACCCTCTTAGGCCAAAGTGATGCTAGAGCCCTCCAGGCACCCATGCCACACATGAAGTGCCGGATACCTTAGAAGAGCTCAGTTTTACTCAGAGAGCTATGTGATCTCTTTCTCCTCACCTGCATCTCTACTGCTTTCCTCCTTTCCCCCTATACTGTGTCCACATGGGCCTTCTGTTTCTCAAGCTCTTCAGTCTTGTTCCTGAGCCTCATTCAGAGCCTCTGTTCCATTCCTTCTGCCTGAGACTGCTTCTTTAGCCTTTAGCCTGGCTGGCTCCTTCTTAGGGTTCATTTCTCAGCTCCAATGCTAGTGACACAGAGAGGTCTCCCTGACCATCCTGTCTAAAATAGTCCTGCCAGTCACTCTCACATCATCCCATTTTATTTTCTTTGTAATATTCGCAGCATCCAAAATGGCCTTGTTTATTCACATGTCATCTCTCTCCCTCTCTAGAGCCTAAGCTCCAAGAGAGCAGAGACTTATCTTTTTATCCAGTGATGTATACCCCTAGCACCAGCTTGCTGCCTAGCATACACTACACATTCAGGAAACTTGTTGGATGGGTGAATGATTAGGCAGAAGAAAGATGGAGAGAAGAAACAGAAAATTTCAATCTGTAGGACCTCACATCCCCAGTGAGTACAAAAGTTCTATTACAGGTACTTCACCAAAACAAAAAAAGTTTGAGAAACACTGATTTAGTTTAAACTCTGTTATCCAGAGAGGAAAAATGCAGCCCAGAGAGGAGAAGGGGCTTGTTCACAGACGTGCTTCTTTGCATTTACTTCTCCACAATCATGTCAGGCACCTGAAGATTTTTATAAGGGAAGCTCCAGTTGATCAGTCTGTTTGCCCTGGCCCCCTGCCCTTGGTTACATATGTCAGCCCACAGGGTGAGTCTAAATTCCAGGACCAGTGAGCCCAGCCCTGTTCTAATTCTTAGCCTCGTATGCAGTACCACATCTCATTGGCTTTCAATGCCTAGTAATTAAGACCCATGCTTAATAATAAATACACAAATATGACCTGGGAGGATGGCTTTTCTTCCACATCTCCTTTTGCAGCCATCTTCCAACTGGGCATCAGGGCCTGGATGAAGAAAGTTCTTGTGAGTCTCAAATGAATCCAAAACCAAAGTGAAATGCTACATTGACACATGACACAATGACCTAACTTCTCCAGCCCGGGCAAGGCCCTTGGCAACCTAGTCCCCACCCATCTCCAACTCTGTGCCATACCCTGACCCCAGTCATACTGGTGTTTCTGGAGTTTTTCTGTTGTGCCCTTCTCTTTTATCTTGGTGCTTTGGATAAAGTGGTCCCTCTATCTAGACACAGGAACAAGGTGCTTAACACTGTGCCCGGCCTCTGCTAAAGGACCCAGTTAACACTGACTATAATAGCAGTTATGATCATTTATCCTGTGGCTGATCCCTTTATTACTCTCTCAAATCACCCTTTATTTTCCTTAATGTAAAACTCACTGAACACTTGCTTAAGCTCTGTGAAGGTAGAAAACATGTCTGTCTTGTGTAATTGTGGTACCCCAATTTTCTGGCAATATTAGTTTCTGGTGCCAATAAATATCTGTTGAATTTACTAAATAAATGATAACATTGTATCTAGTAAATGACAGACACCCTGGATGTGTCTCAGAATCCTAAGTAAATGTGATATTGTTTAAGGGCTTTGGGATGATTTATATCTATTATGGTAATTCTTTGCATGTCAGCATTATATCTACGATACAAGAGAATATAAAAAGGGATGGACAGGCACTCTTATTGTCCTCTGAGTGATGGAAATGAAGCACATCCCTTGATGTTACAACGTTAGAGTAAGATGATGAAGAATGTGATTCCCACCAATAAGGATAGAATTATTCCAGGAGGGGAATGAGTGCCTGAAAGTCCCCCCATTCACACATACTTTTGATCTCCCTCCCCTAAAATGAAGCTGTCCTGTCACCTCATTATCTGCTATTTACAATGAGGCTGCCACATTCCCAGGGACAGGAGCCAAGGAGAAATGTCGGTGTGAGAGGCCTTAAATGAAGTGACAATAAAAAAGGAGTTGTTAATGCCAGGAGTTCCCTCCCTGGGAGACAGCTGTCAGGGCCAGTACCCAGGGCTGGGAGATTTATTGATACTAAGTGGATGGTGCCCTAACCAGGAGTGATTATCAAAGAGGTTTGAGTGAGGTGAGGATAGAATTGGACAGCCCACGCCATGCAGTGTGTGGGTTTTCCTGCTCTCACTGGTTCCTGCCCTCCTGCTTCCCCAAGAGGGAATTCCTGGCCTCGTTTTTTACTTACTCTGATTGTTGGACACGCTCTGCTACAGAGTTTCTTGGAGGCAGGGCCCTCAGAATCTGACACTCTGGCAGGGCTCCCTGAATGCTCTCTCTATCTCTGCCAGGCCTTTGCTGTTGCTCTTCCTTCTACCCATATACAGTACTCTTTATGCACATGTAACTGTACCAAAACCTCTCTCCTGGCTGATTCCTCCTTATCTTTCAGTGTCAAAGCTGGCACTTCCTCTTGGAAGCTTTCTTTGAGGTCCCCAAAGGATGGGGTTAGGTGTCCCTGCCTGCTGAACTCATCCTTAACATAGCATGTAGACTGAATTGCTATTGCCTACATAGTTGTCAGTCTCTCCCATTGTCAAAGTGACAATCCCAAAGTGGTTGGGGATGGGCTGGTTTACCACTGTATCTCCATTGCCTAACATAGTGTCTTCACAAATGCCAGATACTGGGTGTCGAATGGTGGGTGGATGGATAGATGGACCAAAGAATAGGTGTGTATGTGTATAGACTTCCCAGGGATGAGACAGGAATACATCAAACATACCACTCAATTTTATTTGCTTATATTTCAATAGATTCTAATGTAGTAATGCCTCTTTATCTGGCATCAGGGGAAGACAGTGTGCTACATGAGAGGATTTTCCAGAAACTGAAGCTGACCCATGTCCCAAGACTATTTCAAACATCCATGACATATCACAGACATTAAGGACTCAAGCTCTGTCGTCAGACTGGTAGAGGTCATCTCTCAACTTGCCTTGTGCTGTTTCTAGACCTCACTTCTCCAATTTGAAACCCACCTCAGGGAATGAAAGGAGTTAATGTAGAGAAATGTCTTTGGCACAGTGTCTGGCACTTGGCAGGTGTTGAAGTATCAGCTCTTAATTATTACTATCAGAAAGCATTACAGGCCAGTCACAGTGGCTCACACCTGTAATCCCAGCACTTTAAGAGGCTGAGGTGGGAGGATCGCTTGAGACCAGCAGTTCAAGACCAGCTTGCGCAACATAATGAGATCTCAACTCTACAGTTTGGAGCTGCAGTGAGCCATGATGGCACCACTGCACTCCAGCCCAGGTGACGGAGCCAGACCCTGTTTCAGAAAAAAAAAAAAAACAAAGAAGAAGAAGAGGAAGAAAGAGAACACCATATTCAAGTGCTTTCTAAATGGCAAATACTGTGTTTCATCCCAGCAACATGATGGAAGTCTGTGCATTAACCCAGTACACACAGAGTTCTGATTCTGAAAAATGCCCCATCTCTTCTCTCCTACTTGTCATATCTGACAATGTAGTCTCCATCTCTGGCTCCCTTTCTAGTCTGCCTCCTTTCATCTCTCTACTGGGTAACTTATTCACATAGCAGGTTAAAAGTTGTGTCTTAACACTTAAGACTCCAAATGCATCTATTCAGAAGTCACAAAGGTAAATCTGTTCAGGAAAGTGAGATATGGGCTGAGGCACAACTCCTGCAGAGTAGTGATCTTTGCAAAGAGGTAAGAAAAGCAGGCTGCAGGCAGGAGGGGGACAGTGCAGGATCCCAGGATTTTGTTACAAGGGAATCCAAGAACTCAGAGACTTACCTGCTTACTGGATTTGAAAAAGTGCACTGGGGGTTGCTAGAATTTGACTAAATAACTAAAATATTGTCGAATCAGTAAACATTTTCCAATCAATTAGACTAGACTCTAGAATGTCAGAGTCTGAAAGGGCATTAAGCATTATAGAGATCAAACAATCATTTCACAGATGGGAAAGCTGAGGCCTAGGAGAGCGTGGGATTTACTTAAAGTCATACAAGTACTCTGTAATGATAAAACCAAAAAGAGAATCGTCCAGGTCTTCTGACAGCTAGCCTAGTACTTTGTCTACAGAACCATGTTATCTCTTCTGATTGAATATTGGTTGTGACAGATTCAAAGTAGATATAATACCTCACAACTACTAATTATATTTATCAACATTTAACCAATGACTGCCTTCTCCCACAGGCCTTGGGCCTATAGGGTCTGTCTGTCTGTTTCTGTCTCTCTCTCTTTCTTTTACTTCCTCTCTCTCTGCTGTTGCTTAAGTTTGGCTGAAGTGTAGAAATGGTCTGACAGTCAGGCACTGAGCAACTCTGGGAGCCAGGGTTCACTCAAGTAAATCCAGGCCAGGCTACCTCCAAGCCATGCTCTTTTAGGGAGTAGTGCGTAAATGCACCCTCTTAGCCTTAGAGGAGAAAGCACTCTGTTTAAGGTAAGAGATGTTTGCAGAAGGGGAAAATGAGGAGATAATTTGAAGGGGAAAATGTCCTGGCCTCCTGTGTGTCTAAGGATTTGTTGTGTCTGCCTGCTCCCATTTCGTCCACCCCCATCTCACCCTTTCCTACTTCACTTCTAAAGTCCTAGCAAGAAACACCATCCATGAGGGCCCCAGAGGCCCAACTAAATGTGTGAAACCAAGTAGGTGACATGAGGGAATAGATCTGGATCATAAGATTTATATCCTGTAGGATAATATTTTATTGCAGCAAGGGGAGAGAAGAGATCCTAAAAATACTGTAGAGAGTATATTATAATATTTTAATGAGGTTTATGTGCTCCCCATATACACTTCACCCTGGATGATGGATTGTGCATTTTGACAAATCTATATTTAACATTGGGAGAATAATATGTGATGTATGCTTCCTGGTAGAGAAATCATATTTATGGAAATCTTTATTCTAGTTATTATAATAGACATTTAAAGACAGTGCCTATTGTGGGCTGTGGATAGATAGAGTGTACTCATTAGGGTGGAGGAGAAAATAGTGTGAGTGGCAGAGGATAAATGGCTACCTTAGAAGACAGCAACCCAGGCAGGGGAGCAACTAGTTCAGGGTGACCCAACAGTCACATCTCTGTTTGGGTTCAGCTCCTCCTCAGCCCCTGCTGCAGGTCATATGCCCTCATCAAGCACTCATCATTCATTTATTTATCAAATATTTATTAAGCATCTACCATGTCCCAGACACTCTGCTGGCTTTTGGGCACAAAGAAGCATGTCCTAATTTTCAGGGAATTCACATTGACTAAAACAGCCACACATATATACAAATAAACAAAGAAAATTATTTTAGATTAATTAAAGAATGGGAAATAAGACAGAGTGATGTGATACAGACTGATGAGGGGTCACTATTTAGAAGAGGTGATGAAGCAAGATCTATACAGAGAGGTGAGATTTGGGCTGAGGCACAACTGCTACAAAGGAGTGATGTTTGCAAAGAGGTAAGGGAAGAGCATTGCAGGAAGGAGGGGAACAGCTGGTGCAGAGTCTCCCATGCAGAATGAGCTTGGAGCCCAGAGGAAGAGAGTGAAAGCCAGTGTGGCTACAGCAGGCAGCAAGGAGAAGACGGTTGTAAGTTAGGTGAAGTCAGAGGAGCAGGCTATTCATGCTCTGTGTGATGGTCAGATGTTGAGACTTTTCCTGTGTGCAATGGGAAAACTTTGAGTGGATTTGTACAAGGAGAAAGAACAATGTGTTTTGTTTGTTTTGTCTTTGTTGTTTAAATAAGATCTCTCTGGCTTCTGGGTAGAGAAGTGATTTTGTCACTGAAAACCAAATGTCCTAAAGCTCAAGGCCATGAACACCACCTTCAGATACCAGGAGGGCTATAGAGTGGGTCAAGAGCAAGAATTGTGTGAAACCAGAATCTCAGTAACTAGAAGTATGCAAGCAGATGTTAATGATCACCTGCCAGGTTTCCTGCAGATGGTATGCTGGTTTTCAGTGGGAGTAGGACAGATGGGTTATATGGTTCAGCTGCAATCTTTAAGAGATTATGACCTTTAAAGCCCATTTTCTCTAGGGACTAACAGAAAATGGAGACTCACAGTAGACAATTAGGTACCACTGGTTAATTGCATTCTTTATTGCAGCATGGGCCAAAAGATTTTCAATAACATTTCAAAAGTATTCACCAAAAAAAGGTCTTGGAGGCAAATAGATTTGACAAAATCTGGGATAAAAATGGGTAGAATTCCTCACAATCTTTTATGCAGCTAATGTGAAGTATGAAACTCTAAAACAGGGACAAAGTATGCACCATTTCCCAAATGTATTTGACCAAAGAAGACTTATTTTTTAAGGAGCATCTTGTGGGGCTATAGTTTCATGAAACCTTCTGGGCAATGGTCGCATACTGTAATTTGAGATCCCATACACAGTGGCAATGTGGGGTTCTGGAAACAGGTGATATGGTAAAAAGAGTAAAGGATCTAAGAGCATTAACTTTTTTATCTTAAAAGAAAAAAATAATAATACCTAAGTCACAAGGATGTGATGAGGACTAAATAGCCTAATATATGTAAAAGGACCACAAAGCACTCTAAAATACTGTTTTCATGACAAGGATGAATGACTTTCCTCACCATCCACCTTGGAAGGGCAATTTTTAGGCATTGAAGATGGCCTTGGGGTTGGTCTCACTGGGGCAAAGATTATGAACTCTCATCCTATATCATATAGTAAAACAAAGTTTAGGAGCTGACTGACTTGGAGTTTAATCCCATGACCTTGGTCTTATTAGCATCGTATTTTAATTAGAAGTATAATCAACCACAAACCAGGATTGGCAACTGCATTGGGATTCTACAGAATCGGTCCTGTGGGTATGTTCTCACAGCTAAGCTATTACTATGGCTGATACACTGGGGGGTCTGAAAATCAGCTAGCAAGATGTACAAGCACAAAGTGAACATTAGCAGACAAATGAACACTGAGAGTTAAGGGCTGGGCTAGACTGGGAAAATCGACACTTGTTTTCTTAAACGTGTATTAGCAGCAATAGCTGGATTCTTCCTGTAGCACCTTTTTATGCTTTGCCTTTAATTGATAGACAATGTGAGGGGAAGATCGTTAGATTAAGAGTCAAGAATATCTGCCCAAGTCATATGTCCTAGCTGTGCTACCTTGAATATGTTCATTAAATTTCTGAGCCTTGGTTTCTCCCCTTTAAAAAAATGACCCAGTCATCCCTTTCTAGCCTCAATAGGGTCATTGTAGAGACCAAGTAAGGTAATAGATGAAAGTGTCTTATATACATGGCTACTGTAATTAATAACCATGACAACTTCTGGCTTCTAATAGATATCTAATAAAATTGGATTTACACAGATGAATGAGGCATCGAACAGGTGAATGTGTGAGTGGGGTAGTTAGATGGGTAGGATGGATGGACAGTTGGATAGACTGGTGTGTCGAAAGGATGAATGGATGGATTGGTTTGTTGGATGGGTAGATGGATAGATGACAGTTGGGTGGATAATTGATGGGTTGGATGGATGAACTAGTGGATGGATTCATTTTGGAGTCATCTGACCACTTTTTGCAGTCTTCTATTCATTAATCCTTCTCTTCTCTTGTAGTCTGTTCCCAGTTCTCCAAAGGAGTCTATGCCATCTTTGGGTTTTATGAACGTAGGACTGTCAACATGCTGACCTCCTTTTGTGGGGCCCTCCACGTCTGCTTCATTACGCCGAGCTTTCCCGTTGATACATCCAATCAGTTTGTCCTTCAGCTGCGCCCTGAACTGCAGGATGCCCTCATCAGCATCATTGACCATTACAAGTGGCAGAAATTTGTCTACATTTATGATGCCGACCGGGGTAAGCCAAGGGTTAGGGGAGGGAGACTTTTGAGGGATGGAGAGAAAATTACCAGCAGAAAGGAGAATGATGCCTCACTGCTTCCCTGAAAAATATGGGAAAATTATCCAAAATGCTTTATTTCTGAGAAATCTGACTGATTTATCAGTAGCTGACCTCTAATTCAGTTTGGAAACGCATTCTGAGAATAATTCTCTTAATGCACCATGTCACTCTACAGCTCACTAAGCTTTCATGGCTCCTGAGTCCAAACTCAATGCAAAAGGACCTCAGACTTTGGAGTCAGGCAGATCTGGATCTGAAACCTAGGTTCTGTCCTCTCCAGCTGTTTGACTTTGGACAAACTCTCTCTGCCTCAATTTCAGCACTTATATAATGGGGATAAAATTCTCTATGCCTTCATTTTCTCATGTCTATAATGAGGATAAAAACAATGTCTATCTTATAAAGGTTTTGTGAAACTGAATGAGATGACTATGAAGTGTTCAGTGCCTACAACATAGTAAAAACTCAAAATTCTTTCTCTGTTTTAGATGTTATCATCATCATCATCCTCCTCATCATAATCTTCATCCTTCTCTGGGCTTTCTAATTCTTCCTCCTTTGAATTTAACATCACATTTTCCAAATGTTTTCTATACTTTTTCTTCTCTATGTCTTTACTCATGTTATTCCAGTTTTCTGGAATGCACTTCCCTTCTCCAATTTACATCTGTAAATCCTTCTCCTCTTTTGCAGGATGTCCCTATTCCCCAATTCTGTGGATGGGAGCACTCTCTCCAACTCCCGTGATGTTTGTCTTGTACTGTCCTACCTTCTCATTGTATACTAAATAGTCTTGTAATAATTTATTCACTACTGGTGTAAACAAATAAATGGGTCACGCAAGACCTGAAAGGTGAGACAGAGGAGTACAGTACTGATGTGGTTGCCTGCAGGGAGTCTTAGAAAACTTTTGAGTTGGAGAGAGGTTTGTGAAAGTGATTTTTCAGGCAGTTAGGCAGGCGTCGTTCAGATGGGAAGGAGCCAACAGAAGAAACCAGGAACACCCTATTTTCTTTGATTTTCTCTTCACTGTCCCCACTTTGATGACTTCCCTTCTCAGACTGTGACTATTGCAGGGGTCACCTGGAAGTCTATTTCAGGACAGCTTTGCAGCATAATGTAGCTGGAGGCCTGGAAGTAATAAAGCCAGAAAAATGTACCTTTGCTTGTGGGAGATCATCTCTGGGGTCAGCAGAAGCACCCACACTCTCAAAAGAGCTCCACCTACCTCAGAACTCAGAGCTCAGAGCCCTGCCGTTTGTCAGCTGTGTGACCTTGGACTAATGACTAAATCTCTCTAAGCCTCAATTTCCACACTATAAAATAGGGATAATAATAGTATCTACCTTGAAAGATTAAGTGGATTAAAACCAGTAGAACAGTGCCAGACACACAGTACATTTTCAGTAAATGTTGGTCTCAAACTCACCAAACAACTTGCACTGAAAAGGAAACAAAGATAGGAAGGCATAGCAGAACCAATCTGCAGATGATTCTTGAGGCCAGATACCATATTGGTCACTGTGGAAGAGGTTAACTGTGTTACTGAAAGTCAGAAATGACATACATACAAAAAATTAATCCATGCAAGATCAAAATAATATCTGTGAATAATTAATAATGACACCCCCCCCCAAGATGTTCATGTTGCAATCGCTAGAACCTGCAAATATGTCTATGTTACATGGCAAAGGAAAATGAAGGCTGCAGTTGGGATTAAGGTTGCTAAACTATTGACCTTTAATAGGGTAATTATCCTGGATTATGTTGGGGGGACACAATGTAATCACAAGGTCCTTAAATGTGGAAGTTGGAGTCAGAAGAGTCAGTGTCAGAGTGGTGCAATGTGAGAAAGACGACCACCATTACTGGCCTTGAAGATGGAAGGGGCCATATGCCAAGAAATGCAGGTAGCCTCTAGAAGTTGGAAAGGCAAGAGAGTGGATTCTTCCCTAGAACCTTTAGACACCAACACAGCCCTGCTGACACCTTGATTTTAGCCTGGGACACCTATCTCATGCATCTTACCTCAAGAACTGTAAGATAGTACATTTGTGTTGTTTTAAGCCAGTAAGTGTGTGATAACTTGTTACAGCAGCAGTAGGAAACTAATACACCATCTAATTCTCCAAGAAGAAACAAAGCAGCATTGAGTAATGGCCTCTCTACTCATTTAGCTATAGATCAGAAGAGAGTAGTTTAATTCAGGACACATTTTATTTATTTATTTAGTTAGTTAGTTAGTTAGTTAGTTAGTTAGTTGAGACAGAGTTTCACTCTTGTCACCCAGGCTGGAGTGCAATGGCACGATGTGGGCTCACTGCAACCTCTGCCTCCCAGGTTCAAGCAATTCTCCTGCCTCAGCCTACCAGGTAGCTGGGATTACAGGTACCTGCCACCATGCCTGGCTAATTTTTGTAATTTTTTTTAGTAGAGATGGGGTTTCATCATGTTTGCCAGGCTGGTCTCAAACTCCTGACCTCAGGTGATCCACCCACCTCGACCTCCCAAAGTGCTGGGATTACAGGCGTGAGCCACTGGGCCTGGCCTGCCAGGACACATATTAAACACCTACTGTGTGAGAGACAAAGTATTAGGTATTAAAGATACTATATTGAACATTCACAAATTTGATCAGCAGTTATTAGGTGACCATTTAGATGCTAGGTTGGCACATTTAATAAGCAGTTACTGAGTGCCGAATAAAACTAACAGCTAATATTTATAAAACCCTTGCAGGTGTCAGGCTCTGCTATGTATCAAACATTCTCACTTAATCCTCATAATGACATTATGAGGTGAGCATTATTTACACCACACTTTACCTTTGAAGAAACTAAAGTTTGAAGAGGCTAATGAGCCTGCACAAGGCCATTTAGCCATATGTTGGATTTGAGCCTCAGATTGTTTTTTAATCACTAGTTCTACCATCTATGTTCAGAAACACAGTGTCTGATCTCACAGAGTTCAGAGTTTTGCAGCCAGAGAAAACTAGAACTGAGTTTGGCAGAAGAGTGGGTTTGGGGGTAGCCAGGGGAGGTAGGTGCCTGATGGGAGTGGGTGGTGCCCACAAATCCTGACTGTCTGTCATTTCTCTTCTACTCATCTGAACTTTAGGCTTATCCGTCCTGCAGAAAGTCCTGGATACAGCTGCTGAGAAGAACTGGCAGGTGACAGCAGTCAACATTTTGACAACCACAGAGGAGGGATACCGGATGCTCTTTCAGGACCTGGAGAAGAAAAAGGAGCGGCTGGTGGTGGTGGACTGTGAATCAGAACGCCTCAATGCTATCTTGGGCCAGGTAGTGAAAGCAGCAAGGGCTCAGGGTGGGTGCGGGAGGTGATTCAGGAATAGCCAGACACACTTTTGCCTTGGGTGTTATAAAGAGGGTTATAAAGAGGGTTCTTGACTAGGTGAGACTAAAAGACCTCTATCTCATTTTCTATAATTCACAAAATTTAATTCTGAAATAGCACAAACAATGGGAGCCTTGACATAGGGCTTCAAATGGTTCTCAGACCTGTTAACTCCAATGTATCCCTCTATTGTTTAAAAAAAAAAAATGCTGGATGCAGTGGCTCAGGCCTGTAATCTCAGCACTTTGGGAGACTGAGGCAGGCGGATCACCTGAGGTCAGGAGTTCAAGACCAGCCTAGCCAACATGGTGAAACCCTGTCTCCACTAAAAAAAAAAAAAAAAAAAAAAAAATTAGCTTGGTGTCGTGGCATGTACCCATAATCCCAGCTACTCAGGAGGGTGAGACAGTGAGGCAGGAGAATCCCTTGAACCTGGGAGGTGGAGGTTGCAGTGAGCCAAGATTGTGCTACTGCACTCCAGCCTAGGCAACAGAGCAAGACTCCATCTCGAAAAATAATAAAAAATAATAATGATAAATTACATTCCATTTTAGAGTTTATGAAATGTTATCATATTAGGAACACAGCTTATAGGGCCAAATTTCTGGGTTCGACTCTGGACTCTGTCACTCATGATCCAGGGTTTGGCATCTCATTCCTTTCACCTTCTTACCTGTTTTGAAAGGCTAAGGAAGCAGCAGGCACCTTTATTTCCATTGTTTCCCTGAACATGCCCTTCCCTTTGAGAAATCAATTGACAGTACATTCTTCTATAAACAGGCATTGTAACTTCAACAGTCTTGAGCTAGATCTCTCTAAACTGTGCTTCCCCTGGTCTCAAAACAAAAGCACATGCCCACCACAGAATTAGCAGGATTTTTTGTAGATTCCTTATCTTTTTAAACTACATTTATGTATTCAGATTCAGAGCTAGCAAGGTAGCAGACGTTGCAATAACTTTTGAACAATGTCATACAATAAAATTGATAGTTTTAGGTACTTGACAACATGACAAAGTTTGTTAATGGCCTTCAAGACCCCTGGGGCCCTCACAGAGAATCTTGGTACTAGGACAGCTATTACTCAGAGGCCTCAGCAATAGAACACAGACAGAGTTTGAATGTTATGGATTCTTTAAGGCACTAACTGTTCTACTTTATGAAGTACAAATTTGGCCTTCCCTCTTGGAAAGAGAAACCCAGCAAAACTTGTTCCTTTGAGATGGAAGTTCTCTGGGCCGGAGTCAGGGATTTGAATTGCAGTTTTCAATTCAGGCAGGATAAGATAATAGTTAAGAGCAGAGATAAAACCAGACTGGCTAGGGTTCAAATCCCAGCTCTAGTATTTACTGGCTTTGTGACCTTGACCAGGTTTTTAATCTTTCTACATCTCAAGTTCTTGATCTGTAAAATGGGCATCATCATCATAATAATAGCCACTTTTAGAGGGCTCTTGTGAGAATTAAAAGAATCAATATATGTGAAGCACTTAGAACAGAGTCTGCCCCACAGTAAGTGGTACAAGCAAGCATTTGCCTATTTTTGCTATTCCTAGTGCCTACTAGGACCAGCTTCTTGAGTCACTTTCTTCCTTGGGCATAAGTGAATCCATCTGTAAAATGTGAATGAAGGCCTCTGTTCTATAAAACTGATAAAAAGGCAAGATAACATAGTCGATGGAAAAAGTGCCAAATGATAATGACATATTAATAGACAGATGACCTATTGTATATTGTTCTATGGTACAGACAGTAGCTATTACTACTATTTTTTTAGTGTGTATGGTATACCAGATACTATGCCAAGACCTTCCCATGCATAATCCTACTTCATTCCCACATCAACTTTGTAAAACAGCTTTTTTCAATTCCCCTATTTTATAGATGAAGAAAAGAGAGATTATACTTGCCCAACATCTCACAGCTAGCATATGATAAAAGCAGGAAGTCAAACCTATCTTGGTCTGGCCAAAGAGCCTAGCTTCTTAAAAATGCAACTTTTCTGCTTCTGCTATCTATAATTAACTCCTCTCTCAAAGGGCAAACTTGCGTTTTGTAAAGAAGTGACCCGTTTGTATGGGTATTTTAGATTGTAGCATATTGACATTTTTTAAAATTGTTTCATTCATCTATTTTGAAAAGTAAGACCAAAGAGTTGAAAGGATTTTACAGATCACTTGATTCTTTGCTTATGCTTACATTTTATAGATAGAATGACTGACGGTCAAATTGATTAAGTTATTTGCCTTAGACAAATAATGAATGACAGTAATGAGCCTACAACTTATATCTCTGACTTACAATCTCACACTTAGCATCATCCTGGACTATCTCACATTCAGTAACTGGGAACGTACCTGGGATACAGTTACATTCAGTAACTGCATACAGTCTAACACAAAATTTTCCACCTAATCTGAGGAAAAAAACAGTGACTCAAAATTCCAAATAGGGAATTAACTGCCTGTGTCTGTCTCCAGCCCCCACCCAACTAAAATCTAAGCTCGACGATGCCAGGGATTTTTGTTTTATTTTCTTCCCTGCTGAGTCCACAATGCCTTGGATAGTGCTTGACACCAAATAAAGTATTCAATACATTCTTTTCAGTGAATTAAAAGAATAAGGAATCAATGAAGCCTCTAAGAAAGTTCTTAAATGTAAGATAAATCTGGATTTCTATAGATAGCCATTGGCTGGATAAGAGCCTTTAAGATGGAGGAAAAGGCATGTCAGGAGGCCCAGAGGGCATGTGAGGGCTGGGTTTCATACTGCAGTTTTGCAGGCTGAGTGATGGATGCTGAGCGTCCACTGGAGAGGATGGCAGGAAGATAAACACACAATCAAGAATATCCTTGGAAACCATTAGAAAGAGTTTAGGGTTTATTCTGTAAACAATGGGGAGTCAGTGAAGGTTTGTGAGCAAGGAACAGGATTATTAGAATATAATACTTTATCAATATATGATGCCAAAGCATATAAAACAGTCATTAAGCACAAAATTAGTTAGAAGTGAGAATAGACCAGGACCTGTTGAGGTTATCCATCACATCCCCCTATGTTATTGTCTTCATGGTGCTTGTACCTGCTGAAATCTTGTTCATTTATCTATTTATATATTGACCATCTGGCACCCTACTAAAATGTTAACTCAACTCAATGAGGGCACAGAGACCTTGCCTCACTTGCTCAATGCTGTTTCCCCAGCACATAGCATAGTGCTTGGCATATAATTTATGTTAAATAAATGTTTGTTGAATGGATTAATTAGTTAATCATAGAGGGTTTTACAGAGGAGTTGAGATTGGAGCTCAGCCATTAAGGATACGAACAATCAGAGAGAATGGGAGAGGCCATTCAGACACAAATATTGTGAATGAAGGCAATGCATTGGGAATGAGCTTTGAAGTAATGGGGGTCAGTGAGGTGATGGACCCCTTGTGAAATTGCTTCTTACATTTATAACACCTTTCTCAGTTTGTTACCCTGTATATATTTATCTGTTCACCTATTTATTATGGATCTCCTCTCAATGAAGTGTAACCTCCAAGAGGGCAAGCACCATGCTTCTTTCACCTTTCCACTGTGTTGCCAATAGTGCTTCACCCATAGCAAGCTCTTAATACATATTTGTGAAAGGAAGGTATTAGAGGAGGGAAGGTCAATGTATAGGTTGGGGAATAGATAGATGGGAAGGTTGGTATCAGGTTGGATCATATGAAATTGCCAGTTTTTATAAGTCAAAAGTCATCAGTTATCAGCTGTTTCCTTTGTTTCAATTTGTACTTTCATCTTGTGGGGACAATATTTCTCCATTGCCTGAATGTGGTTGGTTTTAAAATATCATGTCTTTGCTGTTTTGTGTTTATTAGAAGCTGAATAGGTTCTTGATAAAGGTGTCTCATTGTTGAAAAGGCAGCAAAC
The DNA here is from genome assembly GCF_000001405.40 of Homo sapiens. Lineage (NCBI taxonomy): Eukaryota > Metazoa > Chordata > Mammalia > Primates > Hominidae > Homo > Homo sapiens. The sequence continues at coordinate 153,654,489 of NC_000005.10, forward strand.
CATTTGACAAGCAGATGAAAAAGTAACGAAGAATTATTAATAAAACTATCATCCCAATAGTATTTGAGCTCCGTGGTCTGGAATTTCACAATCTAACCACTATTTCAAAGAATTCATTGTGTGTGCTTGCATTTAATTATTCCCCACATAAAAAAACATGAGTCACTATGCACATACATCCAATTAAGTAGATGTCTGAATGTGGATTTTAATAACCTTGAAAATTTATTCAGTTAGAGAAGAAGCCCAAGTGCTTATCATCTGTTATATGTCTCCTTGCAACAGTGCAGGGAGAGAGACACCGAGCAGAGTACACTAACCCCAATTTGATGATTAAAAAAAATAGGGAATTAGATCTAGTTAATCTGCAGGCTGAGCTAGATCTAAAACCAAGGTCTGTAGTCTTAACCATTCATTATTAGGTGTGTCTCCTGCCCAAGCAAACTTCTGGGCAGTTCTTTCCACAAATATTTTTTCTACCTGTGATGATTAGGGATAGTCTGCATTTTGGGATAAAAGGGTATTCATTGACACTGGTTCTTAATGATTAACCATAATCAAACATCAAATGGAAAAGTTCACAGGAGTCAGGTCCCTGTCCTGATACTGCCACCAGGCTACTATCAGATCTGGGCAAAGCATTTTCCCTCTGTGGGTCTTGACTTCCTATCTGTACAGTGAGAGTTTGGACCAGATGATCCTAACTTTCCCTTCCAGCTTCTAAGTTGGGCAATCCATTAATGTCTGAGTACCTAACTGATTCGGGGAGGAAGGCACAAAATTCAGAAAAAGAAAGAAGAGCATCTATATATGGTTCATGCAAGGAATTGAAGGTGAAGTCATCCACATACCCATCTGACCATTCATCCACCATCCATCTATTAACTCATCTGTTTTTCCAATCAGCGAATATTGTCATGACAGATTTCATGCAACATAAAATTCCCACCTAAAGAAGAATCTCCACATACAAGGAAGGTTTATGAAAGAAAGAACGCAGTGAGCATTTCAGATGGGTCCTTGGGGTTACAGTAACACCACTCTACCCTTGGAATCAGACAAAACTGATTTCAAATTCTGTATCTGCCACTTAGTAGCTGTAAGATTACAACTTACAGAGGTTATATAATAGGCAGTCCATGCCTATTCCTTATTTGTAAAATAAGGATGCTAACAATGCCACCATCATTGGATGGTTGGGATATTGTAGTTCTAGTACTTAGGGTAGGGCACATTGTAAGCACTCGATATCAGCTGCCGTTATTACTGTTGTTGTCGTGGCTTTAACTGTTAGTATGATTAATGAGTCTCCACCTATTATGTTTTGTAGATTATAAAGCTAGAGAAGAATGGCATCGGCTACCACTACATTCTTGCAAATCTGGTGAGTAGAGCACTGCAGGCTCTCAGCTCAAGTCCTTTCCAGGTTTGGGGCCCTACCTTGCTTCTGTTGTCCCTGGCTGATGTGAACTGAGTAGGTGGAAGGGGCAATTCAGGGCTGTAATAATGAGTCTTGGCAATACTACATTTTTATCTTCTCCACATCCCACTCATCAAACCACAACACACTATTCATGAACCTCTAACCTTCCTTGGAAGAGAGCATACTGGTGGGCACGGCTTTATCATCTTCACAATTCCAGCTTTAATTGGCTCTGCCCCTTGGCAATAGGGACAAAATCACCACATCTTTGAATTAATGCAAGATGTCTTGATCTTACTGGTTTGGGTCCTCCATTTTGACCCCAGTGATAGTTTTACTTCTTATAAATACATTTACATCATAATTACACTAGTATTGACAAAATTTTAACCAGAAACAACTTCCCAGCATGAACAATATTATGTCCATTTAGTTTATATTCACTTTTCTATATGGCATAGATAAGTTTGTTTATATATATATATATATATATATATATATATTTGTTTTAATGTACTACAGATCATTGTATTGAGTGCTACTGTTTTTTATATTACAAAGAAAACAACTCATCAAATCATTTTTTGTATATATTAAATTTTACCTAGTAGCACATACTATTATGAGTTTTCTTTTGTAACCATTATTTCTGTCAAGTCTATTTTTTCTGGGTCATGTTTTGTACCTCCAGCTTTTTTGTCATGAAGTTTAATTCTTCTAGCTTTTCTATCCAAAGCCAAATGTATTTTTATTTGGTGTTTAGCCCCATTTTTAAAGGCTTTATTGAGACATATTTTATAAAGCACACAATTCATCCATTTAAAGTGTACAATTAAATGGTTTTCAATATATTCACAAAGTTATGAAACCATCACCACAGTCTTATTTTAAAATTCTTCATCACTGCTAGGAGAAATCCCTTACCTATTAGCAATGACTCCTTATCATCCCCTAAGCTCCTCCAGCCCTAGGCAACCATTAATTTACTTTCTATCCGTATGTATTTGCCTGTTTGGAGCATGTCATATATGTGAAATCATACAATATGTGGTCATTTGTAATTGACTTCTTTCACTTAGCATAACATTTTCAAGTTTCACCCATGTTGCAGCATGTATCAGTACTTGATTCCTTTTTATTGCCAAACAATATTTCATTATGAGCATATACCACATTTTCTTTATCCATTTTTCAGTTCATGCACATTTGGGTTGTTTTCACTTTTTGACTATTATGAATAATGCTGCTATAAAATATTAGTGTACAAGATTTTCACTTTAATATATACCTAGGCATGGAATTACTGGGTTATATGATAACTCTATGTTTAACATTTTGAGGAACTCCAAAATTATTTTCCAAAGTGGCTGCATCACCCATCAAATTTTAATCAATAACAAATTTTTCCATGTGACAGTTTGAATGATGGCAAGTGTCTCTTAATGATAACTATTTCTACAGTTTATTATCCTGTTCTGTCTTTGCAATTTTCCATGTTTCCATTAAGAAGTGGTTTCTAGCTTTTTATCTATAACAAATTTTCAGGTTTTAACTTACTTAACTGAACATATAACTGGCTTCAGTTTTAACCATGTTATTTTGTGTTGATTATCTCTATGAGCAATAGTAATTGAACAAAGGATTAATATTTGTTACTCATTTCTGGAGTAAAGTCTGTTAGTAGAAATAAGGCACAGGGTGCATGAATCTAAAAATGTGACCAAAGCATCCTGCCTAATCCAGAAATTCTGTCCTTCTTTCTGACCTGGTATCCAGCCTTAGATAGATCCCTGCCTTACTCTTCTTTCCCCTTCTTCAACTAACTTGTCTTGGCAATATTTCGGAGTGAGGACTTGAAATAAGAAGGGCTTAGAGAAGTAGGTTAATTTAGGCCCAGCTGTTAATGGCTAAATATATTACCTTTCTCAGAGGTATTTGCATTTTAAATGAGGGTGGCTCTCCAGACACTTTTGGGGAACGAAGAGTCTCACCCTCCAAAGACCATTTGCAAAAATGGAATTTTTGACTTCGGAGTGAGGAAAGCCCTTAACATCCCTTGACTCCCAGATCCTTAGTGCTAGAGCGGACTTAGGAAGTCAACTCCACTTAAACCTCACTTGTTTATAGGGAAACAACCAGCAAAGGGGTGTGACTTGGCCAAGGTCACACAGTGAGGCAGCACTAGAGCTAG